>NC_000008.11:19254041-19557072 GCF_000001405.40 Homo sapiens
CCTGAGGCAGTCCTGTGGAGAAGGCCACGTGACTGAGCTTGGCTATAGATTCTCCCATAGCTTTGAGATGACTGCAGCCCTGGCCAGCATCTTGACTGTAGCCTGTAAGAGATCTTAAACCAGAACCACTCTGCTAAGCCACTCTCAGGTTCCTGACCCACAGAAACTGTAAGATAAGAAATGCTTGTATTTCCAACTATTATATTTTGGAGTACTTTATTATGCAGTGGTAGATAATGCAAAGTCTAAGGCGGAGGGCATCTCACTGCAAAAATACTGAAAAAGAAGAAAATTTAATAAAAATAAGAATCTCAAATAGATGCAATTAGATTTCTTTAAAAGATTCACTGTAAGTACAAATTTGGATTTAAAAGTTCACTAGAAACTAAAAACTTATGGTTGTGGTAAGAACTAAATTGATGGCACAAGACTGAAAGGGATAAATAATTCTCAACATACAACACAGAGTAAAAACAAACAAAAATTACAAATCATGAGGGAAATTGTGAAAGACTTGGAAGGCAAACCTAAGAAAACTATTATGCAAATGAAATTTTCAGGAACCAACAGAACAAACAGAGAAGTAAGAATAAAGGAAAACATAAGAAAAAAAATGTTCTCAAGTATAAAAATACAAAAAGTTATATTGAATGGGAGCAGAGTCTCAAGTAGGATTGAGGGGGAAAGATACATACAAGATTTCTGAACTTCTTTGGTTTTAAAAGCATTGTATAAACTTCCGGCCAAAAAGAGCAGAATACTCTAAAGAAAAGTGGATTCAACTTATCCTCTGTAGTATCAGCAGCTAATAGATAGTGAGCAATCATTTTAGGCTACCAAGGGAACAGTGCTTAATCGAAAAGTCCTATGCATGCTGAAGACATAATTCTTGACATTTACACATTTTCGAGCTCTCAGAAAGCATACCGTCCACATATCCTATGAAAAGAAAGCACTTCAGGAAGTAACCTAACCACAAAGACACAAAAAAATCAGAATAAAAGATCTTAAATCAGAAAATAGAGAAGCAAAACAGTATAAGAAACACTGGTGAGAACTGAATTTTGTAGTACCTGTGGCTACATCGAAAGAAATGACTGTAAAATTTCTTGATGTTAAACATACGTATTAGGAGAGTAAGAACAGGAGACCTCCAGTTTCCAGTTGGGCATGTAAGTAGTATAGAAGTCATCACTCCGTCACAACAACAAGTACAAAGCCAAGCAAACTGGAAAACCAACAACTTTTCTTAGATCCATTAGAAAAGTGAGCTCTCAGGGCAAACCACTCTCCTCAAAATTGGAGAGACAGACAGGCTAGATACAGAGAGTCACAACTTAGTGAAGCAGAAACCCATGAGCAGAAACCCTCACTGGACCCAGTACGGGGGTCGAAAAACCTGAACTGTAATTTATGAATTATAGGAAGCTTAATGTGGACAAGTCTGAGAGTTAGAAACTGCAGGGGACCCAGCCATGGGAAGGCTTCTCACACTTCTGTGTGTTTTACATCAGGAGCTCTATCAGGTTCTCAGAGTGAAGACCAAAGAAAAACCCTTCATGCTTCCATTAGGAAGTGAGGGGAGGTCGCCATTTTGAAATCCAACAAAGCATTGTTGTTAGCAAGGCCTCCTGCCCTCAAGAGAAGCTGTTTTACCAGAGTCCAGCCTAATGATAGCACTGCAAGGGGAAATCAATAAATTCATACTTACAGTTGAAGATTTTGACGTTCTTCAATCATAAATGGACAGATCCAGCAGACAGAACATCAGTAAGGACATAGTCAAACTCAACAGCATAATCAATCACCTGGATATAATTGACATCTATCAACTACTTTATCCAACAAGAGCAGAGTACACAGTCCTCTCAGGCTCACATAGAACATCCACTAATGTAAACCACATACTGGGCTACAAAACACAAATTATCAATGTAAAAGCATAAATCTTACAATATATTCTCCTTCTGACCACAATGGAATTAAACTGAAAATCAGTAACAGAAAGATAGCTGAAAAGTTTCAAAACACTTAGAAATTAAACAACATACTTCTAAATAACACATGAGTCAAGGACAAATCCTCAAGAAAAAATTTAAAATACTTCTAACTAAATGAAAATGAAATACAACTTACCAAAATTTGTGGGGTACAGTGAAAGCAGTGCTTACAGCGAAATTTATGGCCTTGAATGCATATATTAGAAAAAACGAAAGTTTAAAATTAATGATCTAAGCTTTCACCTTAGGATATTAAGAAAAGAAGATATAAAGGTAAATAAGCATATTAAAAGATATTAAACATCATATGTTGTTAGGAAATTGCAAATTAAAACAAGTTACCACTACATTGAAAACTATGTCCACCAAAAAACCTGCAGATGAATGTTTATAGCAGCTTTATTTATAATTGCTAAAAGTTGGAAGCAAAAATAGGACCTTCAGTAGGTGAATGGATAAATACACATTGGTACATCCACACAATGAAATATTACTCGGCAGTGAAAAGAAGTGAGCTATTAAGCCATGAAAAGACATGGAGGAAACGTAAATACATATTGCTAAGTAAAAAGTGTCAGTCTGGAAAGGGTATGTACTGTATGAATCCAACTATATGACACTCTTGAAAAGAAAAAACTGTGGAAACAGTAGTATAAACGGATCAGTGGTTTCCATGGGTTAAAGGTGATAGAGGGGCTGGGCGCGGTGGCTCACGCCTGTAATCCCAGCACTTTGGGAGGTTGAGGTGGGCGGATCACGAGGTCAGGAGATCGAGACCATCCTGGCTAACATGGTGAAACCCCATCTCTACTAAAAACACAAAAAATTAGCCGGGCGTGGTGGCAGGCGCCTGTAGTCCCAGCTACTCAGGAGGCTGAGGCAGGAGAATGGAGTGAACCTGGAAGGCAGAGGTTGCAGGGAGCCGAGATTGCGCCACTGCACTCCAGCCTGGGCGACAGAGCGAGATTCTGTCTCAAAAAAAAAAAAAAAAAAAAAAAAAAGAGGGATAAATAAGCAGAATAGGAGGGATTTTTAGGAAGTGAAACCCCTCTGTATGATGTTATAATGGCGGATGCACGCCATTGTTAATTTGTCACAACCCATACAATGTCTTTAATACAATACCAAGAGTGAACACTACTGTAAACTACAAACTTTGGGTGAGAGTGATGTGTCCATGTAGGCTCATTGATTGTAACATAACGACCACTCTTGTGCTGGATTTTGATAGTCAGGCAGGCTATGCATCCCTGAGGGCAGGGTTTCCATAGGAAATCTCCGTAGCTTCTGCTCAATTTTGCTGTGGATCTACAAATCACTCTAAAAAATAAAATCTATTTTAAAAAATGAGTCCCAAGCCATGAAAAGATAAAGAGGGATCTTAAATACATGTGAATTACTAAGTGAAACAAGCCAATCTGAAAAGGCTACATACTGTATAATTGCAAGTATATGGTCCTCTGGAAAAGGCAAAACTATGGAAATAGTAAAAAGATCAGTGGTTTCCAGGAGTTGTCAGGGGGATGGAGGGATGAACAGGCAGAGCATGGATTTTTAGAGCAATGAAAATATTCTGTATGATACTTTAGTGGTCAATACATGTCATTACACATTTGTCAAAACCCGTAAAATATACAACACCAAGAATAAACTTTAAAGTAAACAATGAACTTTGGGTAATAAGAAAAACACAGACTAAAGAAACAAACAAACAAGCAAACAAAACTATCTTTTATCTAATAAAACTCTTGGCTGGGTGTGGGAGCTCACGCCTGTAATCCTAGCACTTTGGGAGGCCAAGGTAGGCAGATCATTTGAGGTCAGGGGTTTGAGACCAGCCTGGCCAACATGGTGAAACCCCATCTCTACTAAAAATGCAAAAATTAGCTGGTCATGGTGGCACATGCCTGTAATCCCAGCTTCTCGGGAAGCTGAGGCAGGAGAATTGCTTGAACCCAGGAGACAGAGGTTGCAGTGAGCCAAGATTGGGCCAGTTGGGTGACAGAGTGAGACTCCATTAAAAACAAAAAAAAAAGACTCTGAAAAAATCCCAGAATGGGGGTGGGTAGATAGGGGTAGTGTGGTGCCTCAGTCTGTTCTCACACTGCTAATAAAGACATACCCAAGACTGGGTAATTTAGGTTTAATTGACTCACAGTTCCACATGGCTGGGGAGGCCTCACAATCATGGCGGAAGGCAAATGAAGGGCAAAGTCACATCTTACATGGCAGTAGGCAGAGAGAGCTTATGTAGGGGAATTCGCCTTTATACAACCATCAGATCTCGTGAGACTTATTCACTATCATGAGAACAGCATGGGAAAGACCCACCCCCATGATTCAATTACCTCCCACTGGGTCCCTCCCATGACACATGGGAATTATGGGAGCTACAGTTCAAGATGAGATTTGGGTGGATGGGGACACAGCCAACCATATCAGCTGGGTGCAGCAGAGAGAGCTACAAGTTGAGAATACGAACATCCAAAGGTCTTGTATTGATGTAGGGGAAATGGCACTGCAGATGAGTAAAACATGTTGGCAAAAGAGCACAGTTAATATTTATTATTAGTTTTTATGCTAGTAGTAAGTTTGAGGTTTACACATAGATTCAAGATGATAACATAACCACTATGGTTGATGAGGTGTGATAGAAATTATAACTGGAGGAAGGCAGAAGGGAGTGAAAAGAAAAAATATCAAACTAGCAAAAATAAGGAAAACAGGCAAGAGGAAACAACTCTAAACTTTAGGTAATAAACATTAAATATAATCAAACTGAACTTGTTTCACCAAAAAGCGTGAATGGGGTAAATTCTCTATTAAAACATGAAGTGTCACATTAGGAAGGAACAGAAACAAAATCTAGTTATATATTGTTTGCAAGAGTCAGAAAAAACTAAAGGGATGGGTGAGATTTCTATTTCTGAAATTTATGATGGACTGGATTCCTGGAAAAACCCTCCTGATGAAAATAACAACAAACTTGTTTTTATATGAATCTCACAATTTGAAAATAAGAATTCCACAGAGGCCTAAAACAAGAGGAAAACAACAGCCTTAGGCAGTGGGGCTGAACGCTGGAGAGCTTAAAGAGCCATCTGAGGGCTCCTGCAGGCCAATAACCCCAGAGCCTCCCTGAGATCAGAAGTCCTAAAGGAGATTCCTGTATAAAGCAGGGGCCAGGGACCTTAAAAGGCTACATTCTCCGTGTAATGCTGAAGAATAAACCTATTATGCAGTACGCAAGAGGAAGGAGCTTGCCTCTCTTGATCTTGATTCTCATTGGAAGCAAACAAACAAACAAAATCTTCCTGGTAATTCACAACTGCAAGCCAGCCTTCCACGGTTTGAGACCTGAATTCATGGTCTCCAATATGCTGAAATGAAATAAGAGTAAGCCTGAAATTCTACATCCATTGATGACTGCAGGGTGAGATTCCACTGAGAACCATACGATTGTCAACTTTAATGATGTAAGAGTTCTAGGCCGGGCACGGTGGCTCACGCTTGTAATTCTAGTACTTTGGGAGGCCAAGGTGGGTGGATCGCGAGGTCAGGAGATGGAGACCATCCTGGCTAACATGGTGAAACCCCATCTCTACTAAAAATACAAAAAATTAGCCAGATGTGGTGGCGGGCGCCTGTCGTCCCAGCTACTCGGGAGGCTGAGGCAGGAGAATGGCGTGAACCCGGAAGGCGGAGGTTGCAGTGAGCCGAGATCGCGCCACTGCACTCCAGCCTGGGTGACAGAGCGAGACTCTGTCTCAAAAACAAAAGAAAAGAGTTATAAAACTTAGACAACCCTGGGAAGAGAAAGACTCCAAATTAACAAAGATTAAGATTCTGCTCCCTGGTAGAAAGGAGGCTTGGTATGGAAATTCAGTTGACTTATTTTTAAAATCATTATATTTCTTACATGCCTGAGTTGTGGATTCAGATTTATATCTGCTGCTTTATTTAAAAAGGAAGACTAAAAATACATTAAGTATGCCCCTTGAGACAGTTGGAAAAATACACTGAAAATAAACATTAAGATAGTACGTATAGGAAATTAAAAAGATAAAGGGCAGAACTGATTAAAAATAAAGAAAACAAAAATAGTAAAAGGGGTAATAGAACCAAAATCTCTTTTGTCTGCATAAATAGATAATTCCCATTACATCTCATTAATGAAAAATGTGAAAAAGCAAATACAAACATATCACTATTGAGAAAGAGAAAAGATATGCCCACAAATTCAAATAAGATTAGAAACATTATGAGAAACTATCAGCCAGGTGTGGTGGCTCACACCTGTAATCGCAGTACTTTGGGAGGCCGAGGTGGGTGGATAACTTGAGGTAAGGAGTTCGAGACCAGCCTGACCAACATGGTGAAACCCCATCTCCACTAAAAACACAAAAATTAGCCAGGCGTGGGGGCGCATGCCTGTAATCCCAGCTACTCGGGAAGCTGAGGCAGGAGAATCCCTTGAACCTGCGAGGCGGAGGCTGCAGTGAGCCAAGATCGTGCCACTGTACTCCAGCCAGGGCAACAGAGTGAGACTCCATCTCAAAAAGAAAAGAAAAACTGTGAGAAACTATTACATACAACTCTCCAGAAATATAAATAGAAACCAATAAGAAATGGAACATTTTGTAAGAATAAACAAATTAATAAAATTTTCTCAAAAGGACACAGAAAAGTTGAACAAATAACTGAAGAAAAATGAAGGCACCTAATTCGGTTAGTTTTGCAATAATAATTTCTACATTGTTTGAACTCTTTCTTTCAGCTCATAAAAAAGAAAGCTCTATGGGCTGCCATGATGGCTCATACCTGTAATCCCAACATTTTGGGAGGCTGAGGCAGGAGGATCCCTTGAATCTAGGAGTTCAAGACCAGCCTGGCCATCACAGGGAGATCTTGCCTCTATAAAAAATTTGAAAATTTACTGGGCATGGTGGTTTATGACTAGTAATTTCAGTTACTCGGGAGGCTGAGGCAGACGGTTGGCTTTGAGCCTGGGAGTTTGTGGCTGCAGTGAGCTATGATCATACCATTGCACTTCAGCCTGAATGACAGAGTGAGACTCTGTCTCAAAAAAAGAAAAGAAAAGAAAAAAGTAAGGAAGCTCTCAATTCATTTTAAAAGCCAACAATTCTAATATCAAAACCTGACAGAGAAAAAAAAACCTAACATAACTTAAATTTACTCAAGGATATACATGTAAAGATTATAAATAAAATATTAGACAAGCAAACCCTATAGTACATTAAAATAATAAAACACTACGATGAGAAAAAGTTTATTCCAGGGTGTTAATATTAGGAAATTATTGGCAAAAAATGTATTACATCAACAAATTACATCAACAGAAATAATATTGACATGGTCTAAAAACGGTTTTGATAAAATCCAGTGGTAATTTCAAATAAAAACTCTAAGTAAAGTAGGAACAAAAGAAAAATATATAAAAGTGATACAGATTAACAAAAAAGAAGAGCAAACATCCTATAGAAAGGTAACATATTAAAGCCATTAAAATTAAAATGAAAATTAAGAAATGTTTTCTTCACTTGACTTCCAGGAAGTGGTGTACTTTGCTCTGAGTCCGCTGGTCTGCCTTTCTGTTTTTTGTTTTGTTTTGTTTTTGAGACAGAGTCTCACTCTGTCGCCCAGGCTGGAGTGCAGTGGTGTGATCTTGGCTCACTGCAACCTCTGCCTGGCGAGTTCAAGCGATTCTCCTGCCTCAGCCTCCCGAGTAGCTGGAATTACAGGCATGCGCCACTACACCTGGCTAATTTTTGTATTTTTAATAGAGAAGCGGTTTCACCATGTTGGCCAGGCTGGTCTCCACCTCCTAACCTCAAGTGGCCCACCCACCTCGGCCTCCCAAAGTGTTGGGGTTACAGGCGTGAGCCACCTGGCCCGGCCCCCACTGGCCTGCCTTTCTTAATCATCTTTACTGGTTCCTTCATTTCTCCCTGGTATTCTTAACATTGGAGGTCATTTGGGTTCAGCCCTTGACCTTGCTTCTTCTCTCTCTGTGTATTTACTTGATACAGTACTCACAGTAGTCTCACAGCTTTACGTACCACCTGTTTTCCCTTTCCTGCCACATTTACATCTCCAGCCTAGACCTAATCCTTGAGCTCCAAGCTGTGATGATGTCCTCCTGCCCATGGAAACCACTGCTTGGATGCCTAATATTGACACATCTCACACACCGGACCCCTGATCTTTTCCTCCTTCCAAACCTGCTCTTCACACAGTCTTTCCCGTTTATTTTGTTTGTTTGTTTATTTGTTTGTTTTTGAGACCCAGACTGGAGTGCAGTGGCACAATCTCAGCTCACTGTAATCTCTGCCTGCCGGGTTCAAGCAATTCCCCTGCCTCAGCCTCCGGAGTAGCTGGGAGTACAGGCTCTCACCACCAAACCCAGATAATTTTTTGTATTTTAGTAGAGACGGTGTTTCACCATGTTGGCCAGGATGGTCTCGATCTCCTGACCTCGTGATCTGCCTACCTCGGCCTCCCAAAGTGCCGGAATTACAGGCATGAGCCATCGTACCCAGCCTCTTTCCCATCTTAGTAAATGGCAGTTCATCCTTCTGGTTGCTGTGACCCAAAGCCTTAGAGTCACGCTGACTCTTCACTTCCATATTTGCCCTCTTAGAGGCGAATCTCAACACAGCAGACAGAGTGATTCATGCAAGATATGAGTCAAAACCCTTCAATGGCTACACATCACTTGGACTAAAAGCCGTTTCCTTTTCATGGCCTATGTACTCCTGAATAATCTGGTCCTCGGTGGACAGAGCCCTCTTACGTCCTTGACTTCATCTACTCCTCCTTCATTCTGCATCTTCTACTCTGCTGCAGCCATGCTGGCCTTCCTTCCCCAGGGCCTTTGCACTGCCCATTCTTCCTGTCTGGCTTGTTCTATTGCTCTTTTTCCAATCCCTTGAGTTAAACTTGTAATTTCTAACATTTAAAAACTTTCTGTTAAATATATTTAAAGTTATAATTTTATGTAATATTACTTTTTATACGGTTCCACATATTTTGACATAAATGTTATCATTATCCTTTAACTATAAGCATCTATTAATTTACTTGATTTCCCCTTAAAACCAAGACTTACTTAATAAGTTGTTCATCTTCACACATAGAGGATTTTTTAAATTTTTTATTTCTGTAGGTTTTTGGGGAACAGGTGGTGTTTGGTTACAAGAGTAAGTTGTTTAGTGGTGATTTGTGAGATTTTGGTGCACCCATACCCCGGACAGTACACACTGAACCCAATTTGTAGTCTTTTATCCCTCACCCCCTTCCCACCCTCTCCCTTGAGTCCCCAAAGTCCATTGTGTCCTTCTTAGGCCTTTGCATCCTCGTAGCTTAGCTCCCACTTATCAGTGAGAACATAGGATATCCAACATAGGGGATTTTTTTAAAAAAGTTATACCTTTGTGACTAATTTCTAATTTTACTGAGTAAACTACAATTTCTACTTTAATAAATTACAAGTTGCAAGTTCTCTAGGGAGATTTTTTTTTTTTTTCCTCTCCAGAGCCTCAGCAGAAACCATGCATGTCCTTGATCTCCTCCTGGGTGAATTCGGCCCTCCCCAAGCCTGGCTTGTGTGAGAGAGCTCACTTATTCCTCCAGCCTCTGCCCCCAAGGCAGCTGTGGCAACAGGCAAAACCGCTCTGGTTTTCAGTACCCCTTTAATTCTTAGCACCTGATTACTTTCCCCTTTTATTCCTGCAAGCTCAGCTCAGTCTTGAAAGGGATGTTTGTAATATACTAAACAGCACTGTAAAGGTCTTGAAGTGGCAGGATTTTCAGGTAATCCTGTCTTCTGTGTTGCGTATAACTGGAAGAAATTCCAACTACACAGATGGGCATAAAAGAAAAGTCTACTCCTGCCCAGGGCAGTCATCCCAGTCTCCAGTGCTAACCAGTGGGAACAGTGTGGTCTTTTTCCCAACAGCCTTTTCCTTCATATTTTGCAGACCTGTGTGTTTCAGGGAGTGGTAATAGAAAGACCAGATCCAGTCCCAGCTCTGCCGCAAAAGACCTATGTGACTTTGAGAAAATTCACTGACTTCTGTAGGTCTAGTTTTCTCCCTCAAGGGTCATGAATAATAAGATGTATTAGTATTAGTAAGCTTATTTTTTCTTATATAGTCTGTTTTTTTGTTTTTGTTTTTATTCTCTCTTTTTTTTTTTGGCTTCTGTACTTATTTCAGAAAGTAGATTGTGGTTAGTAACGTACAACTTTCCTGGAATTAAAAAAGAAGAAAATATGAGGATTCAGACTATATCTAAGGTCTTATTTTATTTAGCACTAAAAGCCCTCTATGCTTATCTACACGAACAACCCTGATAACCTACACAGGTACTTCCCAAACCTGCCTATGCTTCAGAATCACCTTCAAACACTTGATAAATATGCAGGTTTGTGTTCAAAATACAGTCCACTTGTTTTGAAAAAAAGAGCCCTTGAGGACTTTGACATGCAGCCAGCTGAGTGCTGAGCAAAGCTCTGGCTTTGGGGAGTGTGGCCTTGACAACTGCACAGGGGACTGCACAAGGGCATTGTTTATGTCACTACTGAAGCCATTTTGCACTTGGATTGTGAAGTCCCCACACTGACCTTGGCCAAGAACCTTTCCCGCCCCTGGCCTCTGCTGCTGCTTCTACAAAAGGAAGGGTTGGATTTTCTTCCAACTTGGACATTCTACTAGTTCATCATCCAGTGCTCCCTTGTACTCAAACCTGTCCTATTTAGTAGAACATTTTTGCCTAGGGGTCGTCCTCTGCAGAATTGTGAGGTGACACTGTCTTTTACACCCTGAGTTCCCAGGGCATGGTTCTAATAGTCTCTTTTCTTAATAAAAGTAAACGAAATCACTAATATCCATATGTTACTTTTCTCCTACTGTGAACAGATTTAATTATTCCTTTGAGAAATCTCTGATTTCCAAATCAATTCTGAAACCTTCTTGCCTAGGAAGAAAATATTTTGCTATCACATTTATTTTAAGGGGAGTGGTCCACCCTGCCTAGGGAGGTTCATATTTTCAAAGAGGCCCTTAGGCATGGACAATATTTAAGCCGATGAAATAAATTATTGGCAAAATTAAATATCTGCTTGGCTGATATATGGGATGTGGGGGAGCTCTGATGTGTTGCAACACATACTCCTTAAGTGACCACCCGTATTCCCTGCAGATAAGGAAAATTCTATTTGTATATTAATCTTGTGTCACTAACTAGTTCATTCAGATATTCAAGCTACTTTGAGTGAGCCAGAGTCCCCTCTCCAGGGAGCTCACACTTTAAGGGAAAGACAGATATTTACAGTATAAGTGAGCCTGAGAGGCAGGATCAAAATGTGGAGAAGAGGTGGAGACACCACACAGAAGCCGACCTTTGATTTCCTCTTGAAGGGCGTGGAGGAAGGTGTCAGGTAAAGAGAGTTAAGGGGAGGCAGGGAACGATTGGAGCTTAACAGAGGTGGCCAGTTTTAGCAGAAGGATGGGCTGTCACGTTTGAGAAGATGTCAGTTGGGTGTTCCCCAAGAGACTGTCTACCCTGAGTGTTCAGAGGTTCGATGTCTTTTCAGGGAGTCTTTCTTCTAGTAGTCTCTTTTCTTAATAAAAGTAAACAAAAACACTTATATCCGTATGTTACTTTTCTCCTACTGTGAACAGATTTAATTATTCCTTTGAGAAGTCTCTGATTCCCAAATCATTAAATAATTAGTGACCTGATTGAGCACTGTTTTGAGACTTATTTGCTACTTCTTAGACTACGAAATGAGAGAGGCTCAATTTCCTAACACTTACAAACCTTAGGGAAAGGACCAAGTTAATTCTGGCAAGGACCTCACTATATTATAAGTGATTACTGAGGAAAGGCAAAGATCTGAAGAATAGTGATGTCTCTCCAATCGGCATAATCACAATGCACTTTTTTGGAGGGCTAGGGAGAGAATGCATGGATGTGGGGAGACTGGGCACCTGGTCATAGCCAATGTTTGGACACTGGGTTAGGAAAACTAGTCCATTTCTGCAACTTGGCCCATTTTACAGAAGAGCAAACTGACTCAGAAACATGAAAGCTCACGTAAATATGACGTGTTTTCCCATTACATCACACACAGTGGACGGTAGAGTAATACAAAGGGTCTTTGCAGCTCTGTACTAGATGCTAAGAGAATGCATTCTATGCAACTTCAGAAAATACAGACTCCCAGATCCTATTCAGACTTAACCAACACAAACATTCAGAAGTGGGATCGAGGAATGTTTTCCTGTTTTAAGCTAGGGTGATTCTAATGAGTATCTCTGATTAAGAACCACTCTATTGAGTAAACAGACAACCTACAGAATGGGATAAAATTTTTGCAGACTATGCATCTGACAAAGGTCTAATATCCAGTATCTATAAGGAATTTAAATTTACAAGAAAAAAACCAAAACCCCATCAAAAAGTGGGCAAAGGACATGAGCAGACACTTCTCAGAAGAAGACATACACATGGTTAACAGTTATGTGAAAAAAAAGCTCAACATCACTGATCATTAGAGAAATGCAAATCAAAACCACTTTGAGACACCATCTCACACCAGTCAGAGTGGCCATTATTAAAAAGTCAAGCAATAACAGATGTTGGCAAGCTTGTGGAGAAAAAGGAGTGCTTTACATTGTTGGTAGGATTGTAAATTAGTTCAACCATTGTGGAAGACAGTGTGGCGATTCCTCAAAGACCTAAAGATAGAAATACTATTCAATCCAACAATCCCATTATTGGGTACATACCCAACGGAATATAAATCATTCTATTATAAAGACACACACATGTGTATGTTTATTGTGGCACTACTCACAATACCAAAGACATGGAATCAACTTAAATGTCCACCAATGATAGACTAAAGAAAATATGATACATATACACCATGGAATACTATGCAGCCATAAGAAAGAATGAGATCATGTCCTTTGCAGAAACATGGATGGAGCCAGAGGCCGTTATCCTTAGCACACTAATGCAGGAACAGGAAACCAAATACCACAATGTTCTCACTTATAAGGGGGAGCTGAATGATGAGAGCACATCAACACACAGAAGGGAGCAATACACACTGGGACCTATCAAAGGGAGAAGAGTGGGAGGAGGGATAGGATCAGAAAAAAGAACTAACGGATACTAGGCTTAATACCTGGGTGATTAAATAATCTATACAACAAACCAACACGCATGACACATGTTTACCTAGGTAACAAACCTGCACATCCTGCCCATGAAGCCCTGAACTTAAAATAAGTTTTTTTTTTTTAAAAAAAGAATCACTGTATCATCAAATGCTCTATTTATACTTAAATCGTTTGGTTTGCTTGGTTCATTGATTTGTTTTCCCCCCTTTAGTCAGCCCAGTTTCTGTTAACACAGCATATCTGAAACCACTAACATTTGGAGTTTTGCCAGGCTTATTCTCAATGCATGCATTTGGCAAACTCATTCTTATTTATTCAGGATTGCAGTACTTAAGAAGGTTGTATTCACCAATTTCCTGCATGGCCTCAATTGAGTCTTGTCTGTAAAAGGATCATATGACGCCGCTGTTGGATTCCAGGATAAAAACCCGGGCATGCATCTCTGTCCTTGAACGAACTGAGAAAGCGGGTCTCCTTTCCGACTGTAGCCCTCAGAGGACTTCTGTGTATTCCCGGAGCCGGTGGCTTCCAGAGCCTCCAGAAGCCTCCAGTGCCGCCTGCTGGAAGAACATTTTATTTCATGCAACTTTACGAGGTTGAATGCGGTGAACCCGGGAAACTTGGAAATTCCCATAAAAAGGCAAAGGCTGTAAGCCACCCAATTCATATTCTCTTAATGTCAGCAAATAGAGGCCCACCCTAAAGGGAGATTCTGCAAAAAGGAGAGAGGGAGGAGAGGGCTGGAGAGAGGGAAGCAGGAAGAAAGGAAAAATCAGTTGCTGCTCTTTGGCTAGGCAGTCACCTGGTTAGGTGCCCTACATACTCTATCTCTCAGCCAATGCACAGCTGGGCAGCTTTATGGGATGCATAGAAATAACAATATCAATATCATATGGAAAACATATGCCCTAAAACAACAAAAGCAAGATATTAGAACCCATGGACCTGATCCACATTGAATAAATATTATATTGTATGCCAACATCGGCTCTAAGCCAATCAAAACAGCTCTCAACTCAATAAGTCTTCCATAAAATAACTACAAGGAAGTTATAGGACCCTAGGAACTACTCCAGCTAGAAGCAAAAATGAAGGGCTCTGGCAAGTTTTGACAAGGAAGATAGAAAGACACTATTTCAGGAGGGTGGCCTGGTAACACAGCTACTTTATACCTAGGAAAATTTTAATCTTGGGGTAAATCAGAAACCATAAATAACATACAAATGAAGATCCTGGGTATTTTAATCTGCAGTTTTTCGGTTCTGTGAACATAAGTAAAAGTTGGTATCAGTCCCCGTGTGAGGCTTGGGGTCACTAGGCCCCTTTGTCACCGCCATTGCCACCCACAGCAGTAATTTTTTGACAATGATGATTCTTTGTATAGGTATAGATATAGGAACATACAACCCTAGTTTTAAAAACTGAAAACGTGTGACTCTCTCATCCTACATCTCATAAAGTCACTCATTCTGTTTATTCTTCTCAATAGCAGAGATTTTCTAAGTACAACAACAATAACAAAATTGCTGCAGGTAAGACTGATCATGCCATTGAGAATGGAGTGGCTTAGGGAAGGGAAAATTGTAGCAGAAGTTTTCAAAACAAAGGACTTTTGGCTCTCAGTGACACACCAGGAAAGTCTAAAGTCCTTCAATTGTCCTTTAAAGTTTCCTCAGGTGGGGGCTGGACACAGTGGCTCACACCTGTAATCCCAGCACTTTGGGAAGCCGAGGTGGGCAGATCACATGAGGCCAGGAGTTCAAGACCAGCCTGGCCAACATGGCGAAACCTCTTCTCTACTAAAAATACAAAAATTAGCCAGCCATGGTGGCACATGCCTGTAATCTGAGTTACTTGGGAGGCTGAGGCACAAGAATCACTTGAACCCGGGAGGCAGAGATTGCAGTGAGCCAAAATTGTGCCACTACACTCCAGCCTGGGTGACAGAGCAAGACTCAGTCTCGAAATAAATAAATAAATAAATAAATAAATAAATAAATAAATAAACAAATAAAATAAAGTCTCCTCAGATGAATTGTTATTTAGAAAAAGGGTCAGAGACTGAGATTTCACTAAGTTCCTGTTGTCTCTGTAATGTCCCCTGCCTCACAGACTAAACCATCTGATTTGTTTAGAAGGATCTGGAATCTCTCTTGGGTTTTTCAGCATCATGCAACAACTTAGGACATTTAGTCGTGTTGCGAGAGCAATTCCAGCCTTGAAAGAAAAGGCCAGGGCAGATGGCTGAAAACAACTTTAAAGGTTGACTGCGTGTTTAATGGTATTTATTTCCTTCCTCTGCCACTCTCAGCCTAATTGGTTCTAAAAGTCGGTATGAGGTAATATACAGAACATGAGCTTTGAAGTCAGGGAGACCTGAGTTCCAATCCCAGCTCTTCCGTGTGTCAGTTGAGCAGCACAGGCAGACTTAACTTAACCTTTCTTTTTTTTTTTTTTTTTTTTGAGACTGGGTCTCAGTCTGTCTCTCAGGCTGGAGTGCAGTGGCACAATCTCAGCTCGGCAACCTCTGCCTCCCAGGTTCAAGGGATTCTCGGGCCTCAGCCTCCTGAGTAGCTAGAACTGCAAGCAGGTACCACCATGCCTGGCTAATTTTTGTATTTTTAGTACAGATGGGGTTTCACCGTGTTAGCCAGGATGGTCTCGATCTCCTGACCTCACGATCCAGCCACTTTGGCCTCCCAAAGTGCTGGGATTACAGGCATGAGCCACCGCACCTGGCCCTTACTTAACCTTTCTGAACATTGGTTGCTTCATGTATAAAATGGGAATACAATGGGCCTATCTCATAAGCTCTTCCTAACAGGTTGTAGAAAGGAAAGGAGAAAGTGTGTGATCCCCTTAGCCTGGTGCCAGCCTCCTCGGAGGAACCCAGAGAATGAGCATGATCATGGTGCTGAAGATGAGATGTTCATGTGGGAAGAGGGAAGAACTTGGCAGTGCTCTTCTCCCACCTTCTAGGGTGGAAATGACCTAAATGTCCTAAAACCTGGCCTCTGCCCTGCATGGATTAACCCGCCCAGCCACTAGAAGGTGGAGGGAAAGACCGAGGCTCCAAAAGGAAAATGTTTGAAAGGCTCAGCATGATGATGAAGGATGGGACCTCGTAGCCTGCACTGTACCACCTGCTTCCTCAATGTCATTTCTGGCACCTCGCACGATGCGTGGGACATGGTAGGCATTGCATGAATATTTACTGAGTGGATCCTCTGGCCCCAGGCATGTGGATGAGCAGAGAGAGCCAGGCCCTGGGCAACTCTGTTGCTTCCTTTGTGCCTGGCCACTCATGGTGGCAGTAGCTTCTGTGCCCTGTCTGTGCCCTGGCCCAACCACTTACTAGCCCTGGGATCCCAGGCAGATTAATGACCCCCCTGAGGCTCAGTTTGCTAATCTGCAAAATGGGGATAACAATTTCACATAGCTGTTTATAGGATTAAAATGTAAGATATAAAAGGCACATCTTACAGTACCTAGCACACAGTAAAAACTTAATGCCAGCTGTTTAAATTGCCATCTTCACTATCATAGTGTTATTACTAGAATTATTATTCTGGCTACATGCTGATTGTTATGTTATTCTAGAACCTGGCTTCTGGCCCCCGGGTCACCAATTTCAGGCCACTCTCAAGCATAGTAATCAATCTTGTTAAGGGCAGTGGCATCTGTCACTGTTCTGAGCTTCCTCCATTGCCAATGAGTGGTTTTGTGGGATTCCCAGTACGAAGCATATGGCCGAGTGGGGTGGCTCATGCCTGTAATCCCAGCACTTGGGGAGGCCAAGGCGGGCAGATCACCTGAGGTCAGGAGTTCATAACCAGCCTGGCCAACATGGTAAAACCCCATCTCTACAAAAAATACAAAAATTAGCTTGGCGTGTTGGCAGGTGCCTGTAATCCCAGCTACTTGGGAGGCTGAGGCAGCAGAATCGCTTGAACCCAGGATGTGGAGGTTCCAGTGAGCTGAGGTCAGGCCATTGCACTCCAGCCTGGGGAACAAGAGCGAAACTCCATCTCAAAATCAATCAATCAATCATAAAAAGAGAATCCTGTGGTTAGAGGACGCCCTCTTCAGGTAGTGACCCTTCTCTTGCAACATCATGTTTATTCAAGGTTGCTCATTCCTGTTCATCCATGTGTGGAATGTCTCTTGGACAGCCTGGGAGTTTGAGGGCTGAAATTGAAGTGAAGCTACTATGTGTCCAGTCATGGGTGGCTGATAAGAGCCTGGGATTTTATTTTATTTTATTTTTTTTGAGACAGTCTCCCTCTGTCGCCCAGGCTGGAGTGCAGTGACACAATCTCGGCTCACTGCAAGCTCCGCCTCCCGGGTTCATGCCATTCTCCTGCCTCAGCCTCCCGAGTAGCTGGGACTACAGTCGCC
Source organism: Homo sapiens (assembly GCF_000001405.40). Classification (NCBI taxonomy): domain Eukaryota; kingdom Metazoa; phylum Chordata; class Mammalia; order Primates; family Hominidae; genus Homo; species Homo sapiens. The sequence continues at coordinate 19,271,653 of NC_000008.11, forward strand.
CGCCACCACGCCTGGCTAATTTTTGTATTTTTAGTACAGACGGGGTTTCACCATGTTAGCCAGGATGGTGTCGATCTCCTGACCTCGTGATCCACCTGCCTCGGCCTCCCAAAGTGCTGGGATTGCAGGGGCCGGGATTTAAATACATCTTCTGCAAAGGGGCTTCCACGTGTAGAAATTTTCTGTCATGCCTAAAATTCAACCCCCAGAGAGTCATTCCTTCTGCATCTGGAGAACATGGTCTTCCAGGGAGCATTATTACATGGCACTACTCCTAGAGAAATCACTCCTGAAGGTGCCATTACAATAGCAGCAGCATAAGAAGAGAAGTGAATATCATTTGCACATTAATATCATTATCTTATGCCAGGCACAGCGCTGAGCCCTTTATGTGCATGATCTCACTATATTCCAACAGTTTGAGGTGGGCATGGCCAGCCCCATTTTTATACATAAGGAAACTGTGCTTCAGGGAGATTAGGAAACATGAGCTAAGTCATGCAATTAGTAGGTGGTGGACCTGGGCACAGTGCCAAAAACTGGGTGGGTGAAAACAATAGCAATTGTTTTTCTGACAGTTCTGGAGATTAGACGTCCCAAATCAAAGTGTCAGCGGGGGAAACCTACCTGGGAGAAACCTTCTGAAACCTGGAGGAGAGACTCTTTCCTTGCCTCTCCCTAGCTTCCCGTAGGGGTCAGTAATCCTTGGTGCTCCTTGGCTTGCAGCTGCCTCGCTCCAATCTCTGTCTCTGCTGTCACATGGCCTTGCCTCTGTGTGCCTGTGTCTTCACCTGGCATTCATCTACCTGTGGGTCTCTCTCCTCCTCCTTTAAGGACACGAGCCATATTGGATTAAGGAGTCACTCTCCTCCAGTGTCAGCTCATCTTAATGTAGGTAATTACATTTGCAATTATCCTCTTTCCAAATGAAGTCCCATTGTGCGGTACTGGGGATTAGGACTTCAATATATCTTTTTGCGGAACCACAATTCAACCCATAACATTCAGTAAAATATGTCACGTGTCATGTGAACTAAAACATGCTCTTACCAAGCAAAAATATGATACCTTGAAGTTCATATTCTATTTCACTCTTAAATTTTTAAAAAACCATATAAAAGCTCCAGGTGGCCACTTGAAGAAGGACAAAATTGAAGGACACTTTCAGTTTCTTTGTCCTTATAATTCCTGTGTTAGCTTTATTTTAAATCTACTGTTTAAATTCAAATAAGTGTATTACTACCAGGGTTGTAGACAAAAACTGTGCCTCAGGTGAGTTCAAATCACTCACAGCTGTGATAAACTTGTTCTCTGAATGAAAGCATGTATTTGTGTTCCCATGTATAATTAGTAGACTTGCCAGATGAAATACAAGACATCTGTTAAATTTAAATTTCAAGCAAACAACAATGTTTATTTTGGTATAAGTATGTCTGAAATAAACATGAGGCATATTTATACTAAAAATCATTTGCAGTTTACCTGGAATTCGAATTTAACTGGGCATCTCTTATCTTTATTGTTAAATCTAGCATCTCTAGCTGAGAGACCTTGGAATTAACTTTCATGTGGAATACAAGGCTTATTAGAGGTTAAGAAACAAAAATGTGCTAAGTTGAAGCTTTCACACATATCATTAAAATTCAATAGTAACCATGACAATTATTTGCAATGGCGACCTACAAAATAATTTTTCAGGAAAGACTATTTTATCACTGACATGATTTAAAACTGCCAAACACAACAATAACAAAAGCAACCTAATTTTTAGTCAGTTTTATAATTGTTTTTACGTTTTCAACAGATAATGCGGCCTCTTATTGTTTGCATGGGAAGCTGGTGGTATCCACTGTCCCACCGTTAGTCCATTACTGACTGTGAATATTAAACATATAACATGAGCGGAACACAGTCTCAAAAGCCCTCTTTCACATCCATTATTCAATTTAATCCTTGTAGTGGCCCTTTGGATAGGCCGATGTGGTTTAAAAAGTATGTAAATGAGAAAGCTTGTGTGACTGACTTACCCACAGCCATGCACTTCCCGCAAGGTAGATCAAGGGCCAGTGGCCCTGTCTGTTAACCTTTTGCCCGGGACACCTTGGTTCTAATGCTAGTTTTACCACAAACTAAACTGACTTGAGCCACTTTATTTATCTTGGCCTCACTTTCCTCATGTATAGAAAAAGACAGAGTTGAGCCAGGTGACTTTTGAGATGTCTTCTAGCTCTGAGATTCTACAGTTCAGATCTTGGGACCAGTTCAGACCCAGGCATTTAGCCTCTTACCGTTGGCTGGGAGCAAGAGAGGAGAGCCGGGACACAGCACAGGGATGTGGGAGTGGTGTCGAAGCATCCCAGACTTTACCTCTGTCATCATTTGGCCCTGGAGCAGTGAAGTGCCGCTGTGCAAACAGCAAACAATACACACTGCACTGCACTCGCCCCTAAAACTAGAGAATGGTGCCAAGGAATCTTGCTGGGAACGCCCTTCTCATCAGCTCACACTCACACACGCCAAGAGCATGTACGCACACCGTACACACAAAGTCAAAGGACCGAGACTCTTCAGGTTCTATATGAGAGCCTTATTAAGGACGCTTCAAAATTCTCACCATCAGCCAGTGGACAGGGGGTCAGCAGCCCCATTAATCTACTTCCAGGGTGGGTCTGATCTCATTGACACCCATGTGAATCCAGTGACTTGGTCTCTAGCACAGAGTTTTATTCAAGCCTCAGTGCACTTGCTATCTCTGCCACTCAGTTTTTGTGTTTTATTATTACCTTTGTGAATTTTTAAGATATTATGTGGGTGTGCAGGCAGATGAGGCCTGGAGAGTGTGCTGGGCTGGGAGAAGACAGAAAAGCAGGTAAGGAAGAACATTAAAAGCAAAGAGAAGAGAAAGGCCTGAGGAATCCTCTTATTGCCTGCATCTAACATATATATGTATGTATGTATAATACCTATAATTCATATACATATATATCAAAATAATAACTGCAGCAGTAACAAATAGAACAATAGATATATTTAATTGCAAGACCGAATAGAGTAACATACTTTTTTCCTTCCAAGTTAATTTACGGATTTAACACAATCCCAGAGCTGGAAAAGGCTCTATGAAGCAGACTATCTGCTACGTCAGGGGTGACTTCATAAATCAGCACAACACTTCGAAAGCAAGTTGGAAATATGTGTAAAGAATTAAAAAATATCAAAGCCCATTGGCCATAATTTACCTCTGGGAATCTGCCCTAAAGAAATAATCCAAAATAAAAAAAAACCTATGTGTTCATAGATGCTCAGTACAGTATTTATAATAATGAAAAACTGGAAGGAATTTAAATGCTTACTAATGGAGAATGGTTATGGAAAAACATAAAAGGGATATTATGCAGATATTAAAATTATTGCACAGCAAATAATGTTAAGGAAAAAAGTACAACATAAGTCTCTATTGTTATAACTGGCAAAAAGCTTAGAAGCAAATGTTTTTAAAAGTTGCCTTTTTGATTTGGATGGTAGGTAACTTCTTTCCTTTCTAAATATTCTGTAATTTTCCTGTTATAATAAGAGAAAAGTAAAATGTAGACCAAAATTGAGTTAGTAAAGTGTACTTTATTTTTTATGACGCAACTAACCACATCCCATATTTGGCCTGCCAAATATCACTACTCACCTGGTAGCCTTTTTCCTTAATTGTGGACACAGTCCCTGAGAAGAAAAATATTAATCTTATAAACTAAAACAATTACACAAGAAGTATTTTATCTCAAAGCAGCCCCTGCATAGAGCAGGCCTGGGTACACAGTTTACCGCAGTGAGTCAACCTGCAGGGCTGCACTGGCTCTGGAGCAGGCTCAGGGGAGGGCAGTGTCTATAAAGAGATCTGGCCCATGTAATGTGTTTGTTATATCTCAAGAGGACAAGTTATAGGAAGAACCCAAGAAAGAACCGTAAATGAGATGAAGGCCATTGTTTTTAATCCCCCTGTTTTAACCTGTTCTCATGCTGCTAATAAAAATATACTCACTCAAGACTGGGTAATTTAAAAAGGAAAGAGGTTTACTGGACTCACAGCTCCACATGGCTGGAGAGGTCTCACAATTGAGGCTGAAGGCAAAGGAGGAGCAAAGTCACATCTTACATGGCGGCAGGCAAGCGAGGGCATGTGCAGGGGAGCTCTCCTTTATAAAACCATCAGTGCTCATGAGACTTACTCACTATCACCAGAACAGCACAGGAAAAACCCTCCCCCATGATTCAGTTACCTCCCACTGGGACACTGCCACGACAGGTGGAAATTATAAGAGCTACAATTCAAGATGAGATTTGGGGGGAAACAGCCAAATCATATCACCCTTTCACTACAATTTCTCCATTCAGACACTGGTTTAATCTCCTGCTGAACTATGTGTATTTCTGTAAGCCATCTCAAATTTATATTGGAACAAGATGATTATCTACATAAATAAAACAGTCAGATTAAAACAACATGAGAATCAACTCTACATGCAGCACTATTGAAGGCATATGGGATGAGGGGCGAGCAGTTAGAATTCTCAGACATGGTGCCTCCCGCACAAGAGCCAAGCATCTAGTCGGGGATATATGGGGGGAAATGGGGCCATGAGATATGAAGGTAAATTAAGAGATGAAGGGGTCCAGGCACAGTGGCTCATGCCTGTAATCCCAGAACTTTGGGAGGCCAAGGCAGGTGGATCACCTGAAGTCAGGAGTTCCAGATCAGCCTGGCCAACCTGGCAAAACCCTATCTCTACTAAAAATACAAAAATTATCAAAGCGTGGTGGTGGGTGCATGTAATCCCAGCTACTTGGGAGGCTGAGGCAGGAGAATCACTTGAACCCGGGAGGCGGAGGTTGCAGTGAGCAGAGATCACATCACTGCACTCTAGCCTGGGTGACAAAAGTGAAACTCCATCTCAAAAAAAAAAAAAAGAGATGAAGGGGAAAAAAATTATAAGAAAAGAGAAGGATCAGGGAACTGTAGGTCTGGGAGAGATACCAAAATAAAAAAGACATCCCAAGGAAGACAGACTGCCTTGTGGACCACAGAACACGTAAGAACATAATAGCACCACTATGAAATAAATTGAGTTTTGGTTTGGCTTCATATTTCTGCTTTCTGGTTGAGGTACTGGGGAACCTCATTTGGATTCAAGTGCAAACACATCTTGTTCATTTTGATTTATCTGAGAAATTTCAATCAAGTATCTTAGCACAGCACAGTACTCAGGCTGTCATTCCTTTGAAAAAGACAGGTGATGTATGGGTGCAACCACCGCAGGGTCTTCTGCACGCTGGGCTTTGCGGCTGCCCTGGAAGCTACTAAGCTTATCAATCTTGGCCCTTGGCTGGCACATTCAGCCTCTATTGTTAGAGGCTGCTGAACATGGCTTAGGTCCTGGTCAAAAGATTATGTGAAAGTTTAAACAGACACTGAAATTATTCTGTTTTTCTTTGCTTGAATGATGAACTGAGCTATTATTCCTGAAGGGTATGGCCTGGGTTTTTATTACTATGCAGATGAGCTAAGGTTATTTCACTCTGCTGTCAAATTAAAAAGCTGTGCTTTCTTTTTGAACAGCTCACACGATGCTGGGACAGGGACATCACTGAATTTTTCTGCAGCAAATTGAAGACCAAATGGGAATTTCTGCCTCAATCAGCATCCATTGGGAATCAACTTGATGTGAGGCGTTATGCTAAATAAGGCAAGTTAAAGAGATATATACAGATGACATGAGCCCTGCTTCCAGGTTGCTGAGAAGGAGCACCTCACAGAGATCAAACAGAACATTTACGTACGAAAAAGAGTTCAATAATGGCATGAGGAGGCAATGTGAATAATTTCAGGCTGGAGAGTAGGAAAGTCATTAAAATATATTGATTGCAAGCCCTACCTGATCTGCCATCCAGCCCCCACCCTCAGCTCTGCCTTAATCTCCTCCAGTTCTGCCTTCTCCTCCCTATGCTCCAGGCACTCTGGCCACCTCCCTTTTCCTGGAGCATGTCAGGCAGGCTCACATCCAAGGGCCTCTGTCCAGGCTCTCTCCTTTGTCTGATAGCTCTTCCCCAGATGTCTACATGTCTTCTCCCTCACTTCCTGTAGGCTTCTATGCACAATTCACACTGAGAAAAGCCTTCCCTGACCACCCTATCTACACTTGCAACTCCCCTTCCAAGACCCACTCTCTGCATTATTTTTGTCAGCACCTACTACTGTCTAACATAATGCATGATTTACTTGGCCATATTGCTTTTTATCCTGGTCCCTCTCTTAAATATAAGCTATAAGCTTCAAGAAGGCAGGAAATTTTGTCTGCTTTTTTTTTTTTCTTGCTCTGTCGCCCAGGCTGGAGTGCAGTGGCGTGATCTCAGCTCACTGCAAGCTCTGCCTCCCGGGTTCACACCATTCTCCTGCCTCAGCATCCCGAGTAGCTGGGACTACATGCACCCACCACCATGCCCGGCTAATTTTTTGTACTTTTAGTAGAGACGGGGTTTCACCGTGTTAGCCAGGATGGTCTCGATCTCCTGACCTCGTGATCTCCCCGCCTCGGCCTCCCAAAGTGCTGGTATTAGAGGCATGAGCCACGGCGCCCAGCCATTTTGTCTGCTTTGTTACTGCTACATCTCCACAGCCCGGAGCAGTGACCAACACGTGGTGGATATTCCTGAATATTTCTCACATGAATGAACTAATTGCCTCTTGCTTCTCTTGCACTGTGCGAAGTGCTTTATGTAAGACGTGTATTTGAACACTCTTGGCAATTCCATGAGGCAGATGTTATTTGGAGGAATTACAATGTGTCCCCTCGGGCCCACAGCAATGTTTTAGAGTCCTCATCAGGGCAAGGTCTGTTGGATGTTTCCCATAAGGTTTCACAGGGCAGTGTTCCTCACTTTGGTAAATTTACTCTGGACCAAGGTGTATGGACTTTGGCCTCGCTGGATCAGAAACACTTTTTCAAATTGCCAACGTTTTCATTAACAGTGAGAGAGAAAACTGCCCAATGAACAGGCGTGAACACCACGTGCTGAGTATATTCCTTTCTATGAAGTCAGACCCACATGGGAAGCCAACCGAACAACAGCACCACTGCAAGCCTCCAGCATTTATCTCTACGTTAGGACTTTCCCCCACAAAGCTCAGCCCAAGTCAAAGCTCCCTCTGCTTTGGGCAGAGCTTGGTGAGAGAGCTGATTCATCTCCTTTGCTCCTGTTTTCATTCTCCATGCTTCTCTTTCCTGCTCTGTGCCCCAAGACCCCAGCCTTTACAGCTTGCCTGCTGGGTTTATTTCTTTTGACTTCTGGTCAGACACCAGTGGGAGTCACCAGCAGGACAGTTGATGAACAGGAAGAGAAGGAATCGGGATATTTCCCCAAACTTCCCACTGCAGGCTCATCAATTTGGCGGTGGCTATTTTCATGTACAGCCGAGCTCTATCTAGCCAGGTCCAGTGATGTCATTTCTCCTTCCAAGCCTGGGGCAGCGGCGGAGGAGGGGATAGCTCCCAACTGTGCAAAAGCCCTGGAGGTTCCACCATCTCTTGTTGGTTCTCTTAGGTCTATCCACACCTTTGTTAACCTCCTTATGAAACTCTCTTCAATTAATCTTTAAGTGTGCTACCTGTTTTCTACCAGCACCCAGACTGATACAATGTCACTGCCAGGGATTGACTTGAAGGCTTTCCATTGTCTGTACTTCAAAGATTAATCAACTCACCAACTCGTCTATGAATTAACTAGTGCTTTTCTTGAGCAGTGCCGTCCAACAGACCTTTCTGTGTTGACGGAAATGTCCTCGATCTATGTTGTCCCACTAGCCACATTATCGGTGGGCACTTAAAATGTGACCAGTGAGACTGGGGAACTAAATTTTTAACTTTGTTTAAATTTACTCAATTTTAGTTTAAATAGTTACACGTGAGCCACCATACTAGCTGATGCAGGTCTGGCCATGTCATCAGTCAAGTACTGTTGACCTGGTAGTTATTTTTCCTTCAAATGACATATCTGTGTCTCATCATTTATGGGAGCAGTCTTCCTAATTTCCAAGATATTGATGGAAAACTCACCATAGCCCCCAGGAACTACAACAATATTATCTAGAGAGATTAAGCAACTTGCCAGCATGGGCTGCATGACAATACTTATGACAGCGTTAGTTAAACAAGAGAACAGTGTTACACAGGAAACTATTTCATGGGTTCCCTGTTTCTGTAGGAGAAGTGGAACAAAACTTTCCCCCTTCATCCCGATAGCAAAGAATTCAGCAGCAAGCTAACAATATCACAGTAGCATGTAAGTTCCTGGCGGATAGTGACTTGCTGATAGTGAATTAGGAAGGGGAATTGGACATGCACAGGACGGGCTTTCTCCTCCTCCTAGGAACCAGCTGTCTGTAGGAAACCTACGATCAGCTCTGCTCCTCCAAGGAAAACTGCAATCAGCTCTGCTTCTCCATCAGGAAACAGTATAGGGAAGGCTGCCAGGTGGAGAGCCTGAATTGACCTGAGGTGTAGGTGTGTCTGATCCGGGGGCTCAGTGCCCAAATTCCTTCTGGTCAGCAGGTACAAACTGCCCTAGCATTTATCAGTAATAAAAGGGTCATCTAGGTGTTCCATCTGCCTTCCTCTTGTCTAATTTTTTAAAATTTTACTTTAGTAGCTTTAAGGGTACAAGTAGTTTTTGGTTACATGGATGAATTATATAATGGGGAATTCTGATGTGTTAGTGTCACAAGAGTAGTGTACATTGTACCCAATATGTAGTTTTATATCCCTCACCTCTCCACCCTCTGCACTTCTGAGTCTCCAAAGTCCATTATACCATTCTGTATGCTTTGCATACCCATAGCTTAGCTCCCACTTGTATGTGGTAACATATGGTATTTGGTTTTCCATTCCTGAGTTACTCTACTTAAGGTAATGATTAACTCCATCCAAGTTGCTGCAAAAGACATTATTTCATTCTTTTTTATGTCCGAACAGTATTCCATAGTGTATATATATATTTTCTTTATCCACTCATCAGTTAATGTGCACTTAGGTTGGTTCCATACCTTTGCAATTGTGAATTGTGCTATGATAAACATACATGTATGGGTGTCTTTTTTAATATAATGATTGACTTCTTTTTCTTTGGGTAGATATCCAAGTAGTGAGATAGCTGGATAGAATGGTAGATCTACTTTTAATTCTTTGGGAAATCTCCATGCTGTTTTCCACTGAGGTTGTACTAATTTACATTCCTACCAGCAGTGTATAAGTATTCATTTTCACCACATCCACACCAACATCTATTATTTTTGACTTTTTAGCAATGGCCTTTCTGGCTGGGGTAAGGTGCTATCCCATTGTCGTTTTAATTTGCATTTCTCTGTAGATTAGTGACGTTGAGCATTTTTTATATGTTTGTTAGCCATTTGTATATCTTCTAGAAATGTCTATTCATGTCATTTCCCACTTTTAATGGGATTATTTGTTTTTTTCCTGCTGATTTGATTGAGTTCACTGTAGATTCTGGATATTAGTCCTTTGTCAGATACATAGTTTGCAAATATTTTCTCCCAGGTTGTGGGTTGTCTATTTACGCTGATGACTATTTGTTTTGCTGTGCAGAAGGTTTTTAGCTTAATTAAGCCCCAATTGTTTATTTTGATTATTGTTGCATTTGATTTTGGGGTCTTAGTCCTAAATTATTTGCATAGGCCAATGTCTAGAAGAGTTTTTCCTAGGTTTTCTTCTAGAATTTTTATAGTTTCAGGTCTTAGACTTAAGTCTTTATCCATCTTGAGTTGATTTTGTATATGATGAGAGATAGGCATCAGGTTTCATTCTTCTACATATGGCTATCCAGTTTTCCCAGAATCATTTGTTGAATAGAGTGTACTTTCCTCAATTTCTATTTTTGTGTGCTTTGTCAAAGATCAGCTGGTTTTAAGTATTTGGCTTTATTTCTGAGTTCCCTATTCTGTTCCATTGGTCTATGTAGCTGCTCTTATATCAGTACCATGCTGTTTTGGTTACTATATAGCCTTGTAGTATAATTTAAAGTTGGGTAAAGTGATGCTTCCAGATTTGTTCTTTTCACTTAGGATTGCTTTGGCTATTCAGGCTCTTTTCGGTTCCATATGAATTTTAGTATTGTTTTTCTAGTTTTGTGAAAAATCTTGTTGTTATTTTGATAGGAATTGCATTGAATCTGTAGATTGCTTTGGGCAGTATGGTCATTTTCACAGTGTTGATTCTTCCAATCCATGAGCATGGGATGTATTTCCATTTGCTTGTGTCATCCGTGATTTAACTCAGCAGTATTTTGTAGTTTTTCTTGTAGAGAACTTTCATCTCCTTAGTTAAGTATATTCCTAGATTTTTTGTTTATTTGTTTGTATCTAATATGAAAAAGATTGAATTCTCAATTTGATTATCTGCTTTGTCATTGTTGGTGTATAGCAATGCTACTGATTTGCATATATTGATTTTGTAGCCTGAGACTTTACTGCATTCATTTATCAAATTTAGGAGTCGTTTGGAGGAGTCTAGGGTTTTCTAGGTATATGATCATATCATCACCAAACAGAGACAGTTTGACTTCCTGTTTTCCAGTTTGGATGCCGTTTATTTCTTTTGCCTGACTGCTCTGGCTAGGACTTTCAGTACTATGTTGAACAGAAGTGGTTAAAGTGGGCATCCTTGTCTCCTTCCATTTCTTAAGAGGAAGGCTTTCAACTCTTCTTCATTCAGTATGATGTTGGCTGTGGGTTTGTCAAATATGGCTTTTGTTATTTTGAGGCATGTTCCTTCTATGCCTAGTGTTTTGAGGGTTTTTATCATAAAGTGATGCTGGATTTTATTGAATGCTTTTTCTGTGCCTATTGACATAACCAGATGGGTTTTGTTTTTAATTCTGTTTATGTGGTGGGACCATATTTATTGTATAGTGTATATTGAACCATCCCTGCATTCCTAAGATGAAATCCACTTGATCATGGTGAATTATCTCTTTGATGTGCTGTTGGATTCACTGTGCTAGTATTTTGTTGAGGGTTTTTGCATCCATGGTCATCAGGGATATTGGTCTGTAGTTTTCCGTTTTTGTTATGTTCTTTCCTGGCTTTGGTATCAGTGTGATACTGGCTTCATAGAATGAATTAGGAGGATTCTCTCTTTCTCAATCTTTTGGATTCATTTCAGTAGGATTGGTGCCAATTCTTCTTTGTATGTTTGGTAGAATTTGGCTGTTAATCCATCTGGCCCTGGGCTTTTTTTTGTTGTTGGCAAATTTTTTATTACTGATTCAGTCTCACTGCTTGTTATTGACCTACTCAGGATTTTATTTTTCCTTGATTATTCAAGCTATGAGAATTGTATGTTTCCAGAAATGTATTCATTTCTTCTAGATTTTCTAGTGTGTGCCTAAAGATGTTCATATTTGTCTCAAAGGATCTTTTGCATTTCTATGGTTTTAGTTGTAATGTTTCCATTTTTGTTTCTAATTGAGCTTATTTACATCTTCTTTCTACTGGGTTAATCTAGTTAATAATCTATCAATTTTGTTTATTTTTTCAAAAAACCAATGTTTCATTTCATTGATCTTTTGTATTTTTTTGTTTCAGTTTCATTTAGTTCTTCTGTGATCTTTGCTATTTCCTTCCTCCTGCTACTTTTGGGTTTGGATTGTTTTTGTTTCTCTAGTTCCTTGAGGTATGACATTAGGTTGTTAATTTGTGATCCTTCAGACTTTTCGATGTAGACATTTATAACTACAGGTTATGAGGTTTTGATAACTTGTGTCACTGTTACGATTCATTTTGGAGGATTTTTAAATTTCCGTCTTGATTTCATACCCCAAAATCACCTAGGAGCATACTGTTTAATTTCCATATGTTTGTATAGTTTTGAGGGTTTCCTTTAGAACTGATTTCTAGTTTTAGTCTGCTGTGGACTGAGAAGATACTTAACATAATTTTGATTTTTTAAAATTTACTGACCTTGTTTTGTGGCCTATCATCTGGCCTACCTTAGAGAGTGTTCCACGTGCTGATGAGAATAATGTATATTCTGCAGTTCTTGGGTAGAATGTTCTGTAAATATCTGTTTGGTCTATTTGTCCCAGAGTGCAGGTTAAGTCCAGTGTCTCCATGTTGACTTTCCCCCTTGATGATCTGTCTAGTGCCATCAGTAGAGTGTTGAAGTCCCCCACTGTTATTGCATTGTTTAATTGATCCTTTTATCATTATATCTTCTTGTATAATTGATCCTTTTATCAGTATGTAATGTCCATTTTTGTCTTTTTTTACCATTGTTGTTTTAAAGTCTGTTTTATTTGATGTAAGAATAGCAACTCCTGCTCACTTTTATTTCCATTTGCACAGAATGTTTTTTTACTCATTTACCTTGAATCTGTAAGAATTCTTATGTATTAGGTGTGTCTCTTGAAGAGAGCACATATTAAGTTTGTGATTTTTAAAATCCATTCTGCCAATCTGTATCTTTTAAGCGGAGCGTTTAGACTACTTACATTTAATGCTGTTAATATTGAGATGTGAGGTACGGTTCCCAAAATCATGTTGCTTTTTATCTAGTTACTTTGTTTTCTTCATTTGTTATTGTTTTATAGGCCCTGTAAATTTTAGGCTATCAAGAGTTTATACTCTAGTGCATGTGAACCTTTTTTTTTTTCTTCAAGATTTAGAACTCTTTTTAGCACTTTTTTTTGTAAGACTAGTCTGACAGTGACAAATTCTCTCAGTATTTGCTCATCTGAGAAAGACTTTATTTCTCCTTCATTTATGAAACTTAGTTTTGCTGGATACAAAATTCTTGGCTGAGAGTTATTCTCTTTAAGGAGACTAAAGATAGGAGCCCAATCCTTTACAGCTTATAAAATTCCTGCTAAGAAGTCTGCTGTCCGTCTGATAGATTTCCCTTTATAGGTTACCTGATGCTTTTTTGTCTCACTGCTCTCAGAATTTTTTCTTTCATGTCAACATTAGATAATCTGATGACTATATGCCTTGGTGATGTCCTTCTTCATAACTCTCTCAGTAGTTCTTTGAGCTTCTTATATTTAGATGTCTAAATCTCTAGCAAGGCAAGGGAAGATTTCCTCAATTATTCCTTCAAATACATTTTCCAAACTTTTTGCTTTTCCTTCTCCTTCTGGAACACCAGTGATTCTTAGGTTTGGCCATTTCACATAATCCTGTATGTCTTGAAGACTTTGTTTCCTTCTTTAAATTCTTCTTTCTGCTGTCTGATAGGGTTTATTCAAAAGCCTTGTCTTCAAGCTTTAAAATTATTTCTTCTACTTGGTCTAGTCTATTGTTAAAACTCAACTGCATTTTGTAATTTTCTAATTGTATTTTTCATTTCCAGAAGTTCTGATTGGTTTTTCTTTAAAATATCTATCTCTTTAGAACATTTTTCATTCATACCCTGAATTCTTTTAATTTCTTTACGTTGGTTTTTGCCTTTATTTTCCATCTCCTTTAATAACTTAATAATCAACCTTTTGAATTTTTTATCTAGTATTTCAAAGCTTTCATCTTGGTTTGGATTCATTGCTGATCTTTTGAGGAGAGTTATAGAACCGTATTTTTTCATATTGCCAGAATTATTTTTCTAGTTTCTTCTCATTTGGATAGACTATTTCTTCTAATCATTTTGAAATTTTTTTTCATTTGACTGTGCTTTAAAAAAAATTTCAGGTTTTTTTCCCCCCTTAAGGATGTGGCTTTAATATTTATAGTTTATTGTAACCTAATTTGGCTCTGGGTGCTTTCAGTGGTGAAGATTCTGTATGAGTTCCTTGGCTATAGAGAGTCTCTGTGTGATCACATTCTCAGGTGCTAGTTGTAGTAACAATGTGCTCTGTGTGTGAGTGGCTTCACTGTCTCCTGTGAGGCTGAAATGGCAGAGGTCTCATGAAGCTTATCTCATTACCCAGTGGTGTGCACTTATTTATTTATTTTTCCCCATTTATTTCCTCACTGGGTTGAATAGTTTAGGCTTCAGGCCAGTAGGAAGTTTCCACAGGTAAAAAGTAGCTGTGGCTAAAGCAGGTGGGTAAACATAACACCCAATGGTGGGCAGAGGACCCAGCCTTGCCAGAGGCAGCTGGGGAAGCTCTCAGTGACATGTGTTGAGACCTTTTTGGGGAAAGGATGGGAGCCACTTTAGTTCTCCTACTAGGCCAGCAGGAAGGTGATCCACCTGTCAGTCACACTTCTTACCTAGTGTTCTAGCCATTCAAATCAAACAAGCACTTCTTTTTATCTGCAGGAATGCTGATGTTCCACATAGATGGGTCTTGTGACTGTACCCCTCATGCAAACTTAAACCTGGATGGCACTCCTCTTATGGGGATGTAGTCACCCTGAAGTGTTACAGAAAGGCTGTCTACAGCTGCACCCATGCTGAGCTCCCATGGGCGAAGCCTCCGCTGTGTCTGCAGTGGTGGGTGAGAGGAAGAAGAAGTCTCCTTTTCCAAGATGCTTCATGAGCCTTGGGGCTGCCTGAATGTTGGGGTAGAGCTGCAGACTTTCCCCACTGAGCCCAGCATTCCACTTGTGTCTCTGCTGAAACATTTTGTAAGCAGAAAGTTCCAGGACTCAAGTCCTACCGACTGGATTCTGTTATCCCACAGTATGCTCCCTTAATGTGGTGCATTCTCCCTTCCCTTAGAAGTAGGAATCCCTGAGAGCTAGACTACTGTGAATCCTGCTGCTTCTCTGGGTCTAGCTGTGCAGTGGGACTGCCACACTTCAGGCTGGTGCTAGGGGATGTCCACAAAAGATCCAGTGATGTGACCTCTCTTTTAGCCTTCCAGCAGCAGGTACCAGCAACAACTCTGATGGTGTTGGAATGGGAATGATGTAGACTCTGTGAGATTTCCTTCCTTATAAATCACCTTAGTATGTTGTTCTTCTCAAATGCCAGGTGTACTGGTAACGTACTGGTCATGTAGACAGAGTGAAGCCTTCCTGGTTAGGCAGGGTGATGCAGGCTTGGGTAATAGCTAAGGTTGTGCAAAAGTGTACTCGTTCCTAGGCACTGTGTTACTGTACCTGCAAATGTTGTAATGGCATGTATTGGTTGGCCTCCAGCTAGGAGGTGGTGCGTGCTTGCAAAAGAATGCCAGTTGCAGTGGTACTGGTGGGATTTGTGCTTGCCTTATGTTATCCAGGGGAGGTATTCTGGTGTCTCAGACAATGGGTGGCACCATGGAGCTCTCAAAATTACCTGTCCTTTATACTAAGCTACCAGGGTAGGTAGAGGGACAAAATCAGGTGGCGCTGGGCCAGGCAAGGCTGTATCCTACTTTCCCATGTACAGGTGCAAGCAGCGGCCCCAGTGGAGATTGGAGGGCGGTTCCCTGGCTACTGGGGTAATAATCCAGGTGGACCAAAGCTGCCTCTGCTGCACAGAAGAATCTGCACAAGGAGTGGGGAGGAGCAGGCAGCAGTAAGCCCTATCCAGCTCCCATGCGCTTGGCAAGGCAGGTCTCACACATGCAGTGTTCCACCAGCAGCAGCTAGCTGGGTTGGAGTTAGCCTGCACTCTGAACCCAGAACTGCCCCAGGCTATAAACCTTCCCTATCCAGACAGAAACTGAGGTTTTCCAACTACACTTCTCCTGGTCTGCCTGTGAAACAGCACAATCAGCTCCTGCACGTGTGGCTAAAGCACACACACTGCTTGTGCCTCAGTTCTGGACAAGGGGGTTCATCACCACTCAAAATTATATCACAAATCTCAGTTGGGAGCTTCTCTCAACCTGTGACCACCACCTGAGTTAGCTGGCTGATTTCTGCAAGGTCCCCTATTAGGTAGGATCATGAATGGCTTCCTTCTGTCCCTGCTGGAGTCTGGGAATGCACAAAAAGCACATCCCAATGCTGCTCCTTCTCATACACTCCCTACCGCTTACAAAATCAGCACTGGGCAGGGTTAAGGCCTCACCCCATGGCCTGGATTGCCAGGCCCCACAGTAGGAGTGAATATCATGGAGGCAGCGTCTTCCACCTCATGCTCTAGGGACTCACAGTTTTCTGCCTGGCTCATTCATGGTGTAGGCTGCCGCCTTCTGCTTCTTTCAAAGGGTCTGTAGTTTCTTTCCGTTGTTTTGTTAAGTTCTTGTGTTGCTTCTTTGAAAAAAGTTCACAGCATAAATCCCTACACTCTATTTTGTCTTTCCAAGGGGAGAGGCAGGCTAACAGTGTCTCCAATCCGCCATCTTGGAAACAAAATGTTTTCCCCTTATTTTTTAATTAGTTCAGAACTTGAGGGGGAAGAAAAAGAGTGGCACTATTTTGGGGGGACTCTTCAAGAACTCCAATTTAAGACTTTGGCAAATATTTTCTGATGATGAAACTACTATCTGATAGAGCAGAGGGAGAGAGCTGTCTAAAGAATCATGTAGCCCCAAGAGGAGGCTCTGGAAAGGAAGTGTATACAGGAAATGCAGGAAAAAGAAAATAAGGCAAGACTTATGATCGTCATGTATCTGAATTAATCATTGTTCTGATTCCTACTTTACTGATTAGGTATCAATAAAGCTGCACAAGGGAAAGCAGTTTGTTTTGTTTCATTGCTGAATTTTTAGCGCTTAGAGTTCTGCCTGGCACATAGTAGTTGGTCAATGAACACTTTTTAAATAAACAAATAAAATGCAATTGCCCGTGGTGGAATTATAGATTTCTTTTACAGGTGACTACACTGAAGCCAAGGGAACTTGATTACCCAAACAGAAACTGCTAATTCATGGCAGAATCCAGGCTTCCTGGACGCTATTAAAATGCTTTTTCCATTATAACATGCTGCTCCCCTGGGTAGCCTCCCACCTACAAGCCCTTGCCAAATTATCTTACCTCTAATCTAATTAACTTTAAAGCTCTTTATTCTCTGACTTTAATGTTTTGGGCTACTCCAGCAAAGTGGTTGCTCTCCCCAAAAAAATGACTCTCTGAGTCTCTGTGCATTTTCTTCCCTCTACCTGGAATAGACAGCGACTCATCAAATCTTTAAGTTTCCATTCATAAACCTTCTTGCTTCCAAGAACCTCTTCCTGATCAACCTTATTCATCTTTAGTCATACGTTAAGGCATTTATTTTACCTACTTGTAAATATTTTCATAACTACATTATTTTTACTTAAACTTTAGGTAGAACTAAAAACATATTGGAGTGGGCACCCAGATCTCATCTATTTGCCTTTCTCTGGAAATTGTCACCTAGCTTCATTCCTACCCAAAACACAGGGTGAGCCAATAGCTATGGCTGTACTTGAAGATCCAATCTTCCTGGTCATAGTGATGAATCCAGGTGTGAACAGCTGACCCACCCTGGGCTGAGCAGACTGCCTGTTCTAGAAATTGAAAATTCCAAGTTGAGAGACGCAGAGGGAAAGAAGGGGATTGGAGGGAGGGAAGGGGATTGGAGGGAGAGAAGGGAATGGGAGGGAGGGAAGGGGATTGGAGGGAGAGAAGGGAATGGGAGGGAGGGAAGGGGATTGGAGCGGGGAAGGGGATTGGAGGGAGGGAAGGGGATTGGAGGCAGGGAAGGGGATTGTAGCTGAATCCTGTGCACAGCAAGATGCTTGAAAGAAAACCACAAATTCAGCTTTCTGGAGCTTTCTGGTCTCTGTTGCTTCTGTGGCCTAGTTTTCCACCCTTCTTTGGATTCTACATGTTCCAGCATCTTTCCAGTACATTCTTGCTTTTGCAATGGCCTGCTAGAGTTAGTTTCTGTGAGTTGCTATAACACTGAGAAATAATCCACTCTTCTCATTTTGAAGCTAAGAAAACTGAGGCCTGGAGATGACTTGCCCAGAGTAGCTTTCTTTAGGTTTCCTTGGGAATATCTGTCCTTTCTCTCCCGCTAGCTTGTCATGCACCTCTTCTTTGTCTCTCTCTATGCCTGTATCTTCACCACCCTGCTTGCACACTGGTGAGAATGTGCTTCTCACCCCCGAGCCTGGATTCCCTAATAGCGTTGTATGTTTCATCTCATGCCTCTCTTCACCTGTTTTGAGAGAGTCATTGTATAAAACATTCATTGCCTTTTTGGCCTTTTTGCCCTTGTCTTTCCACAGCCGTCTATCATGGGTCATTCCTCAAGGTCATGTGTATGCTAGCTTCCAAGTTGAAGACCAGTTATGTGAAAGGCACTGTTTAGGAACATGATACTGGCTGGACACAGTGGCTTATGCCTGAATCACAGCACTTTGGGAGGCCGAGGTGGGTGGATTGCTTGAGCCCAGGAGTTCAAGACCAGCCTGGGCAACACAACCAGACTCTGTCTCAACAACAACAACAACAACATAAAAAAATACAAAAATTAGCCGGGCATGGTGGCACATGCCTGTGGTCCCAACTATTTGGGAGGCTGAGGTGGGAGGATCACTTGAGCCCCAGAGGCAGAGGTTGCAGTGAGCCATGATAGCACCATTGCACTCCAGCCTGGGCGACAGAGGAAGACTCTGTCTCTGAAAGCAAACAACAACAACAAAAAAACCAACTAATACTAAAAGATAAAACTGTTCATCATCTGCATTAATATTGCCAGACATCACACCAAAATCCCCAAAATTAAAACCCTTGATTTGGACTCAGTAACAATAGAAGGTGATCGCTGATGCTTCTGGCTCAAAGATTTAGATTTTATTTGTGGGTCTGCCTCTTTGTACGGCTGTGGACAGGACATGGATTGGGTATAGACAGCCCTCTTGTGAAGGCCACTCTCAAAGGCTTCTAGGTCCGCCGAGGTTGGGAAGCGAGGGTGCAACATGGATGGGGATAGAAATGGCCTTCTTTGTAATAATAATGTAAAAAATACAAACATAAAGGCTGAGTACTTTATTTTAAATTCTACTGTGGGAAAGACAAGTATATTTGTTTATGGAATTGAATGTCCTTCAGAAACTCATGTTATTCTTTTTTTAATGCCCTATAAAAATAACTATTCCATTATACTCATGAAGATGTGTCATTTAATTTTAACTACAACATAAATAAAAAGGAGGCTGCACTCGCTTCTCGCTTGGGGATTAAATAGTTTTTTCCAAAATAAATTCTGAAATGTTGTTCATCATTTAAAACTTAATTTTTAGGCCGGGCACGGTGGCTCAGACCTGTAATCCCAGCACCTTGAAAGGCCGAGGCAGGTGGATCACCTGAGGTCAGGAGTTCGAGACCAGCCTGGCCAACATGGTGAAACCCTGTCTCTACTAAAAATACAAAAATTATCCGGACATGGTGGTACACGCCTGTAGTCCCAGCTACTCTGGAGGCTGAGGCAGGAGAATATCTTGAGCCCAGGAGGCAGAGTTTGCAGTGAGCCGAGATCATGTCACTGCATTCAAGCCTGGGCGACAGAGTGAGACCCTGTCTCAAAAAAAAAAAAATTAATTTTTAGTACCTAATGATAATTTAGTATCTGTATATTTTCTATTTGTTTTGGCAACAGTATTTATTAGGTTTTACACTTATTGTGTGCTTAGCTGTCTTGATATGTCCTTAAGGAATTTAAAATCTGGATGTACAGTCAAGATTTACACATGTGAAACAATCAAACGACCTAAGACAGCATAGATTTACATCCATGAAGGTCAAGAAGCAGGAAATGATTACTATTAATAAATACGCTTACGATTTTCAGAGAATGGTTTCCCTTTCAAAAGCATTATACTGATTGACCATTCAACAATCCAAATAATGAAGCATACTTGACGGAGGCAAAACATTTTGCAATGACTAAAAATTGTTATGCTTCATTCACTACGTCTCTAAGTATTTAAATCAAAGAATACTTTTCAAGCTGTGTTTCATAACCACTCAAACAATACGACTATCCAAGGAAGTTATAAAAGTAAAGAGTCGCCTTGAAAAATTATTTCCCCATGCGATGTCAGTTGAAAAGCTGGTTAGACAGCTTCACTTTCAGACAGGCATGCTGGCTTGGAAACAGTAAGTGCTAGCCAGATGCTCACGCCAACAGTGACTCAGAGATATGCTGTTGCTTCATGGCAGGGAGGCCAGCGTTGCAGATAGATTAGATTCTGTGGATGATGCTGTGGATGCCGAGCATACTTTAGGTTTGCAACTTTGCTGACACAAATTCAAGAGGAATGTGAAATGTGACAAAGAAGACTCCTAATCCATTTTTCATTCCAGGAAGGCATAATGCATAAAGGTTAAGGACACAAACATGCGAATCTAACAACCTGGACTGATATCCAAGCGCTTCCACTCTTAATCTTTGGCAAGTAACTTCTCTGCCTTCTTTTCCTCATCTGTAACACAGATATAACAAAAGGTTTACTTTGACGGTTAAATGAATTAAAACACGTAAGATACTCAGTGTCCAGCACATAGTAAATGTTCAATTAGTGTAAGCTTTTCTTGTTTCATGGAAGGCTACTTGAATTGTTTCTTCTCCCCCCACCCCCCACCCACCGCCTGTGCCAAGTGGAGACTCGTTCTGTTGCCCAGGCTGGAGTGCAGTGGTGAGATCTCAGCTCACTGCCACCTCTGCCTCCTAGGCTCAAGCAATTCTCCTGCTTCCGCCTCCCGAGTAGCTGGAACTACAGGTGTGCACCACCATGCCCGGCTAATTTTTATACTTTTGGTAGAGACAGGGTTTCATCATATTGTCCAGGCTGGTCTCAAATTCCTGACCTCAGGTAATCTGCCCTCCTCGGCCTCCCAAAGCGCTGGGATTACAGGTGTGAGCCGCCGCACCCGGCCTTGAATAGTTTCTTAAAGGATACACCAATTCACATAAAGCAGTGGTCTCTGAACTCTTTTCCTCAATCCCATATCCAGTTGTACGAAGCAGCTGGAGAGAATAAAAGGGGTGAGGAATGAGAAAGTCCACATGGATATATGCTGCGCATAAGTTACATGTCACTTACACCTGCATGGAAGCCAACATTGTGTTGTCTATCTATGCCATGGGATCTAGAAACACACACAGCTCAAGGCAGATGGAGGTAATAAACTGTGGATGGAAGTAATAACCTGTGATCATTATGTCCATTTTCTTTCTTTTTTTTTTTTTTTTTTTGAGACGGAGTCTCGCTTTGTCGCCCGGGTTGGAATGCAGTGGCACAATCTCAGCTCACTGCAAGCTCTGCCTCCTGGGTTCATGCCATTTTCCTGCCTCAGCCTCCCGAGTAGCTGGGACTACAGGTGCCCGCCACCATGTCCAGATCATTTTTTTTTTTTTTGTATTTTTAGTAGAGACGGGGTTTCACCATGTTAGCCAGAATGATCTCAATCTCCTGACCTCATGATCCACCCACCTCGGCCTCCCAAAGTGCGGAGATTACAGTTATGAGCCACCGCACCTGGCCCATTCTGTCCATTTTCTTAATTTCAAAGTATACAGTAGTCAGAGGACAAAATTAGAGCCAGGCAAAGACAGAAGAGGGAGCAGACTCCCAGGGAGATAAGAGAAGAGGATACTTCATTCGTGTTTTGAGTGTTTAAATCCATCCTGTCATGTGTGGGGTTTCAGGTAACCACATTGGGGAGAGAAGGTGATGGGCAGGACGCTTAAAGTCTGAGTGATGTTTTTGCCCTAATAATCCTGGTCTTCTGCAAATAGGAGCCTGGCAGAAACCTATTAAAATCTTTGCTTGATCAATCGATTTTTAGTCCCTTACCCACTGGACTAAAACCTTGACGGCAGAAGCTTCTCTATCTTGCTTTTTCACATATTCCCCTACCAACCACTGTGCTTAGAACATACTAGCACTTGACATGTATTTTTTATTTTTACTGTTGAATTTGATCTTAGAAACTTGTCATTGAAAAAATTCAAACATATCAGCTCCATATGGGTGCCCATGCATTTGTAACACTTATTTTGAGAGTGCTGGACAACAAGCTGGGAATGTAGGAAGGATTTGGGAAGGCTGCACAGGTGTGGGAATCCCATCACCGTGTCTAATCTCCAAAGTCTCCTCTGCATCAGCTCTCACTAATCACCACTAGCCGATGGGCAGTGGATCAGACCTCATTTGACCTTCGGTAGACGGCAAAGCAGTTTTGAAATTCATCTAGATGCTGCATCACGAGAAACACAGGAGGGCATTTATATCCTTCCAGATCCTTGATTTGTGTGTGTATGTGTGTGTGTTTGTGTGTTTTCTGAGACAGAGTCTTGCTCTGTCACTCATGCTGGAGTGCAGTGGTGCAATCATAACTCACTGCAGCCTTAAACTCCTGGGCTCATGTGATCCTCCCTCGTCAGTTTCCCAAGCAGCTGGGACTACAGGCACGATCCACCTCACCTGGTTATTAAGAAAAATTTTTGTAGGGATGGGGTCTCACTACATTGCCCAGGCTAGATAGAACCTTGTTCCTTTGAGGCTCCAGCAAACTGCCATCACTGTGACACATCAATGCTACATATAACTGGCCTGCCTGTGGATTTCAAATTAATCTTGAAGAATGAAAATAAAAAGTTAAGCGATTATAGGAAAATGCCTCTAGTCCAACTGACGAACCAGAATTTTTAGTCTTGAGTCATTTCTCACTTAAACCTCAAACCATTAGGTGCCTAATTTGTGAGAGAAGAAAAGGCATAGATTGATGACTGGATAAACCTTGTCAGGAGCTGGAAAAACCAGATTGTTGGCACTATTAAAATCTTTCTCATTTATTGCTCTTTTTCATTTCTCATTTGTTCTTTATTATAAACATAAATATTTGCTGAAATTTAGAAACGTATAGAATATGCTTTTAATCACACTTAACTCAGATTCTCAGGCTAATTTGTTGTCTGATTCTCATGATTCATGGAAGGGTCAAATTTTGGACTTTTAGATTCCTTTCCCTGCAAGTTTTTCATTGTGTAGATAAGGACATTGGGGCCGGAGAGAGGATTGACTGAGCCATGGTCCCCTTGTTTGCTCTGTTAGAGCCAAGATAGCCTCCAGGTATCCTCACTCTTCTTCCCATTCCTCAAGTATTCTTTGTTCTGTTCCAAACAGCCACCCGTCTTTCAATTCCAGGCCATGTCTACAAGAGAACTGAGTTTAGCTTGGAGGGGATCACTTCCAGAGCCATCAGTGTTTTAGTTAATGACTAATTCACCACTTCCAAAAATGGAGCTGCAAAAAAGTTTCTTCTGTTCTCTAATGAATTTAATTCCCTGCCAAAAACACAGCCATCCCCTACATGTGGAACAGAAACCAATCCTGATGCTGCCTGTTGTCACACTGAGACCCACATAGGGAAGGGGAGGATCCCTGGCCAGGAAGAGTACAGGGCTACATATCCTGACAGTGCAGGGAGGAGTGGTTGGTGGCCTCATGCCAACAGCTGGCAAGACCCAGGACAGCAGTTCCCAGGACAGGGGTTCCAATAAAGTTAACAGAACAGCAGGAACCATTCCATAGGCTGCCCTAGAAGGATCACAGGATTCCCTCAGTTACGGGCTCATGGGTGTAGCCATGGCTCTCATTGACAGTGACCAGTTTATCATGAACTACACAACTCAAAATTAAAAATAGCCCACCTACTATTTCTATCTTAATAAAAGTCAATTGTATGCTTGTAATTCAAACCTAGCATTTGTGCCTACAAAAATTTATACTACTGCGCTGTAACACATTTTTGTCATCTTCATTACACTGTAATGTCTATAGCCTGCAGCCTGTAGAAGGCGACAGTTTATTAAATAAAGAGGAAAAAATATTTTTACCTGGTGGCATTTACTCTGAGAACCCATATTCTACCTTTGGGAAAAGTTTCCCTGGGGACTCACATGAATACAGACAATTAATGAACATCAACTCAAAATTTTCCTTTGTTAAAATAAATATACATTTAACTTCCCAAGATTTCTGGCTATCTGGCTGTTTTGGGGGTCTGACAGTACTTTGTTTAGCAGCAGATAAAGTGGTCTTCACTGTTCCATTTTCACTTCACAGAAGGAAGGAACACATCGGTCCCTGTGAATCCTACTTGGTATCCTGGTAACTTACATAGTGGCCTTCAGTTCTGCTTAGCAATTGCCTACAAGTGGATTTCAAAATAGTTCCTTAACTAAGGGTTAGACCATTTAAGGACTGAGCGTGTCAATTCAGGGAACTTACAAGCCTTTAAATGTTGCGCCATTGTCAATGCATGCAATAAGGGCTTCTTTCCTTTTTGGGTGTCTAAAGAAAATATATTTATTTCACCGTACTATTTATTCCAATCCCCCTTCCTAATGATTCATTTGTCTTGTAGTTTAATAAGTATCTTTCAAACTCTCACTAGCTCTAATTTCAGCCCAAAGATTGCAAATGCACTGGATATTTGACTTTCTGTTGGTGTAGTCTTTCTTCTCATTTTGCCTTCCAACATTGGACATGCTCTAATCATCCATCCAGCGGGGCTCATGGGTCAGTGTTAGGGTTGCTTCTTAATTTTAAACAAGGAGTACTCTTTACTGTGCTAGGCTTCTGATACTGATGATACAACTGTGTAAACACCTTTTAAAGTGCTATTAGAAATGTCTTTTGGTAGCCTTGAAAATCTTAGATATACACAAGGTTATTAAATGACAGAGCCATTTTTCATACAAGGGACCATGAGAGGATTCGCATCTAGGTACCAAAATTAGACTTCAGGGTTTGTAAAAGTAATCTATTATTTTATTGATTTGTCAGTCATGCATAAAGTGTCTACTGGATGCCAAGTACTTTACCAAGTTCTGGGATTACAACAAGGAATGAGACAAAATTTGCCCATAAGAAATTTAGTCTTAATTCAAGTGTTTCTAACATAAAGAAAAGACAAATACTTAAGGTGATGAATAATCTAATTATGCTGATTTGATCTTTATAAATTACATATGAATGTATTGAATTATCACAGATACCTGGAAAATATGTAAATCTATTATGTGTCAATTTTTAAAATAACATAATAAAATCACTCCATTAAAAAAGACATTTACAGTCTAACAGGGCATAAAGGCCTATTACAACTTGATATTATAAAATATTCAGTAAGTACTTTGAAGAGTACGTAATAGGTATTATGGGAGCTCTCACAAGGGGGCATATCTCTACAGGGGAGGAGAAAAGAGGTCAGGAAAGGCTTTGTGGAGGATCTGATGACTGAGCTGAGTATTAAAGGATGAGAAGGAGTTAGCTCCTGTTTTGTTTTTGGTTTGTGGAGTGAGGGTTTGTCCAGTGCAGGAAGGAAAAAGGAAAGAGGATTCAAGGCAAAACAGTATGTACAAAGACAGAGAAGCCAAAAAGAGCATGGGAGGTACAAGTACAAGAAACTGGATACATTATTTACTGTTTTGAAGCCAAAAGTGAGAGACAGATTAAAGGATGAAGCTGGAGAGAAAGACGGGAATTTGCCTTGGGTCTATAGAGCTTTGACTTTACTCTTTCAGTGATGGGTTTTGAGGTGCTATAAACACAGTTGGCTTAACATTTTTTTTAGCATATTTCTTCTGTGGCTCCATAGAAGATGGATTTGGAGAAGATAAGATAAGAAGAAGGGAGACCAGTTGGGAGACCATACAAGTTAGAAATTAGGAAATAGATGATGAGACCTTGGTCCAATGACAGCAAAGCTGTAGAGGCTGGGAAGAGTTCAAGAAATATTTGGCCATTAGAATTCACATCGCCTGATCAGAATTGACATGAGATGACAAATAGTGAAGGGGAGGGGAAGCCAAGAATAGCTTGAGGGGCTGGTTAGTATAACCAACTAAAAGAGATTAGAGTGAAAGAGAAAATATGAATTCTGTTTGTGCTGTGTTGAGTTGACACTCATATGGAATGCTCTTGTGGACATATGCATCAGGTATTTGTTATCCAAGTCACAATTTCAGGGAAGAGATCTGTACTAAAGGTAAAGACTTAGGAGGCATTGACATGTGGATTTTAAAAGGGTGTGCAGATGAAGTCACCCAAGCAGGGTTTGTGGAGTCATTATAATCAGAGGAGTCAGAAGGGAGGGTACTACTCTTAGGAACTCCAGCATTTAAAGGTAAAGAGGCAGATGAGCATTGCAGGAAGAAGCATTAAGGACTGATTAGAAAAGTTCAGAAGACCAGGAGAGTGGGCACTCACAGGAGCTGAAGGAGAAGTAAGTTTCAAGAAACAGGCATCATCTCCAGGGTCAAAACAAGCAGATAGGAGCTGTGAGTTAGAGGAATTAATCCATGTGCATTAGGTGTGACAAGCTGATGGTCATTTGTTTGCCACAGTAAGAGCAGTTTCAGTGGAGAACAGGTTTGGGGCACTGAATCATGGGTCAGAATCTGATAACAATGGGTTGGTGGTGAATTGTAGATGAAGACATGGGCAGTGTTAGTTGAATCTATTATTTTAAGAAGTTCACCTGAGAAGCAAATGAGAATGTACTGAGGAAGTCCAGGGAGGGATTTCTAGGATAGGAGAACCTTGAATATATTCGTAAACTAAGAAATGTCAAAATGGGGAAAGATTCAGAATATAGTAGTGAGAGGATAGAGGACACAAAAGCAGAAAGGGATGAAGTTAAGCATAGAAATTAAGAGGATGAACTTCAAAGTAGAAGGCATTGTGATGAGAGGAAAGGAGGTAGGAATGGGTACGCAGGAGATAAAGTTTTTGGTCAAAGAATGAGAAGCTAAAAGATTATGGGAGATGTTTATCATGTTTGCAGCTCTGAAGCATCTCTTGAACACTCCTATACTTGAAGAGTTTTCCACATTATGAATCCTGATTCCCCAAGGTAGAAACTAGAACTCATTCTCCTGGCATCATTTGCCACTAAAGTGCAGGCATGTGAGGTCACTTCCATCAGTCAGATGCTTCGGCATGAGATGCTGACTTGGAAGGGAACAATGTCAGGAGGTAGGTGCATGGAGACTCCATATTCTGTTCAGACACAATAGGGACAGAACTTCCGGTTTCCAGTTCTAAGCATTAGCAATGCATGGTTCTAGCGAACGTTTGGATTCCGGCAGTGGTGCTCACCACAACAGCCCTCTTGGCATGGTTGGGGCTGGATAGCTCCGAAGCTGGCTTTCTGGCTTTCCTGGAGATTCCTGTAACAACTGTGGCATTCAACCAGCAGACTGGGTTCTGTTGTTTATTATGAAGAGTGCTGACTGATACAGCAACCATGTGTAAAGTCATCAATTTTCTCAAGAAGGGAGGCAAGGTCATCTGCTGAAATTGAGAGGGAAAGGGCATGAAGAGAATGATAATGGGTTGGAGTCACTGATGAAATCACTGGGAGAGGAATCTGAGCCACAGATAACTGAAGAATTAATGGGAAACCCAAGGGTCTGGTATTTAAGGTCAAGTTGAAGTTAGACCCATGAATCTGCAGTAGGCTTTATCTTCATGGATTGCTTGATTTTCTTTTCCTAGAAGAATTAGGTAGGGGAGGAAGGGAAGTGAAAATGGCAGTAAGAAATCAACCAAGGAGGTCTATTCTGGGGAGAAAAAAAGGAAAGGCCAGAAGTGAGCTGATAAGCCAATAAAATGGGAAGAATCAAGGGATTAAAAATTCATTTGAGTTAAAAGAGCAAGTATAGTATGAGTGAGTTAATGAGAAAGCTGAGAGCATAAGAGACTGTCTCCAGAAGTTGCAATCTTCAAATATTATATTTTAGAGGTAGAGAAGATCCAGGTCTTGAAGAGATTCAAGGGGGTAAAGAACGTCTCTGGCATTAAATAAACTCAGGAACCTCTAAGCTAAGATATAGGATGAGTTGTCCATTAACATTGATGCTGAAATTTCTTAGGATGATGGTAGGAGTTGGAGAGAAGAAGATTTAGTATCAGATGCCAAAGTTTATGAGTGAGGGAGAGTGCTTGGGAGCTGAGTAGGTGGCAGTGGGTGAAGGAGATAAATGACAAAGCCTGCTGGTCTCAAATGCATCATGGAATGAGCTTTAGTACAATAGTTCAATAGTAATAGACTAGAAGCAGCAGTGATTCATAGAGGGTGAAAAGATCTAGAAAGAAGGCACACTCATAGCTAAGCATGGTAAAACTCAGTACAGGGCCAGGAGAGGGTGAAGGTGGCAGTGTGGTCCTCATTTGTCCTTCATTTGCTAGGTAATGACTGCCTCAAAGAGAGAAGACAGGCTTGGTGAGAAATAACTGGTCTCAAATCTCCAATGTCCTAACTTTGTCCAAGGAATTTGTAGAGCGAAAATGAACTAAGTCACATCCACACGAGACTCCTTAAGATACTTGGAGATGTCCCCACATACCCACAAGACTTATTTTGTCCATGCTAGACACCCTCAGTTCCTTTAACTATCCGCCATTTCACTCATTCATTCTTCTCTGGAAAAAAAATTGCCACTTTATTGTTTTTTTCTTGAGCTTTTACTCATGGCAGAAGGTGAAGCAGAAGCTTGCACGTCACATGGTGGGAACAGTAGCGAGAGAGATGTTGGTAGGGGGAGCTGCAACACACTTTCAACCAACCAGGTCTCATAAGAAGTCGTTATGATCAATGTCATCTTAAAATGTGGCACTCAAAATCAAGCACAATTTTCCAAAGACTATCAGATGTAAGGAGAACATGGTAAAATAGCTAACCTTTATTTCTTATGAGTTGAAATTGACTCAGGTGAGCCAAGAAAACACCCTGACGTCACTCTGAGTGTAGCCCCCTTTCTTCTCTTCATTCCCTTCAAATATACTTGGGCCTGAACAAAAATTTTGTTATTGATGACAAGGAGAATTCTATGGCTAATAATGATTATGATGATTGTCTTAGGCCATTCTTGCATTGCTATAAAGAAATACCTGAGACTGGGCAATTTATAAATAAAAGAGATTTAATTGGCTCACATTTCTGTCTGCAGGCCAGACAGGAAGCATGGCAAAAGCTTCTTCTGCTTGGCTTCTGGGGAGGCCTCAGGGAGCTTTTACTCATGGCGGAAGGTGAAGCAGAAGTTTGCATGTCACATGATGAGATCAGTAGCAAGAGACAGATGTTGGCGGTGGCAGGTGCCACACACTTTTAAACAACCAGATCTCTTTAGAACTCAAGATCGTGAGGACAACACCAAGACATGAGGGATCACCTCCATGACCCAAACACCTACCACCAGGCCCCACCTCCAACACTGGGTAAATTTCAACGTGAGATTGGAGGGGACAAATATCCAAACGATATCAGTGATGGTGTTGATCATGATGAAACTCAAAGCAAACTGTGGGTGACAGGCCCCTCATGGAACTAGCATTAGAACTCAGGAGGTAGGTAATAAGTAGGGTTTTGTTTGGTTTTGTTTTGTTTTCAACATGAACCATATGTATATGTATATATATGTATATAAATATATGACTTGTTCAGGGACCTGCTGTCCTAATGCCCAAGTTACTTCCTGCTTTAAATCCGGTAGCACAAGCTAATGGTGTTGATGTGGTTTCCAGAGATGCCTAACCTATTCCCACATAATGGCTTATGTTCTGGGAAATTCTGACTCACAGAAAAGACACAGCAGAAAGAAGAACTTAAAAGTCTAACTCCTATATGGCATTTCATTGTTTGTTAAATTGTACCTTTAGGCTTGATGAAAAATAAAATCAATAAAAGATGCTACTTTGAATTTACTTATAGCTACAAGTTGTGGGTTGGTTGATGGAAAGTGGTAACTTTTTTTCCTGGAAAAAAAATTATCAAGTATTAGACCATAGTCTTGCAGTCAGAATAGCAGTTAAAACAAGGTAAATAAAAGTTAGTAATAAACAGGAGGGAACATAGTTTTGGGAACACATCTGGTTCAGTGCTATAAGATCAGGTTTGGGGCCATTTCTCTTTAGTGTCTCCAATAGTTAATTTAATGTTAGAAGTGATAAAAATGAAATTATTTCAAAATTATGAACTAATAAAGGAACATTCTCAGTATTGAAAAGTAGAGGAAATGCCAAATAAAATAATTAGAAACATGGAAAACTAAATGAAACATTAGATAAGAAGTCCTCAAATGTATAATTTAACATAAAAAAAGACAACTGGAGATCAGGTATGCACGGGACATGAAGAGGGAGGTAATTTACTTGTGCAAAGTTCACTAGAGTGATGCTTGAAAGATCTGAATTCTAGTTTTTAATGTCCTCTAAATTAGCCTGGCAAGTCATTGCCTTTCTTGGTCCTCATTTTCTATATTTGTCAAATAAAGGGTTTGAGGGATTAATCCTAATAACGGGGCTCAAATATTCAAATGATTCCATGAAAAAAAAACAACAGAAAGAAAAGCAGGAAGGAAGGAAGAAAAGGTGGGAGGGAGAAAGGAAGAGAGGAAGAAAGGGAGTAAGGAAAGAGGGAAGGAAAAAAGAAAGGAAGGAAGGAAGGAAGAAAGGAAGGAAAGGGAAGGGAGGGGAGGGGAGGGAGGGAGGAAGGAAGAGAAGAAGTGAATGAGGAAGGAAAGAAGGAAGGAAGGAAGGGAGAGAGGGTAGGAGGTAGAAAGGAAGAGAGGAAGGGAGGGAGGAAGGAAAGAAGAGGGGAAGGAAAGGAAGGGAAGAAGGGAAGGAAGGAAGGAAGGAAGGATGAGAGGAAAGGAATGAGGAAGGAAAGAAGGAAGGGGGAGAGAGGGTAGAAGGTAGAAAGGAAGAGAGGAAGGGAGGGAGGAAGGAACGAAGGAAAGAACAGAGGAAGGAAAAGAAGGAAAGAAGGAATGAAAGGAAGGAAGGAAGGGAAGGGAAGGGAAGAGGGAGGGAGGGAGGGAGGGAAGGGAGGAGAAGAATAGGCAGATCCCTGCAGAAAGCCCCAGAGTAGTTTGTCTAATTTATGAGTTGTCCAGACACTCTACATCTGCAGAAAAAAATCATCCCAGGACACCAGAGAATAAATTCTTGTAAAAAATTGAGCATCCCAGGGCATGTTGTTCATATGCTGAGAATTCTATATTAGACTGTCTGGTAGACTGTTGCACCAACAGGCCTCAATAAATCACACTTTTCAGCATCCATGTCATTGTATGGTCCTCTCCTAATTGACTCTAGACTTAGCCCACATGGCTTGCCTCAGCCAAGAGGACATTGGTACATGTGTTGCTTCGGGGCTTGTCCTCCTGAAATGCTGCCACTACAATGTGAAAATATAAAAGAGCCAGCCTGGACTCCTTGAGAATGAAAGACCACGTGCAGGGAGAGGCCTGATAATTCCAGCCTGTTCCAGCTTCTAGGGGAGCTAGAATGGGACTGAGACCAGGCAAGACCAGCACTCAGCTGACCCACAGACTCATGAGAAATAGTGCAGTATTACCATTTAAAGCCACTAGGTTTTGAGTGTTTGTAATGCAGCAAACGATGACTTATCCAAATTGGAAAGATCAGGCAGACTACTAAAAACTTCTTATTAAGAGAATGTTCCCCAAATCCTAGAGCCTTAAAATTTTATGTGTTCAGCCTCATGCACAATCCCAACTGTCCCTGTGACTCTGTGACTCTGCCCCATGAATTTCTCCCATTCTCATAAGAAGGTATGTGAAGAAGGGGAAGTTAAAATAAATTTTATGATAACCAGTGGAGTTTACCATTTATAAGATGAAGAGACCATAAAATATAATGTCAGGACAACTTTTGGTGTGCAGATTAGATTTCTTTCCAGAACATTCTGTGTTTAGAGAGTTGATGTGGAGATTTTAGTCATAGACTCAAAGAAGGTGAGCACAAGCAGATACATAAAATGGCCTTCTAATTGAGGCTCCATTTTTCTCCCTTAGTCTCTCCCCATGCCAGCCTTCTTGATGTTTGACTCAATTGACCGTGGGATTTTCTAGGACCCCTGAGGCTGTTCTGGGCTTGGGTAAGTGAGATGGCTGAGTTGGATAACAACAGTCATAGGATTACATAAAAAATTTAGCAGTAGTGTTGATGCAGGATCATGTAGCTTTGTAAGAGGCCCCTAATGTTCTGGAGGGAGATGGTTTCACCAGCCAACAAGGAAATTAGAAATTCAAGCAAAAGAAGGAGACATAATTGTGTTGGTCATAGGCCAGTTCACCTGTTTTGCCTTCAAAGTTCCCATAAGCCCAAATGACAAGATAATGCAGCGGCTGTTTGGTATTGTAGTAGAGGTCTCTACCATATTAACTTAAAGCATGGGAGCTGAAACTGGTTCTGTGGTCTTCCTAGCACTGGCCCTCCCTCCCCATTCCTCACTAGTACGGAAGCATTGCAGTTCTATTCATCAGTCTATTTTGTATCCTTGTATCAGACCGCTCTTGTCTGGCTATAAAGAAATACCTGAGTCTGGGCAATTTATAACAAAAAGAAGTTTAATTGGCTCAGGGTTCTGCAGGCTTTGCAGGAAGCATGGGGCCAACATCGCTCAGCTTCTGGGGAGGCCTCAGGGGGCTTTTACTCATGGTGGAGGTGAAGTGGGACCACAGGCACATTACATGGCAGTGAAAGCAGGATGAAGAGAGAGAGAGTGGGGTGATGGGGGAGGTACCACGCACTTTTAAATGACCAGATAACGCAAGAACTGACTCACTATCTTGAAGATAGCACCAAGTCATGAGGGATCCGCTCCCATGATCCAAACCAGCCTCCACCTCCAGTATTATCTAAATTATATCAATTTTCTTCCTCCTTTTTATTCCTCTCACTGTAATTTAAGCCCTTGTTTTGAACATGTTCACTTTGCCTTCAATCTCTCCTTGTTCAGGTACTGCCAGATTAATCTTTCTAAAATACAGTACTCCCCTCTAAAAGCTCACCAATAGTGAATGAGAAAAGTATATAATTTTGGTCCTGCTTTCCTGGCTCCTTTCAGTCTAATCTTAAAGAATCCCACTGGCCATATCATTCCTAACTCCTCTTCATCACCCTAGAATCACAGTTCTCTATATAAGGCCATCTTTCTTATCTCTAAGCCTTTGTTCTTAGAATCTCTTTGCCTGGAATGCCTTGTGTCTCATTTCTGCTTGTCTATGTCAGATTCCTCCTTGAAGACCCATCTGAAATACCACATCCTCCATGAAAACCCTACTGATCCTTCCATGTTGATGTAATGTCTCTCCTCCTGAATGCCCACAACTTCATCTCTGTGGCCTTTTTGGCACTTATACTTTCTACTTCTTTATTTAAAGCATTATAATTATTTTCATTCACGACATTTTACCCTTTTAGATATTATGCTCACTACCATCAGGGACTGTTTCCTTTCATTTTCCCCCAGCACTAACAGAGGCTTACCACATGTTCGATGAACAAGCAGAAGCAATCATTCATTTTCCTTTCACGTGATCAATGGAAACTACACCCCTGTGTGTTCCAAGCATATCATGTGAGTACGAAGAGATGAAAAGCAAGAAGAGAAGAAATGCAGGAAGGGAAGGAAGAGGAGAGCCATGTATGGCTTTTTGACTCAAACATTCTAGAAGTAGCACCCTCAATTCTGTCTCTATCGTTTGCCCTAGGAAAAAAAAAAGTTTTATTATAAAAATATATAGCTACTGGCCAGGCACAGTGGCTCATGCCTGTAATCCCAGCACTTTGGGAGGCCAAAGCGTACAGATCTATTGAGCCCGTGAGCTCCAGAGCACTTTGGGCAACATGGTGAAACCCCATCTCTACAAAAAGTACAAAAAATTAGCTGGGCATATTGGTACATGCCTGTGGTCCCAGCTACTTGGGAGGCTGAGGTGGGAGGATAATCTGATCTTGGAAAGTTGAGACTGAAGTGAGCCTAGGTTGTGCCACTGCACTCCAGTGGGGAAACAGGAGTGAGACTCTGACTCAAATGAAACAAAACAAAACAAAACAAAACTATATATATATATATATATATATACACATATACACACACACACACACACACACACACACACATACACACACACACATATGTATATGTATATGTGTATGTATATATATGGCTTTTATGAAAGACTATGAAGAATTTAATAAAACATTTCATTCTAACTATAGTATTTGTTTAGTTGGATCAATATAAATTAAAAAGAAAATTATCTTACAAACATTTTCAAACTACTCTAAAGTGTCAAGAGAATTCTACATCCTTTGATTTAGACACTCTGAAATTCATCTTTGTGCAGTCAGTCCTTCATTAGGCATGAGGGGAATATACAATAAATAAAATAAATACACAAGTCATGGTCTAAAGTAATTTACAATCTAGTTGGGGAATCAAGAATAATGAAATGATTGAATAATAATTCAAGACGGCATATTACTAAAGTTGTAAGATGAATCATGTAAATACTAATCACTGTGTCAGAGTTCTAGAAATGCTGTATTTCAACACAATGGTTACTCAAATCAGTATCACTCACATTTTAGGGATAAAATATATATATATCACTGCATGTAATGAATAATAATTGGAAAAATAATAAAACTTCAAGAGAAAATAAAAATAGGACGGGCATGGTGTCTCAGGCCGGGCACGGTGGCTCACGCCTGTAATCCCAGCACTTTGGGAGGCTGAGGCAGGCGGATCACCTGGGGTCAGGAGTTCGAGACAAGCCTGGCCAATATAGTGAAACCCTGTCTCTACCAACAATACAAAATTCAGCTGGGTGAGGTGGCACACACCTGTAGTCCCAGCTACTCGGGAGGCTGAGGCACAAGGATTGCTTGAACCCAGGAGGCAGAGGTTGCAATGAACCGAAATGGTGCCACTGAATATCAGCCTGGGCGACAGAGCGAGACTCAGTCTCAAAAAAAAGAAAAATAAATAAAATAAAAGCATATGATTCTGTGACAGGATAATAACATCATCTCCATCAGATCACCTCCTCCTTTTATACAGAATAGCATCTCATCTTAGAACACTCAGGCTACAGGAACCATGCCTGAGGTTAAGGTATTCTATAGAACATATTAATAGCTATTAAGTTACAGAGCCACTTAGGCTTAATTTCCAAAAGTGAGCTTACTCAGGTTAATCAGGAAGGCTCTGGCTCTCTCTAGGCTAACCCAAATTTACATGCATTCATTTGTTCAACAAACATATGTTAAGTACTCACTGTATACCATGCACTGAGCTAGGCTCTGGGAACAGAAATATAATGAGGTTAAGTTCCAGCCTTCCTGATACATGCAATGTAACTGGGAAAATGAGGGTGTGCTGGGGACAGCATGGTGTAGCAGAAAGAGCCTTAGACTGCACGTTAGAGGTCTTGAGTCCCAGCCCTGGTTCCCCAACTGCCCAAGTTACTATGTAAACCTAGGCAAGTCATTGATACTCCCTGTACCCAAGCGTCTTTGTGTGTCAATTGAGGATCACAAGGGCCTGCCTCACCAAACATATTATGAGGACAGAAGGAAGTAATAGTCTGAAAGTTCTTTGCAAAGTTAATCTGCACAGATTTATGGTGTCATTATCATTTGTAGTTCACTCAGAGGACTAGAAACAGTATTGGAGCATTAAGTGTCATGTAAATCTTTAGTGACATGTTTCTTCCTTGGAATCTAACTAGGAAATACTGTCTTAAAAAAAAAAAAGTAAGATTGGAGTCTTTTGTTCCTGGGCATTTAATGAGACTGTTTATTCAAACAATTTGGAAACTCTGCTTGCCACATACCAAAACTAACAATGAAATTCATACTTTTAAGTTCAGTATTGGGCAGGAATTCTTCTTTCATTAAAGACTCTCAAGATAATTTCTGAAGCCCAGAGGCATTCTTCCTTTCTCTCTTGTGTGAACCATTTCTCTATTAAAAAGAAGTGTGGATTTGAGACTCTACAGGAACGTACTAAAGTGAAGCTCACTTATAAAATCAACTATATTACAGATTTCTTTTAAAAAATCTCCTCCATTCTTTTTATCCTTCTGGTATTGATTCCTCTGTCTCTTCTCATTTTCTTCTTCCTTGTTTTTTCTTTATATTTCCTCTCTGGGTCAGAATTTGATCTAAAAGAATCACTTGGAATTGTTTGGTTTTCCATCAATACCTTCTTATTGTACTTAAGATGAGTCACACACTGGGTGCGGTGGCTCACACCTGTAATCCAGTGCTCTGGGAGGCTGAGGTAGGAGGATGGCTTAAGGCCAGGAGTTCAAGACCAGGCTGGCCAACATGGCAAAACCCCATCTCTACAAAAAATAAAAAATTAGGCCGGGCGCGGTGGTTCACGCCTGTAATCCCAGCACTTTAGGAGGCCGAGGCGGGTGGATCATGAGGTCAGGAGATCGAGACCATCCTGGCTAACAAGGTGAAACCCCGTCTCTACTAAAAATACAAAAAATTAGCCGGGCGCGGTGGCGGGCGCCTGTAGTCCCAGCTACTCGGGAGGCTGAGGCAGGAGAATGGCGTGAACCCGGGAGGCAGAGCTTGCAGTGAGCCGAGATTGCGCCACTGCAGTCCGCAGTCCGGCCTGGGCGACAGAGCGAGACTCCGTCTCAAAAAAAAAAAAAAAAAAAAATTAGCCAGGCCTGGTGGCACATGCCTGTGGTCTTAGCTACTTGGGAGGAGCGTTTGAGCTTGGGAGGTTGAGGCTGCAGTGAGCAGTTATCAAGCCACTGCACTCCAGCCTGGGTGATAGAGTAAAACCCAGTCAAAAAAAAAAAAAAAAAAAAGAGTTGTTGCTTTGTTCAGGCTCAAAAGCTTGTGTGTGACTTGCAGGTCTTCAACTCTGAACCCAGGACTGAGTAGAAACTGGAGCCGAGTCATCTACACATCCAGCCGGCCATGAACCAGTGCAGCTTTGGAGGTAGCTCCCATCTGCTCTCCATCAAGAGACATAGGTGCTGTCTGTTAGAAGAGAGACCCGATGGTGACTTGCTTCACTTTCACTCTCAAATTCAGTAAGGTAAATGAGCTAGTTAAGTTAACGTAGTGTAATAACTATGTAAAGAGATTAGGCATCAGAAAGTCTTTGTTTTAATTCTGTATGCCACTGACTAGTTCTGTGATATTTAAATTGGTGAATGTGGCAATATAATTTCTATGAATCTAGAACCCTCTCTGTGAAGGGTTCAGGGAGCTACCCTCTTTCATATTTCTCTATTTGTGTAGAATGATCTGTCATCTATGGGCCATGCCCTTTCACTAGAAGCTATGCCAGGTGTTGTATACATTTAATTGTCCTTAAAATACCAACACACCAGTCAAAACCAACTCTGTTTCAAACTTAAACAATGGCACTTATCGAAGAGGCCATAAGCTGGCTCTGATTCAAACATACACTTAGAGGAAGAGGCAAAGTGTCTTACTTTACCAAAGGGCAGAATGCACTTCAACTTCCAGTTAGAGAAATCTGGAGGACACTTGGAGCCATGCATGGGGTGTGTGTGGGAGTGGGCGAGCCTTTGGTGCCAAAGAGGGAAATGCCTTCCTCAGCTAAAGGGCCAGAGGGAATGTCGGGGGTTTCAAAACCAGGAAGAAGTGGAAGGAAGGAAAGAAGTAAAACTTGTGTATGTTGCGCATCCCATAATAAGCCAGACACTGTCATCTTATGCATCTCATTTCATTCCCATCCTATTAAATGACAGTCTGGGTTTGGTGGAAAGTCTATCTCAGACTGAGTTTAGGAACTCACTCAAAAACCAGAATGAAGAAGATGATTATCTAGCCTTATATATGTTTCAGTAAAGTCCAGGAAGTGCCATTACTGCTTTTTCAACATTTCTCATAGCCAATTAACTTTATTTCCATATATTTTAGTGGCTCTCAACCTTGGCCACACATTAGTATCCCCTTGGATGCTTTGAAAAAATGCTGATATCTGCGCTCCATCTCATCCCAATCAAATAACTCCTTGGAGGAGTAGACAAAGAGGCAAATGTTACAAAGAAAATCTCCCTGGGTTATTTTAATATGTACTTGAGAACTGCTGTACTCATTTGCAGAAAATTCCTTATAAAACTAAAAGGGATTTGTGCACTTTTTGCAAAGATTGCCTGTAAGAGAGAAGCTAGGAAATGGAAACGCATTTCTGAATCTGGTCCAAAAAAGAGATGAGATTTGATTTTATGAGTCTAGTAGACCTTATCAAAACTGCCTGGGAAGATCCAAGGAACACCAGAATATTAGAAAAAGTTTGCTTCTGCTCCTTTCTCAGAGCTTTGACCCATAAAAAAGCACTGGTTACCATAGGCCACTGCAGATGTCCCATATCGTTGGGATAGCGACTGTCCAATTCCACCCATAAGTTTGAGGTGAGCAGTTCTCTGAGACACGGGCTGCTTGTCACTGTATTACAGAAATATAAGAAACCACCGGGCATGGTGGCTTACACCTGTAATCCCAGCACTTTGGGAGGCTGAGGCATGCAGATCACGAGGTCAGGAGATTGAGACCAGCCTGACCAACATGGAGAAATCCTGCCTCTGCTAAAAATACAAAAAATTAGCCAGGCGTGGTGGCACACACCTGTAGTCTCAGCTACTCTGGAGGCTAAGGCAGGAGAATCACTTGAACCCGGTAGGTGGAGGTTGCAGTGAGCCAAGATCGTGCCACCACACTCCAGCCTGGAGACAGAGCGAGACTCCATCTAAAACATATATATACACACATACATACATACACACACATACATATATACACATACACATACACACACACACACACACATATATATATGTATATATATATATACACACACACATATGAGAGACCAGAAATGTCTAATTAGCAACTCAGAGTGTGGATTTTAGAGAAAGAACTCCATAAAGGTAACTCTTGGAAAAACATTAAATATTACAGTAATGTAATTGATTCAAAGATGAATGTAAAGACCAATAATTTATCTTGGTGTTTATGAAGATGAAGAAATAAAGGCCCATACAGAACCATACACAAATGAAAATAGTTCAAAATCAAATCTAACTGCTCACAGAGAGCTGAAAACACAGCAGACCCTAAATATATTTTTAATGATTGATGAACTGATTAAGATTTATTTTGAGATTTGATCAGTTTTTAGTAAAGTTTAAATGTTTTTGTATTTTTCTTTCATTTGTACGTTACATTCACTGTGGTACAAGTGTATACCTGCTCTAACAGTTAAAAAGTGGTTGAGGTTTCTGATGCTGATCATAAAATATGACAGGAAAAATACTCTATTTTATAAAGAAAACATATGAAGGCAATTTTCATTGTCTGTAGAACTGAAATAAGGATTAATCTTTATCTCAGAAAAAGTGCAAAGTGGCTTATCCTGTCTTTCTGGCAACAATAGGGCTGGCAGTGTTGCACAACTCCAGGGGGCGCCTTACACATAGTGATCTCTGTGCTTGTCCCCTGCCCACCCACAGTTGTACAAGGGCCATGCTATGCCATTTTACTTGACAGCCCTGGGCAGCAGGGCTCCTAAGCAACAGTCCAAAAGGAAGGCCAAGGAACACATCCATTAAAATGTAGGCTATTTGTTTCATGGTATTCATTACCACGAATAAATGACAAATTAAAAATATTAGTAACCAATAAATAGATGTTTAGCTTTCTCTTTAAGTTCTGGCAGTGAACGCTGCAGCAGAGCATTCCTGAACACATGTTGGTGCTACCATGTTCCATGTCTGTGACTCGTCAGTGGCCAGCCCCTGTCAGCAGTCTTCCCCACATTCGTCCCTATAACACATCCTAGATCATGGAGGGGGGAAATGTTTTCCTCTGAGAGTACTGGCCCAAAGGGAGGGAAAAAGTAACTGAAGGCCCCACAAGTAATAGGCCACCTGATTTTTTTTTAGAGCATTATAAAACATTCTTGGCCAGGCGCAGTGGCTCACGCATGTAACCCAGCACTTTGGGGGGCCAAGGTAGGCAGATCACCTGAGGTAAGGAGTTTGAGACCAGCCTGGCCAACATGGTCAAACTTAGTCTCTACTAAAAAACAAACAAACAAAAAAAAAAAACAAAAACAAAATACAAAGTTAGCCAGTTGTGGTGACAGGTGCCTATAATCCTAGCTACTTGGGAGGCTGAGGCAGGAGAATCACTTGAACTCAGGAGGCCGAGGTTGCAGTGAACCAAGATTGCATCACTGCACTCCAAGCCTGGGCAAAAAGAGTGAAACTCCATCTCAAAAAAAAAAAAAAAAAAAAAAATTCGAATTGTCTACTTTTGAAATTAAGGGAAAAACATCTACCTTTTCTCTTCCAGACCATGCCAATTAAAAGAGGAAATTCCAGGAGTCAGCAGAAAGGAAACAAAAAGAGAAGGTGATAGAGGAGAGGGGAGACCAAGTGAAGAGGATGGAGAAGAAACTATAAAAATAAGAGAAGAAGAAGAGTTCATGGCAAATATAGGAAAGAGCCACGAGACAAGAAGGATGGAAATGGGCAGATGAGAGAAAAGGGAAGAGAGTCTGGGTTCTGAGTTGTTTGCATTATTTGTGTACAGCGTGCGTTCCTTTGGGCTGTCAATATTATTTCAAGATAGAAGCACCAAGGTGTTTCCTTACCTAATCTCTGAAGTGGCAGACCATCATCACTTCTGCCGGGTTCTATTGGTCAAGCATACCAACCTTTACAAAGTGGCAGGGAGCTATGCAAGGATGTGAATACCAGGAGGATAGGATCCCTGGGAATGACTTGGAAGGTAGGTGGCATGGTGGGCAGAACCCACAGCCTAGGGTGAGATGGCAGGAATGTGGAATTCCAGTACCTTAATGTGATATGAACTGATCTGAGTGAATGTGTTTGAACACTCACCACATGCCAAGAGCTCTTCTAATCTCTTTGCATGTAGCATCTCATTTAACCCTCTTGACAACTTACCGAGGCAGACACTCTTTATCTAGAGGAGGAAAGTGAGGTACAGAGGTTAGTAGCACAGTGATAAAGCTGTTATAAGGAAGGACTTGCCAGGACCTGGAGAGAGACTGGGTGTGAGGAAGGTAGGCTGTCACAGTGTCCTGTGGGATTTTTCCTAACTGATAAACCACCCTGTATGGTTCAACTGATGCATCCATGCAGGGCTAGGATTCATTCTGACCTCGTCATAGCAGCTTTCCAGGGGCCAATCCCACTCCAGCCTAAAGCACCCCATATGCTATCATTTAAACTGCAGTAGGAACTAAGCCTTACACCAGAAATTCCTCCCTGATGGGATTCCTGGAATTGTTCCTAAATAGCTGGGTCTTATTTCCTGACAATGCCGCCTGCCCCGAGGCTTGATGTAACTCTGCACAGCTTCTGCAGTTTGGAGAGGCAGGGAAATGCCATTTTGTGTTTGAATCCAGC
Organism: Homo sapiens; assembly: GCF_000001405.40. Lineage (NCBI taxonomy): Eukaryota > Metazoa > Chordata > Mammalia > Primates > Hominidae > Homo > Homo sapiens. The sequence continues at coordinate 19,312,815 of NC_000008.11, forward strand.
AGGTCAGGCTCCTAAAGAGGTCAGGTAGTCCGTGGAGAGGACTACTGGTGTTTACTGTTTATTACATCTCTCCCAATACACAAAATCTGGGGTTCACCAAAGCAGGCGGTTTTCTTCCACATGCTCCTCTAGGATGGAAAATGCCCTCCAGTGGAAATGCCTTTCCACTGTGCTTCTGCTCAATTTTCCTCCAAGATTTCCTCTAACTGTGGACTGCCAGCTCCTCCCTGACGTCTTCAGGCACCAAGCCAACCTGTTCTTGTTGCAATCCTCAAGACTCCTTTCAGCATCTTAACTTTTCCCCCAGTTTTCTTTCATTTTCTCCACCTGTCTGTGTTGACTGCGGTCTCCTTCCTTCCAGCCTTTTCCTTCCTTCATCTTGTCCTACAAAGCCACACGTGTACCGACAAGTGCCAAAGAGTTTGATCATTTACTTAATGTCAACAAAAGAAAAAAAAAAAAAGCTCCAGAGTCGCCTTGGCCTGCAGCACCCAAGCAGAGTGAACAAGTGGGGCCTGCGCACCCTCCTACCCTACACCTAGCAAGGAACCCCGAGCTCTGAAACGTGGAAAGGCCCAGATCTGCAGATTTAATCTAAGTCCTGCAGTCCCCAAGAGATCACAGACTGCAGATCCCTGTCTCATGAACTAAGAGAGGAGAGGACAAGCCTACCCCGGACTACCGCAGCTCGGGGACAGCGCGCGGGCCAGGCGGCCCGAGATGCGCAGGCCACGCAGCCTCGCCGACGAGTGGCCCTGGAGAGCCTCCAGGCGCCCGGGTGGGGCCGCGATTGCGCCCCGCCAGTCACCCCGGCATGTGGGCGCGGCGGGGCGGCGCGGGCGGGACGGCTACAAGAGCTGTTTTGCGTCCGGGCCGGAGTATTTGCTCAGCCCGCCTGCGCCGCTTGGGACGCCTCTGCCTTTCCCTCCCTCCCTTCCCCGACGGCTTCTGGCGGCCAAGTGGATGTGGCGGGTGATCGAGCCACCCTGCCCAGGGGCGCCCAGCACTGGTAGGTGCTGGGGGTGGGGCGAGGCTTTGGGGAGAGTGTGCGTGGGGTGGGAGTAGGGGGAAGGGAATTTCCTCGGAGGTTGCATGGGTGCATGGGAGGCGCAGGGGCCAGAGCGGGCGGGCGGAAGCCTCACCCCCGCCTCCACCCCTTCGCGGCGCCCGGGGCGGGCTCAGGTGCGGGGTTGGGCGGCGAGAGCGGCCGCGGCGGGTGTCCGGTGTCCGGTGTCCGGTGTCCGGTGTCTGGAGCCGCTGGCTAGGTGAGCGGCGGTCCCCGGGGCCTGGGGGCTTGCAGGGGGTGGCGGGGGAACTTCGAGGGAGAGGGTCTGCCGGGGCTGAGGACCTTCGGGGAAGTTCTGGAATCCGGCAGGGACACGCGGCGCGTGCTTCCACCCGCGGGGAGTGCAGGCCCCGGGAGGGTCCGGGCTGGCCTAGAGTTTCTAGACTCCTAGCAGGAGCACGTCCTCGACTTGCGCATGGAAATCTTCCAGGAGGGAAGTCCCGGGAAACGGTGGCAGCTGGCGCAGCACCCCCGCAGCACGTTCCCCGCGCACCGGCACCCAGGGGCGCCCCCACGTGGGGTCTGGGAGCGCGCGGAGGCCAGTGCAGCGCCGCCTCCCTCGGGCTGCAGCGGCGGGGCTGGCCCAGACCCAGACCGGGTGCCCAGTGCGCTCAGCCAAGCGGCGCCCCTGCCCGCTCCTGGACTCGGGGGTCACGCGGGCACCGGAAGGAGCTACAGTTTGTAGGTTTTCTGAGTTGTCTCTCCCTTCCCAGGGAGCTTAGAGAAGCAGCAAGCGTGGCACCTCCCCCTTTCAAACAGATGCTCCTCATCGCTCCAAAGGCTTTCGTTTGATTGCTGGTTTAATAGAAACAACGACTTGGGTACGATTATTTTAAAATAGTGAATAAATAAGTGGAAAGCATACAGGGGCATAGATTTGGCATATGAGTGGAATTCTCTATGTATACTAAATCTGTGTGTACAGTAATCTCAAATTTCTGAAGAATAGTATATATTTACAAACTGCTGTCATCTCTGGTAATTTGTTTCATCCTCAAAAACAGCCCTTTTGCTGGTAGATGAATAAGATAAAGTTTCAATAAGAAAACAAAGTTGGACCACAGAGCTGGCTGTTTTAAAAGAATTAGAATTCAAACTGTATTGTTAATGTTATAGTTACACTGTCCATACCACAATACTTTTATTTATTTTTTATTTTATTAGGTCGGTGCAAAAGTAATTGCGGTTTTTACGTAAAAAAAACCGCAGTTACTTTTTTTTTGGCCATGTAAAACACAATAACTTTTGCACCGACCTAATGTTTTTAATTTTTGAGACAGGGTCTCCTTCTGTCACCCAGGCTGTGGTGCAGTGGTGCGATCTCGGCTCACTGTAGCCTCAAACTCTCCAACTCAAGAGATCCCCCCACCTCAACCTCCCAAGTAGGTGGGACTATAGGTGCGGGCCACCACGCCTGGCTAATTTTTATACTTTATGTAGAGACGGAGTTTTGCCATGTTGCCCAAGCAGGTCTTGAACTCCTGAGCTCCAGCAATCCACCCATGTCCACCTCCCAAAGTGTTGGGATTACATGTAGAACCACTGTGCCCGCCTACTATTTTTATGATTTAGCCTGTATCTAAGGCCTTTTAAAATTGTATTTTGTTTAGGTCTCAGAGTTATTCAAAAGACAGTTGTATTGTAGAACAGTGTGAAGGTGTGAGAATCAGGCCAAATCTATGGTATCATGGAAAACAACGGATTCTCTGACCTTTTAGCAATTGGTGTTCAGAATAAATAGCAGGTGTGGGCTTGTTGCTTATCATTTCTCTCTTTTAAGAAAGGGGCTGTGTTAGCTGAGCTATTCCTTTGTTGGATCTTGAATAACCGGAGATTTGCTGCCCTTGATATAGTATGGGAAAGTCCTCTGAGTTTGAATCAGTATCAGCAATGATTACTTCCTTGTCAGGGAGTGAAAGTAGGAAAGCCCTAGTTAGTTAATTTCCTGATTTCTATTTCTTCTACCCTGGCTCCACCAGGCTCCTTCGCTTCACAGTAGATTATGTCAGATACCCACACATTAGAAGTCACAGACTGAACCAGTCCTCGTTTCACAGATGAGGAAACTGAGTCCCAAGGAGGTGAGGTGACAGCACAGAGTCACACCGCTCACTAGAGGCGGAGCTGGGAGTTGAGGCTGGAGTGCCTCTGGGTGTCTTGGGTGTACTGTGCTGAGCTTGAGTTGGGGTCTGAGAAAGCCTTGGAGCGGGGGTTAGGGGTTGGGAATTAGAGGGTGAGGGGGACAGGTGATTTACACCAGTACCATTCAGCAGTGGCAGAATGGCCACATCGTCAACGGCCTGACCACAGATAGTTGTCGGCTGGGTCCCCCAAGTATTCTTGGAGGCACAAGGAAGCCAGTGTCTTTCCTTCAAGATGAACTAGTTAATTTTAATGTTAGAAATCCACGTTTGCTATAAAAAGTAAAACAAAACAACATAAAAATGGAAATAATGTGAGAATTTCATCACAGAGGTGCCATGAACCTCCTTGCACATGTGAGAGGCTGTGCTTTTTGTGCTGTTCTTAGTGTTTGTTTGGAAGGGGAAATTGTAGAGACGAAGTGGATGACTAAGTGCAAGGGGAAATGGGACTAAGTGTCTGGTGAATACGTGGGTAAGCAATGTCCACACCTGGGTCAGTGTGACAGTCGGTTCCTTGCTGTCCTTCCTGGCTGGGGTGTGTGCACCTGGCCTCCCCTAAGCTTAGCTACAGTTGACCAGGAGGAGGCTTCTGCCCTGTGTCAAGCACCATCAGTTCAGCGTTTCTGTTGCTGCAGGAATTTGCTGGCTTCCATTCTGAAATTTCATACATGGCACCACATCCTGCTGTTCTGATTCTGGGCACACAAATAAACTCACAAAAAGGCCTCTGTGTTGTGTATTACAGTGAAGCTGAGTTAGAGCTGGACTGCCCGGCTCTGCCGCTTACCAGCTGCTGACCTGTGCTCTATCTTCCTAATCTGTGAGATGGGCATAGTGATGGGCTGGACTCCAAGGGTTATTGTGAAGATTAAGTGAGTTAACACATGTAGAGTGCTTAATTAAGATGGTGCCTGGTACAAGAAGTGTTAGCTGTGTTATCAGGAATATGCAGGGCGGGGGAGACTGGAGGAATATGACTTTGACACTTTAAGGGTTTTAGATTCTAGGATCTACCCATGCCTTGAATAGGATTCGCTGCATTCAAAATGGGGAACACAGCAGAAGTCTCAACCCCAGCTGAACTGTTCATCTTCTGCCGTGTGTGATTTCTGCGAAAACCAACCATTGAACTTAAGGACATTTACTGGAATGTCAAGGAGTCATTCTGTCTCCTTTCTTACCACTTTATCTTGGAGCTTGTGGATTTCATTGGCTCCACCCTTTGAGAAGCTGCTAGAAACAAAAAGTCAAAAGTCAAGAAATCTTGACAAGACATCCATTTTTTTTTTTTTTTTTTTTTTTGGCTGTTCAAGCCTTTAAGGGTATCTCAATGCAAAATACAAAGTTGGCAAGTGGATCTGGGAAGGGCGTGATATTACTTTTAGTCCTTTAAAATTTTTCTCTTAATGTTTGGTTCCATTTGGATTCTGGTAGTTGAATGCTGCCGAGATGATAGGTTGCAGTCAGTAGGGATAGGTGTAGTTTCATCAAGGGCCTGGCTTCACAATGAACAGTCAGCGAATCTAAGAGCTGAGTATGCACACCACTCTGTGGTAGCCTAGCTGTTGAGCGTGCTTGTCTCAAAAGACAGGTGTAAATCAAGGAACTACTTTGCACGGAAGAGGAGGAAGACGGGAAGCTGAAGGAGGCCCCCAGATGGTGAGAGGGGCATTACAAATCTAACTGTATCAATGACAAGGTGAACGAAGAGAAACCAACAACACTACGATGGTCATAATATAGCTAAGTGACTTGTCTGAAGTTTAAGACTGTTTGAACATAGTATGGAGAAACAACGTATTTGAGAGCACATGGCAAGGTGGTAAGATTATTGAGGTGTTATTATAAATAACAAATTATTGGTCAATTTCTTTTTTTTTTCTTTTTTTATTTTTGAGACAGAGTCTCCCTCTGTTGCCCAGGCTGGAGTGTAGTGGCGCGATCTCGGCTCACTGCAACCTCTGCGTCCTAGGTTCAAGCGATCTCCTGTCTCAGCCTCTTGAGTAGCTGGGATTACAGGCACCCACCACCATGCCCAGCTAATTTCTGTATTTTTTGTTTTTTTAGTAGAGATGTTGGTCATACTGGTCAGACTGGTCTCGAACTCCTGACCTCGTGATCCCCCCTCTTTGGCCTCCCAAAGTGCTGGGATTACAGGCGTGAGCCACCCCGCCTGGCCTATTGGTCAATTTCTTAGGACACATGTGATTCTGAAAAGTTGTAGTAAGTTTTTTTTCTTATATCTTATTACATCGAATCCAAAGTCTTTTGTTTTCCAGAATAGATATATTTACATAGTTTCCTGCTGATTACAAAAGTATGATGGTTTATGGGACTTAGAAATTGTTTAAAAATAGAGAGAGAAAGTATGACAGTGTGGTAATATTTTTAAGCCAATATTTTAAAATAGAAATGTGGAAAGTAGAATGAAACCTCAGTAGGATTTCCAACCACAGGAGAACTTCTAGGAGGCCACTGTGCACTCTCGCTTTATGGTTTCTCTTTCAAGGAGCCATGCGGTAAAGTCATATAAATGAAGGATCCTTTGTTATGAACCTAATGACCTCTTCATCCCCCTAGTTTATCTGGTCTGTCCATTTAGATTTTATTAAACTAGGTTATCTGGAAAAAGCACACCTAAAACTCGGTGACCTTCCAGAATGTAGATGGATGTTCTCTCTTGCACCTGCCCTGATTTTCATGGCTCTAGTAGGTTATCTGGAAATTACATTATCCTTTTGTGAAGAGGAAAGTACATAATTTTGTTTATTTAATGCTACTTTTTAGGGAAATTGCAGAAAATGCATGGTGGTCTAGTTTTTATTTCTTCCTTTTTCTTCCTTGAGCATGGCTCTATTTTGGTTTGGTTTGGGATGAGTTACTCTGTGACATATCAAAAGTGGTATTTTCTTTTGAAATAGGTACTTTGCAGAGAGCCTTTTAATTTCTTCCTGTGACTTTTTTTTTTCTTTCTTTTTTCAGCCACACAGTTGGTGGTTTGTTAGGCTCTGGGGTAATAATGTGTTTGCTTAGTTGGGAGCTGGACAAACCTCTGTGAACTTTTTTTGTTTGCCTGAGATTGACCTGTATAAAGTTAGGGTTTGTTTTCTTTTTTTTTTTGACAGAGTATCTTTAGAAATTACAGGATAGAGGTTATACAAACTCTTAACAAAGTGTGCCTCAGATTTTCTTCTTCTCTTTTCTCTCTGAACTGAAAAGTGATACTGTGTTTCCTCCTAGCTTTTTTTTTTAAACCCGTCCTAGCCAGTGTCCACACATTTTAACACGCTGCCTGAATGTGGGCTCTTTCTCTCTGCAGGTTCAGTGAACAGCATTTTGGACAGGACATTTGGTGCCAGGTCTGAGTAGCCAGTTTGCTGAATTATTGTCCCAGTCAGCCAGGATTGTGAGCTGTTTGGGAAGTTTCGTGGAAACGCCCAAGTGCCAGCACAGGTGGAGGGACACCTGGAGGCCAGTTTCAGGAACTTTTGCCACAAGTATAAAAGACTTCAGAAGTGCAAAGATGCTGAAACAGATACTGTCGGAGATGTACATAGATCCTGATCTACTGGCAGAGCTCAGCGAAGAACAGAAACAGATCCTGTTCTTCAAGATGAGAGAGGAACAGATCCGACGATGGAAAGAAAGAGAAGCAGCTATGGAAAGAAAGGAGTCCCTGCCAGTGAAACCCAGACCAAAGAAAGGTAAACTTATCCACGTTTCTTCTGTGGATGTGTTGGTAGAACAGCTCCTGGCTTGCTTTGACAATTTCACACTAGTCACAAGCAAAGCAGGTGCAAGTTCCAGTTTGGCAGATGAATCCTAAATGTTATTGAGAATCTAATAGTGCAGTATGTCCACCTGAAGTCTACACACACACACACAGCATTCACCATGGAGTTGCATAGCTATGAGGAAATCTTTTACTTGAAACCAGACTAACCTGAAGCTGTATTAAAAAGTCACCTATGAGGTTTGATTTGAGGGGTATTAAGAAAGGTTTCTATCTCCTTTATTGTTACTGGTTCCTAATATGCTACTACTAGAACACAAAGTTCTTGTGTCAGTATATTTATAGCAATTGTGTTTGCATTTCTTAGACCTCAGAGATTTTTCTTTGAGGTATCTTTTTAGGGAACACCTCCTGTTAAAATGTAAGGAATTGCTATAAGGAAAAAAATCATAATACTATCTTTTTTTAGTGTGAATGAGTTTCTCAGATGTAAACTTTTCCTCGTTATCAAAGGAATCTCTGGTAGTTTGAGAGGGTTCTTTTGAGACCATGGGGGAGGAAATCTTTGTACATTAAGACTTAAAGCAGACAAGGTGCAGTGGCTCATGCCTGTCATTGCAGCACTTTGGGTGGCCGAGGTAGGAGGATCACTTGAGTCCAGGAGTTCTGACCAGCCTGGAAATATAGTGAGACCTTTTCTTTAGGAAAAATAAAAAATTAGCTGGGCATGGTGGTACATGCCTATAGTCCCAACTACTTGGGAGGCTGAGGTGGTGTAATTGCTTGAGCTCAGGAGATCGAGGCCACACTGAACTGAAATCACACCTCTGCACTCCACCCTGGGTGACAGAGTGAGACTGTGTGTCAAAAAAAAAAAAAAAAAAAAAAAGACTTAAAGCATATACACATACAGACACAGAAAAATACACATTGTCCACCCTCCTCACTCCGTTCTCACTAACCCCCACACCCCCGCCTTGCTGTTTACATGCGAAGTCTGTCATGGGTGAATACCAAAGTTGTGAAAACACAGCACACTTTTCAAGGTCACTTGCAGAGGCATCTAAGACCGTCTCTTTTCATGTTTCATTAAACCAGGAAAATAAAATTTTGTAAAATCACATATGGTTTCAAAGATTGAGAAAATGAATCTCTCTTGCATCCCTGGTATATGCCCAGGTTCACAAAGGAGGTCAGTGTAGCGTCCTTTACTTTTTACTGTCTTTTATTAAAACTTTTTTCCAGTGATGCCTTTATCATGACAAGGAAATAAACAGAAATATGTCATTTCCTCTTGTTATGATCAATACAACTATTTATGAAACACCTCCTGTTTCAGACACTATGTGAAGCACATTTATGCATATAATGCCTAACCTTCACAAAACTTCTGCAAAGTCAGCAGTGACAGTCCTGTTTTACAGATGATGAGACTTAGAGAAGTTCATTTTTTTTTTTGCTTGTTTGTTTGTTTGAGATGGAGTCTCACTCTGTCGCCCTGGTTGGAGTGCAGTGGTACAATCTTGGCTCAATGCAACCTTCGTCTCCCGGGTTCAAGCAATTCTCCTGCCTCAGCCTCCCAAGTAGCTGGGATTACAGGCATGTGCCACCACACCCAGCTAATTTTTGAATTTTTAGTAGAGGTGGGGTTTCTCCATGTTGGCCAGGCTGGTCTTGAACCCCAGACCTCAAACGATCTGCCCACCTGGGCCTCCCAAAGTGCTGGGATTACAGGCCTGAGCCACTGAAGCTGGCCATGAAACTTAGATAAGTTGAGTAATATATGCAAGGTTATACCACCAATAGATGCCCAGTTCTGTTGGATTTTACATTATTCTGCACTATCCAAAATACAACTTTTCCTCCAACAAATAACATGGCCAAACTGAAACATAACTCTTTTTCTTTCTAAACTGGTTTATGCACCTTCTTGGATTCCCCAGTCAGAGTTTTTCAGATATAATTGGGTCTCTTCTGGGCACCATGTTCACTGTGAACATAACATATATTAGTGTGATGGGGTGACCTTGGGGACTAGCAGCCAAAGGGTTCTTGCCACTAGAGTCAATGGCCCAGACTCTGTTAGACTTTGGGTTTCTCGTGTTTGCTGAATTGGTCTCCTTGTGATGACTTAAAATAATAATTTCAGTTTCTTTGCTTACATTTCTCGCTTGTAGGGTTTTGAATCTACCTCTCAGAAACCCTGTGTTAACTTTGTTAGTCAAATGATCATGAGAAAAGTATGTTAATATAAGTGGGGAAAGTTCTATCAATATCTCACGTCAAAAGTGTATTACTCCCTTAAATTGAAAACTTGGAAAAATATATTTTGCATTAAATTAGTTCCTCTTCTGACTACAGAAAGGGAAAAAGTTACTCCCACTTCCCCTAAAATCCCATCACTTCTCTTTCATCTTGCGCTGTCTTTGAAGATAAAGCCATAGACCGTCCAAAGCAATGCTGTCATGGCTGGTGCTGCCAGAGGTGCTTATCTGTGCTGCAGACCTGCTAAGCCCATGACCCTTGTGGGTTGACAGGTCACTCGTGCATCTGATCCCTGAAGGCTTGTGCTCCCTGCCTCCCCTTCTCCCGCCTTTCTGGTTAGTACTGAGCTAAGTGCTGCTTTTTCTTAGCAGTTCTTAGCCACACGGTGGTTTTGAAGGTTGTTCATTTCATTAAAAACATCATAGGCCACCCCTGCCATTCCTTGACCCCCTCTAGCTTATCACTTAGAAGTTCCTTCATTGTCATCTGGTCATTTTTCACTACGAATACACAGACCCCTGTGCTTAGTGTTTGGGGATCATCACTAAAATTGTTGTGTATTGTGCATCACAGAAACTTGTCTATTATTCTTTTTTTTTTTTTTTTTTTTTAAAGACAGAGTCTTGCTCTGTCTCCCAAGCTGCAGTGCAGTGGTGTGAGATTTCAACTCACTGCAACCTCTGTCTCCCTAGCTGCAGTGCAGTGGTGTGACATTTCAACTCACTGCAACCTCTGCCTCCCAGGTTCAAGCGATTCTCCTGCCTCAGCCTCCTGAGTGACTAGCTGGGATTATAAGCACCTGCTACCATGCCCAGCTAATTTTTGTATTTTCAGTAGAGACAGGGTTTCACCATGTTGGCCAGCCTGGTCTTGAACTCCTGACCTCAAGTGATCCACCCACCTCCGCCTCCCAAAGTGCTGGGATTACACGCATGACCCACCGTGCCCGACTTGTCTACTTGTTAGTAATCTGAAGGCTGAAGTAGAAGGGGCTGAAAAACTATCAGCATGTGAATTTAACTTAGTACTATATGAGAAGATCATTTCTGATTTCTGTAGTGGGAGAATGTGATACTTAGGGAGAGACGTATGGATCTACTCTGCTTGCTGGGGTAGCTAGAGGTCTACAGCCGCACCGTCCAGTGCAGTCACCACAAGCCACATGTGGCTCTTGAGCACAGGAAATGAGGCTAGTCTGGATTGAGGTGTGCTATACATGTAAACTACCGGATTTCAAAGACTTGGTAGAAGGAAAAGATAATGCCACATTAATAATTGTATATTCCTTATATATGGAACTGATGATATTTTGTATATCTTGGGTAAAGTAAAATACTTAATTTCACCTGTTCCTTTTGATTTTTTTTTTTTTTTGAGACAGAGTCTCTTGCTCTGTCTCCCAGGTTGGAGTACAGAGGCATGATCTCAGCTCACTGCAACCTCTGCCTCCTAAATTCTAGCGATTCTCCTTTCTCAGCCTCCCAAGTAGTTGGAGTTACAGGTGTGCGCCAGCACACCCAGCTAATTTTTGTATTATTAGTAGAGATGGGGTTTCACCATGTTGGCTAGGCTGGTCTCAAATTCCTGACCTTAGGTGATCCACCTGCCTCGGCCTTCCGAAGGGCTGGGATTACAGGTGTGAGCCAGGGCACCCGGCCTCCTTTTGATTTTTTTAATGTGGCTACTAGAAAAGTGATAGTTATGGATGTGGTACACATTTCTGCATGCTATAATGGTAGCACCAGCCAGCATTCAATACGCTTAACTGGGTATCAGACCCTGAGCATTGAGATTAAGTATATTGTCTCACTAAATAATCACAGCTAAGCCTGAAGTGTGTGTTGCTATTCACTTTTCACAGATGAGGAAAGTCAAGCTCAGGGACGTTCATTAACTTGGCCAGGGCAAACAGTAAGTGACACAGCTGGAATAGATCCTGGGTCTCATTCTCCCAAAGCCAGCACTGTAAACAAATAAACTACACGTAGAGCTTAACTGGAGCTTAATGACAGTGACTTTTGTCTGAAGCTACCTTCACTGGACCTTAATGACAGTGACTTTTATGTGAAGGCGCCTTGCGCACATCTAAAACATGTGCTCGCGTCAGGAATCTGCCACAGAGCCTTCTTCTTGGGTGATTTTATTGGGTAACGCAAACAGAAGACGCCTTCGCTTAGCAGCGTGTTTCCCAGCACTTGTTTCATGGGGTCTATGTCAAGTTGATGGAAACCTAATGCAATGGGCTGAGATCTGGTTGCTGTGCAAGGTGCGGAAGGGGCTCCTCTGTGTGCCCTTGAAACAGACTTGGATTCATACAGCTTTTTTTGCTGCGTTCTCATTGTTCCCAAGGGGGCAGATCCTTTATGAAAAGCTTTCCCTCTATTTTTGTGAAATAATGTTAAGGCCATTGGTTCATGCCATTGACAGTGTTTGCCTCCCTGTCTTTCCCTTTTGAACTCACTGCATGCAGTAGGGCTATCAGCACAGGGGCATCACCTGCTGGATTCCTTCCTTATCTTGATCAATTCCTCAGCCGCCTCTGACTCTAGATGCCTCTTGGTGTCTCTCTCTTGGAGTTGCCGCCCAGTCACGAGTGTCTTGCTCTCTCCCTGTTTCTTTTTTCTTCTCTGCCTTCATCTTGAATATCTGTATTCCCCAGGGGGTGCCTCACACTGCACTGGTGGTTTGTGGTTTTGAGATGAGGCTGGGGGATCATAGACTCCTTTGAAAATTTACTGAAAGCTTAGAGCTAGGAAAATGCACAGAGACACCATTCTGTGTATAATCTCACAATGTTCATAGACTCCCTGAAGCTCATTCATAGACTCTCAGGGGTTCGCAGATCCTAGGGTAAGGTGAAAGTTCTGATTATCTCCCTAGGGCAACTCTTATAACCTTTAAACGTGAAACATCACCTTCATGCCAGTGACTCAAACCCAGATTGCCAAGCCAGACCTCTCACCCGAGTGTTGGTTGCCTGGTGAGCACCTCCGTTCAGAAGACCTGTAAGCCTTGCAAGCTTGATGCAAAACCCAATTCACCAGCATCACTCCAACTCCCTCCGGCGTCTGCTGGTCCTGCCTTTTACTCTCTATGATGATGGGTGGTATTGCTCTGTTCCCAGTCACCAAAACCAGAACTCCAGGAGCCACGCTGTTTCCTCCCTGACCCTCACTCACCCACCTAGTCTCTGATGCCTTGGGTTTTGCTTCATCAGTCCCATTCCATAGAGATTTCCCACTACCAAGATACTGTTCTGTTAGGATGTGCCAAGCATAAGATTTGTATTCATATGATTTCATTTAATCCTCACAAGGATCCGGTCAGGTAAATCTTGCCCCCTTTATTGTTACAAATAAGGAAACATACTTAGAGACATAATTTGCATGAGTCAGTGGTAGAGTTAGGATTTGAACTCAGATACAGTTCAACTCCAAGTCTGTCCTGAACTACTGGCCCTGAGCCCCACTTTTCTGTTCCCCCAACTCTGGGCTTTATAATTAAACTGGGATTGGCTTCCTAGCTGCGTGGCGAACATCTTTTTTGGGTAACACTGTCAACTTCCTTGAGCCATGGGCTTCACTGATGTCCTCTCTCTATTTTCTAGTTCTTCCATCTGCTTTTCCAGCGGAGGTTCTCTCGTTTCTATACTGCCCTCTGCTTCCCTAGGCTGTAGTGCCATGCAGGTTCCCCAACTTTCTTTCTCTCCTCATCTCTAAATAAGCATAAAAATTTATTAAAATGTTTAAAAATCCACTTTGATATTAATAACTTCAGGATTGTTACGTATGCTAACAAATATAGGAAATAATGGGGAAAGCAACAGTTTGAATCATTTCAGGAAGTTCTGATAGAAATGGGCCTTGGCCTTCATTAAAATGAATACGGGGCTAGACCTAGCGTTTTCATCACCCTGCCGCTCTGTGGAGCTGGGAAAGAACATGATGGCAACTTCACATCCCTGCTTGCCCAGTGGGGTCCTGTGTGTGGTTGCCACCCCAGCGTCCCTTTTCAATTGCTCCATTTTCACCCTCCAAAGCATTTCAGTTTGGACTGTATGAGGTAAGCTGGCCTAAACAAGTTTTGCCATCACTCATGCAGAACGGTTTTGAATTCTGTTCTCAGTGTTTACTAGCTCTGTGATCTTGGGCAAGTTATTTAACTTCCTTGAGCCTCAACTTCCTCATTGCAAAATAGGTGAGTAATCACCTGAGCTGATATTTAGTGACAGATAGGGCATGGGCATCAACCAGTTGGAAGGGATGTGGGCCCTGCCAGTCAGGCATTTGTCTTCTGGTTTCTGGGTCAGTTGAGGGGAACCGGGGTGTCCCAAAGGAGAGGCCAGAGGGAAGGAAGATCCACTTGGGACAATATGGCAGTGGTTTCTGGGAGTCTGCCAGCATGGTAACAACCTTGGTGTTGGTGGGCACCTTGCTTCCATCAGCCCTGATGAGACCCCACTGTAGTTAATATGGAACGTTGCTACCACTGTCCCCTCTACCTCATAGGAGGCCCTGGTGTTGACTCTCTTTTGCAGCTGTTGGCTCAGTCTTTGGTCTTTTCTTTGTGGGGATAAAGTACATGATTCTCCTTCCCTTTCTCTCTGTTCTCTTCCCCCACATCGTGTGTGTGTATGTGTGAGTGTGTGTGTGTGTAGTGTGTGTGAGAGCATGTGTGCCTGCCTCTCCCCCCTCTCGCACACACGTCTTTTACTGTGATTGCCCATCAGGTTGAATCCAGTGGGGGTGGAGACCAAGAGCTGACTCCTCAAAGGTGAGTCTTAGCCCTTGATCTCCACCTTAGCTGAATCTAAGGCTGGCATTCACTGCCCCCGAGGAGCTAATCCACACTGATGCCCACATCTCACCCTCAGGTGCCCCTGTCGAGCCCATCACCTGGGAATAAATCCAACTCAACAGTGCTGTGAGTGGCATCATGCTGCAATCTAGGACTGGACCAAGCCCGGCCATCTCCTTGCCAGGGACATGTGTCACCCCACTTTTATCTGATGTTTTTCAATACTGCCTAGTTAGAGGAGGCCCTAGGGGGAAATGTCTCTCAGATCTTAGAGATTTCTCTGCAGAATGAAGTGTGGATGTATCTCTACTTGGCAGTGTTGTTCTGAGCAGGACTGACCCGCCTTTCTAGAAAAGTTGGTTTTAGAAAAACACTTCAAGAAACCCCCAAGATAGCAAACATGAAGAGTCCTGCAGTGTATAAACATGATTCAAGGACTGGAAAGAGAAACCCTGTAATTAAACGAAGTGCTATAAAAAGCTCCCTCCTTCACTCACCTCTGATTAAAGAGTGCGTGTAATTTTAAGGTGAAGCAGACAGAAAATGCAGAATGCCTGGGCGGTATTCAACTAGGAAAAGACACGTGCATGCCCCATTAGGCTCCCTGAAATGTACCTTAAGAAAGCACACTTAAGGAAGTACACTGCTTACAGAAATGGGGTTCTGTGTATCTCCATTTTCAACTTCTCTTACCAGACTGGAGCTTTCCTCAACTCCTTGTCAATGCTTTGTTCTTCACCTGCACCTCCTTCTATCCATCATTCCCTGGGTGTCACCCTTGACATCCTTACTCCCGCCTCTTCCAACACCCCAGGTATACTCCCTGCCTGTGTTTCCCCCATTTAAAGAAATCGTTCAGCCAACTGTGCTCTTGAAGTACTCTTTCTGTCCCTTGGGTCTATGGAGCAGTGGTGGGAATGTAGCAGACACTCAGTAAATACTTGCTGAACCAATAACAGGGAATCCTCCTTTTCCTCTTCACAATAAACGCCAGAGCACACGCTGACTGCCGACACCAGTTCTCACCATCCCTTCCATCCCGCCTTTGTAGCCTGCCCCACTGGCGTCCCCAGAATGAGTCTCTCTGAAGTCCGAGGCTGCCTGAGAGCTTTCTCAGTCTATATCATCCTCCGCTTCATCTCAGCAGGGCTTGACACTGCCCTGTCCCTTTCCTCTCTCAGCAACATGGCAGGACATTCTCCCTGGTCTCCTCCACTGTTTGGTTATTTGGGGCATCAGAATCCTCCATGTTTTTCGTTTGTTTATTGTCAATCAGGACTCTCTTTTCCCTCCCCTTTCTTCTGCCCTCTGAATAAAGCACCTGCTTTTCCAAGGTTCTCTTCTTGGCTTCATTCTCTCTATGAGCTCATCTGTACCAGTGGCTTCAATAACGCCACCTATAGAGTCATTCCCAAGTCTACATGGCTAATCTCGGCCTCACTTCTGGACTCCAATTCTGGATTCCAGATGTCGATTGAAAGTCCTCATATGGATTTCTAGTAAAAGTAAAAATAACGTAGTCTACGCTTCCAAAACAGCTTGTTTTTTTTTTTACTCCTTAAGCAAATGAATTTTCTTGTCACTACTTCTGCCTGTCCGCTGCTGTGTTCCCAGTTAGCGAGTTTCAGGATTCTGGCATCATCTTTGAGTCCTTCCTTAAATCCAGTGGCCTGAACCTTCCTAAATTCTTGAATACTGTCATTTCCTATGCCTGCCCTATTTAGGACCTGACTGCCTCACTCCTGGTCTTTTGACCCCTAGTCTCTCCCCATTCTCTCCCCAAATGCTGACTGAATACCCACCACATGCCACCCTGGTCCATCCTGTATATACTGACATGCGGAGCAGAGCTTCCTCAATCACTTTCTGATCCAATCCTTGCACCATCTGCTCAGAAATATTCGTGCATTCTTCATTGGCCACTCAGATAAAGAATGTGAAAATAATACACTGTGAGCATTTGTCACCTAGCAGGCCTGTGAGGTAGGACTTTCTTACCTCTGTTTACTATAGAAGGAACTCAGGCTTGGAGACATAAATTGATGTATGCATGGTCTCATAACTTGTCAGGGGTAAAACTGGGATTTTGCTCTAGCTTTCTGGCTCAGCTGCAGTACAGGTCCTAAATTTCAGTCCCTTAGCCAGGTGTGTGGGACCCTGTGCCACATGGCTCTCTGCTCCCCTGTGTGATGGTCAGCCTATGCCACACACGTGCAGGTGACTTCTGGTGCCCCTCTCGGCCCTGGTGGAGACCCTCATTTCCTATTGCCCATGGCTGCCTGCTGATTCCCTTCTCTGTTCTTTGGTCATGTTGTTCTTTGCATCCAGCGTCAAACACACCCTCACTCTCTGTCTAAATTCCATATCCATCCTCCCATACTCAGTACAAAGAACTTGTCGTATTTCTCTTCTGTCTTTACAGAGCAATCTCTCCATCCCCTGAATCCTCACTGGACTTAGTAGAAAATCCACTGTGGTTATAATGTATGCTGCCCTGGCCCTCCAGGGACTTAGTTCTTTTTTTTAAGCATTCCCATAGCATCCTTTAACACCACCCCCACCAGCTTTTGAAGTTCTAATAATTTTAGAATTAATTAAGTATCCATGTCTGCTTTCCACAACTAGAATGTTAGTCTCCTGAGGACAGGGACTACTAGAATGTTAGTCTCCTGAGGACAGGGACTACTAGAATGTTAGTTTCCTGAGGACAGGGACTAGACCATCTTGTCCTAAGTGTTTACTTGTGTGATATGGTTTGGATCTGTATCCCCACCCAAATCTCATCTTGAATTGTACTCCCATAATTCCCACATGTTGTGGGAGGGACCTGGTGGGAGGCAATTGAATCATGGGGGCAGTTTCCCCCATACTGTTCTCATGGTAGTGAATAAGTCTTCTGAGATCTGAAGGTTTTATCAGGGGTTTCCACTTTTGCATCTTTCTTACTCTCCCTTTGCCTGCTGCCATCCATGTAAGACGTTACAGGTGCAAGTAGCTCCTCCTTGCCTTCTGCCATGATTGTGAAGCTTCCCTAGTCATGAAACTTTAAGTAATTAAACTCTTTCTTTTGCAAATTGCCCAGTCTTGGGTATGTCTTTATCAGCAACTTGAAAATGGACTAATACACTGTGTCTACCTCAGTGCCTGACACGTATTAGATATGTGATGAAAATTCATTAAATGCATCACCTAATGTCTTGCTCCTTCTCTTGTAGACTCTAGGTTACTTGCAGGGGAATGGGCACATCTCTTTCATCCCTTTCATTCCTGTATCACCTGCAGCATCTAGCTCTACATCTTGCTAATAGCAAAAACTCATTTTCTGCCTTGTAGAATGAACTACTACGAAGGCCTTGAGAGTCATCCCCTCATCTGATGTGAAGCCGAGGGTATCCCAGCTAACACTCATTATACTAGAACAACTTCCCCCTCCTCCTACAGCTTCAGGGAGTTCATGGAACCACTTGAAGCTCCTCCAGTATCCCCACTCTCTGAGCTCATTGAAGAGCTCTTAGAGGTGAAAAGTCAGCAGAGAGACCATTGTCAGTGCCACTCTGTCAAGAGCCCGTTTTTCAGCATCTCACTAACTCTGACATTTCCCATCTCATTCTCTTTCTTCTTGCCAAGAGCCACTGCTTCTTTATGGTCACTGTGTTCTCTCTGTTACCTCCTTTAAAGCTTTCTTGACTCTGCTCCTCTCCTTTGCTCTCTTCTCTGTGTTTAGCTTTGAAGCCCCAACTGCTCACATGCAGTCCTAGGATTTCTCTCCCCACCTGCAGCAATGCCCCTTTTCCCTAAGAGTTCCTGCCCTGCCCGTAGCCCCTGGAGGCTGTTCTGGAGCTGTTCTGGGCTGTCCTAGCTGAGGTGCTGGAATCCCTCTGCTCTTCCTTTTTCTTCCCCTGGCACAGTGCCACTTGCCATCTTTCTGGGCATCTTCCTCTTGCTGTCAAAAAAAAAATACCGACAGAGAACTACTTAGGTGAAGGCTGAGAGGCTGACATAAAAAAAATATTATTAGTTGGCCTGAGAGAGTGTAATAAAGGGAGTTTTATGAGGTATGACAGCTTTCTAAAGTTAACAAACCATCTGGCATTATGTCAAACAGACAAAGAGCTTGCCAGGAGCTGGCACTGGTGCCCAGCCCCATTTGGGCATGGTGGGATTGACCTTCCCCTCCTTACCTGGAGGCCACATTTGCTGTTTCTCCACAGTGAAAACAGTAAATGGGAATTCTTTGGTAGTGCAGAGTCTGAGTCTGTTCCCTCTGCCCAGCGTCTCTGTTTAGAACATACTGCAGGAGTGTCCACTGTACCAAGAAGGGTAGAAAGGGTCAAAAGAAAGCACGAGCCTGGCTTTGAGCAGCCTGCTTTGGTAATGTATCCCAAGGCCACAGTACAAAAGTCAAGAATACGTTGGACAGAAGACACCTTAATTGGAAACCTCCTTTGACTTAGTGTGAGAGGAC
This sequence comes from Homo sapiens, assembly GCF_000001405.40. Classification (NCBI taxonomy): domain Eukaryota; kingdom Metazoa; phylum Chordata; class Mammalia; order Primates; family Hominidae; genus Homo; species Homo sapiens. The sequence continues at coordinate 19,331,285 of NC_000008.11, forward strand.
AAGACACAATCCCAGTGTGGATGTTTTGCTCATCAAACAGGGCCCAGCACACACACCAGCCAGGTGCCCTCTTCCATGCAGTCAGCACCACTGCTAGTTTGGGGTCTTGACTAGAGGTCCACCTTTGGCCCACAGTTGCCCTGGGTAGGCCTGACAGACTCAGGGATGGTCTCTGTTGGCCTCTCCTAGGTACGCTCCACCTGCCCCCGGTTTAAGGGAGCATGACCGATGTGGCCGCATTTCAGGAGCACTAGGATATAATCTAACCTGGAGGCCAATTGTAAACAAGGGTTATTTAAGTAGCTTCACCAAGTATCATACTACCTGGTTATATTATCTTCTCACAGGCTGGTGTGAATCTCTGAGGCAGCCATATAAGTAAATAATAGGCTAGCAATGATAGCAGTTAACCTCTATTGAACTCCTGTTATGTGGCAGGCACTAGGGGAAGAACTTGGCACAGGTAGCCTGCCTGCCCACAGCAACCCTAGGTAGTAAATATTGGTATTCCCATTTTGCAGATGAGGAAATTGAGTCTAAAGAGTTTAAGAAAGTTGTCCAAGTCACATAGCTCGTAAGTGACAGGGCTAGGATTTGAACTCAAGGTGGTCTAAATCTAAAATACCTCCTTATCTGAGGCAAGAGGATTGCTTGAAGCCAGAAGTTTGAGACCAGCCTGGGCAACAAAGCAAAGCCCTGTCTCTACAAAAAATTTTAAAAATTAGCTGGGCATGGTAATGCATGCCTGCATTCCTAACTACTATGAGCTCACCACTGCACTCCAGCCTGAGTGACAGAGCAAGACACCATTTCTAAAATAAAATAATAAATACAAATAAAATACAATATAAATAAAATAATAAAACCTGCTTTTTACCCACCTATGAAGCCTGTGAATGTAGTACAAATGCCACACCCTTGAGCAGCTGTGGAATTCTGGGTTACAGGGAGATAGTTAGATGTAAGAATTTATGGTGTGAAGTGCTAGCTCTGTTACCCTAAAGGATAATGCAAACAATGAATGCTTGCTTCCCATTTCAGTTTCTTCATTTATAAAATAGGCACATGCAGCCAGGCGCAGTGACTCACACCTGTAATCCCAGCACTTTGGCAGGCTGAGGTGGGTGGATCACGAGGTCAGGAGTTCAAGACCAGCCTGGCCAAGATGGTGAAATCCTGTCTCTACTAAAAATACAAAAATTAGCTGGTCGTGGTGGCAGATGCCTGTAATGGTGAAACCCTGTCTCTACTAAAAATACAAAAATTAGCTGGGCATGGTGGCAGGTGCCTGTAATCCCAGCTACTTGGGAGGCTGAGGTGGGGAACGGCTTGAACCCAGAGGCGGAGGTTGCAGTGAGCCAAGATCATGCCACTGCACTCCAGCCTGGGCAACAGTGTGAGACTGTCAAAAAAAAAAAAAAAAAAAAAAGCACGGGCAAAAAACATACCCCTAATATTTTTAAAACAAATATTTTCACTGAAGCTGCCTCTCACTGCCACCACTGCCATTGCTACCTACAGATGTTCCTGAGCAGTTGGAAGTTCTTTGTCTCATCTGATATATATATATATATTTTCAAAGACCCAAAATACTTTAGTGATGGAAACAGTAATCTGTGACTAAAGATATTTGTTCAATCTGAATTTTTTGTTTGTGTGTTTGTTTGCAGAGAATGGCAAATCGGTTCATTGGAAACTTGGAGCTGATAAGGAAGTCTGGGTATGGGTGATGGGCGAACACCATCTAGATAAACCCTATGATGTGCTCTGTAATGAAATTATTGCTGAGAGGGCCCGGCTGAAAGCAGAACAGGAGGCAGAAGAGCCCAGGTATGAGATCTGCAAACCAACCAGAGACTTAAAGACTCTCCAGACTTTAGAAAACATTGCAAACACACCTCTTGCTCACAGTATCAGGTGGGAGAGTAGGGTTGGGTTGGAGGGTCACAAAAGTCACTTTGGATCTCTTTGGAAGGTTGATTTAGACTTTTGGTCTAAAGACCTTTTGGATCTCTTTAGAAGGTTGATTTAGACTTTTGATCTAAAGTCTTTGATAGCACTAAAGACCTCATGAAAATCTTTAGTGCTGTCAAATCAGCTGCTTCATCTCCCTGCTTGTCATTCCAGTTTTGATCTGTATGAGTGTATGAGTTCCCCAGTGATCACCCGTGGCTGCACTAGAGTCATGTTAGAGCAATGCAGGCCGACGCAGCTGAGTATCAGGAACATATGTGAGAAATGCAGTGACTGTGCAAGCTTCAGGCCTTCCAAGGAGATCACTTAGATACAGGCGGCTGGATAATCAGGCTCTTTAGGTGCCTACCCAGTGCAAGGTACTGGGAATTCAAAGAGAAACAGGGAGCTTCCAGTCTAGGAGGAGAAGTAGACATATGCACAGCTCACTGCGGCCAGTGCAGGCTGTGATTTGTGCTATAATTAAGGTACAAACAGAAAGTTTACCAAGCATAGGTGGGAACCTATCATTCTGATCCACAGACGAGGTGAAATCTGAACCAAACCTTGAAAGGAGTGGTTTTCCAGCTACAGAAGGCCAGGAAGGAAAGTGCAGGCAGAGGGCTTAACCAAGATCCCTAGACTTGACTACGGATGGTTCTTTGGGGAATGATGAGGTCTTCTGAGCATTTGGAATACACTTGGACAACTGCTTCAGAGGCCAGATTTAGGAGTTTGGAACTTATTCTCTGGACGGTGAGGTTTTTCAATAGGGAAGTGACATCAACTGCAGATGTAGGAAGGTAACTCGGAGGGAAACTGAGGCAGGTGATGGCGCTCCTCTGCTGGGTACCTGGGGTGCTCTGGGTGTCCTCCTCTGGCTCTGGGCAGTGATGTTGACAGCCTTACCCTGAGGTGGTGAAGTGGAAATTGGGACAGACATGAGGACCACCGTTCAGTTCCCAAGGGCTAGGGATGCAAAGCAGACTCTGTGGCACAGTGGATGGTGCATTGGACTTTCAAGGGCTGGGATGCTGCCCACTAGTGCCTGTAACTTTAAAACTATCCATGGACATATGAAGATAAAGGAATTATTTAATCATCGATTGGAAGCAGACGGTGTGGTTCTAATAGGTTAACTTCTAAACCAGGAGTTGAGCAGACCAGGGTTCAGATCTTGGCTGTACCACTATGTGGTCTTGGATGAATTACAAAATTTCTTGGAGCTCTTATAACAAAGTGAGGATGACAATGCCTTCCTCACAGGGTTGTGATGAGGATGAAGTTAACGTCTTTACACACCTAGCAAAGGGCCCAGCATGTTAGAAGCACTCAGTAAGTGGTGTCAGTTACTGTTTTTCACATAATTTGAATGTCGACATATGCTTTGGAAAGGCTCTTCCTGTTGAAGAATGTTTTTTGAGAATTTCACTTTTGCCTCTCTTCAGAAAAACTCACTCTGAAGAATTCACCAATAGCTTGAAAACAAAATCACAGTACCATGATCTGCAGGCTCCGGATAACCAGCAGACTAAAGACATCTGGAAGAAAGTGGCAGAAAAGGAGGAACTGGAGCAAGGATCGAGGCCAGCACCAACCCTGGAAGAAGAGAAAATCCGAGTGAGTCCTTACTGTCTGTAGACGTGCGGAATTTCATCATGGGGGAGAAAAAGCTATTGAGGCCACAGAGACTACTGTGGCTGAGTGTCAGGATCCTCCAGTGGCTTTCTTGGGAGAAATGCCTCCTAACTTTAAGATCCTCCAGGGCAGGCACGGTGGCTCATGCCTGTAATCCCAGCACTTTGGGAGGCCAAGGCGGGCGGATCACGAGGTCAGGAGATCGAGACCATCCTGGCTAACACGGTGAAACCCCGTGTCTACTAAAAATACAAAAAAAAAAATTAGCTGGGCGTGGTGGCGGGCGCCTGCAGTCCCAGCTACTCGGGAGGCTGAGGCAGGAGAACGGCGTGAACCTGGGAGGTGGAGCTTGCAGTGAGCCGAGATTGCGACACTGCACTCCAGCACTCCAGCCTGGGCGACAGAGCGAGACTCCATCTCAAAAAAAAAAAGATCCTCTTGCTCATGTCACTTGGGGGATTTACCTTCCATGCTACATCATGGAAAATAAAGCACCCCTATTTCATGAGACTGAAAGTAACAAGAACGCTAGGAATGCAATTTGGCATTTTAAGATATTTTCAGGTTCTCCTCAATGCTGCCCCATTATATGTCTTCTGTTACAGCAGAGGTTGGCAAACATTTTCTGTAAAGTGCAACATAGTAAATGGTTTAGGCTTTATGGGCCATGCCATCTTTGTCACAGCTATACACAAATGAATGAGCATGGCTGTGTTCCAATAAAACTTTATTTTCAAGCACAGGCTGAGGGGCAGATTTGGCCTGTTCATGATTTAGATTACATTCTACTGAGTCTTAGCCTTTTTGTTGCGGATTCTAAACATCAGTGCCTGTTGGGCTTCATTGGCTCTGCCTGTGACTTGGGGACAGTTACCTCCCCAACATAATAGAAATTTTATACTCAGAATTGGTATGAATTCTCTTATGGTTCAGATGGTTTAAAAAACTCAAACATAATTTGCTGGTTGGATTATAGTTTGGGAGAACAATGAAACACCTTATTATTCTACCAGGAATTTAATTACACTGAGAATTAACAGGGATTTGCAGTTGTTTGATTTCCATTTATGTCTCCAGCCCTGCAGCACTGGCTGTGTGTGCTTTTGACTTCTTTGAGGCTATCATATGGGAATACAGGTATCTCCTGCCTCCTCCTAGGACCTAGTGAGACTCTGATAACTAACATGGTCAGGGGTTATTCCACAGCAAAGCACACTGCTGAGTGTCTCATGTAATCCTCACAATAACATGAACTAGAGACATTTGTCCATTTTACAGCTGGGGAAACTGAGGCTAGGTGTGGTTAAGCAACCTGCCCAAGGTCTTATTCAAACCCAGGTCTGCAGGACCCCCAGGCTATTCCTTAAATATTAACTACTAACTCCTTAATTCTTAACTCTCATGTTTGGTTGTGTCATTAATATGAGGGCTATGAAGAAGCTTTTTATGAAGGGCTACAAATATGAGGCTCAAAATATTTAGGAAGAGAAAATTCTAAATTTGGTTTTTCATCTCAAGGTCAGCCCTGGACATGCTCCCCACATCCTCATTGAGGCCTCCCGTCCTCCCCAGGTGTGCTTTGCACTCAGCATGTGTAACACTAAACTCCCCCAACACGGCTCCCCTTCCCACACCCCTCCAACCAAGAACAACAGTAATAACAAGAAAGCTCCTTCCAGAGTATTAATTATGCAGCTGAGTGTGTTTGCTCACACTTGTAATCTCAGTGCTTTTGGAGGCCGAGGCAGGAGGATCCCTTTTGAGGCCAGGAGTTCCAGACAAGCCTGGGCATAATCCTGCAGAGACAGTGAGACCCCCATCTCTACAAAAAATTAAAAAAAAACAGCCAAGCATGGTGGTGCATGCCTGTAGTCCTAGCAACTCAGGAGGCTGAGGCAGGAGGATCGATTGAGCCCAGGAATTTGAGGCTGCAGTGAGTCCTGATTACACCACTGTACTGTAGCCTGGGGGACCAAGTGAGACCCTAAGTCTTAAAAAAAAGTATTAAGTATGTATGCTTATATTTGTGCTTGAATTACAGTACTTTTTTAGACCTTTTTTTTTCAAAAGTAGGACAAAAGATTAAAATGGAAATTAAAATAGATACCACAGTTATTATTCTTTAACCATCTCATAAATATTATATTGAGAGTGGCACTGTTGCCTTCCTTAGGTGCCTGCTAAACTGACATATGGAAAGAGATGGGGGCAGGGGAGAAAGAAATATTCAGATAGAAGGAATATGGAAATAGATGGGTGACAGGTTTTTATATTCCTGCTTTTTATCTTTCCCTGTGTCAGAGAAGATGCTGTCAGGGGCTCCTGTGGTATTTGCTGAAGTTCACTCTGACAGCAGGCCACACAGCGAGGAGCCTGATTTCACAGCTAGTGTGAGCCTTTAAAGAGGTCGTCTGCTACCTCTCAGACAACTGACTCGATGGTACATTTATATTTTTATTGTAAGTTGTGTATATGTCACTATAGTGGTCTGAATATTTATCCCCCGAAATTTATGTCCACCTAGAACCTCAGAATGTGAGCTTATTTGGAAATAGATCTTTGCAGATGTAATTAAAGTAAAGGATCTCAAGATGAGATCACCCTGGATTTAGGGTGGATCCTAAATCCCAAGACAAGTGTCCTTATAAGAGGAGAGCCAAGGAAAATGTGAGAGAGAGTGTACTAGTCTGTTTTCATGCTGCTGATAAAGACATACCCAAGATTGGGCAGTTTACAAAACAAAGAGGTTTAATGGACTTACAGTTCCATGTAGCTGGGGAGGCCTCACAATCACTGTGGAAGGTGAAAGGCACGTCTAACATGGCAGCAGACAAGAGAGCTTGCGCAGGGAAATTCCCATTTATAAAACCATCAGATCTCATGAGACCCACTCACTATCACAAGAACACCATGGGAAAGACCCACCCCCATGATTTAACTGCCTCCCACCAGGTTCCTCCCACAACACATGGGAATTGTGGGAGTTACAATTCAAGATGAGATTTGGGTGGGGACACAGCCAAACCATATCAGACAGAAACACTGAGAAGAAGGCCGAGTGAAGAAAGAGGCAGAAAGCAGAGTTATGCTGCCACAAGATGGGAGCCACCGGAAGCTGGAAGAGGGGGCATAGCCCTGCACAGCCTTGATTTCTGACTCTAGTCTCCAGAACTGTGAGAGAGTAAATATCTGTTGTTTTAAGTCACCAAGTTTATGGCCATTCATTGCAGCAGCCCTGGGTAGTGAATGCAGTTACTTCTCATTGACTTTCTCAGAAATGTTTCATTATGCTACCCTAATTATTAAATAGTTATTAAAATGGAGAAGCAACCATTTTAGAGAGACAGACCCACTTTCTGGAAAACCAGAAATAATTTGAATCCTGCATCCCTCACCTCCTCGTGCTGTAGATTTTAGCTCTTGAGTTTCTCCCTCTATCAAAAGGGGATAAACAATCTATTTGTTAGGCAGAATAATGGCAAATATATCCACATTTAGATCTCTCAGACCCACGAACACGTTACTTTACATGGAACAGGGGACTCTGCCTCTGGGACCATGGTTAAGGACGTTGAGATGGAAGATTATCCTTGAATATCCAGGCAGGCCCAGCTTAATCGCATGAGTCCTTAAAGCAGAGACTCTTTCCTGGTTGAGGTCAGAGGGAGATGTGGCTATAGGATAATGATCAGAGACATGTGATGTTCCTGGCTTTGATGATGGAGGAAGAGACCATACGTGAAGCAAGGAATGGAGGCAGCTTCTAGAAGTTGGAAGAGGCAAGGAATCGGATTCTCTTTAAGTCTATGGAAGTCACGCAGCTCTGTTGACACCTTGATGTTGGCCCAAGGTTGGGTCTCTGACCTACCGAAATGTACCATAATTTGTGTTGTTCATAAGCACTGAGTTTATTGTAATTTGTTACAGCAGCAGTGGAAAACCAGTACAATCTGGTAGGATTTTTTGATGAGTAAGTGAGGTATTGTATTGGTCAGGGTTCTTTAGAGGGACAGGACTAATAGGATAGACGTATATATGAAAGGGAGTTTATTAAGGAGTATTGACTCACACGATCACAAGGTGAAGTCCCACAATAGGCCATCTGCAAGCTGAGGAGCCAGCAAGCCGGTACAAGTCCCCAAACCTCAAAAGCAGGGAAGCCGACAGTGCAGCCTTCAGTCTGTGGCCGAAGGCCTTAGAGCCCCTGGCAAACCACTGGCATAAATCCAAGAGTCCAAAAGCTGAAGAACTTGGAGTTCGATGTTCGAGGTGAGGAAGCATCCAGCACAGGAGAAAGATGGAGGGTGGAAGACTCAGAAGGTCTAGTCCTTCCACGTTCTTCTGCCAGCTTTTATTCTAGCCACACTGGCAGCTAATTAGATGGTGCCCACCCAGATTGAGGGTGGATCTGCCTTTCCCAGTCCACTGACTCAAATGTTAATTTCCTTTGGCAACACCCTCACAGACACACCTAGGAACAATATTTTGCATCCTTCAGTCCATCAAGTTGACACTCAATATTAACCATCACAGGTATTCAATACTGGGCACTTATTTCAGTACCTCCAAACACATATCAGATATTTAGTTAGCTCACTTTCCTCTTCCCTATAAACTTTCTTTTTTTTTTTTTTTTTTCTTTTTGAGGCAGGGTCTCCCTCTCCCCGAGGCTGCAGTGCAGTGGTGCAATCATAGCTCACTGCTGCCTTGAACTCCTGGGCTCAAGCAATACTCCTGTCCCAGCCTCTCTAGTAGCTGGGACTACAGGCACAGGCCACCACCCCCAGCCAATTTTAACAATTTTTTATAGTGATGGGATCTCGCTGTATTGCCCAGGCTGGTCTTAAACTCCTGGCCTCAGGTGATCCTCCCACCTCAGCCACCCAAAGTTCTGGGATTACAGGTGTAAGCCACTGTGCCCAGCCCCTATACATTTTTCTTAGCTTAAATGTATCGACAGTGAGGAGAGGATCCCAAGGTTGATTGATTTACTCATAACATATTTTGAGTACCCAATAGGTGCTAAGTATTGAGGTTATGATACTGGAGTAAAACGGAATCACTGCTCTCATGATATTTTGGTTGGGGAGGGAGAGAGAGACATCACATAACATATAATTTCAAACAATAACAAGTGCTGTGACTTAAGGGATAGGTTTCTGTTCACCCCAATTACATTAGCACTGGGGCAGCTCCGAGGAGCCAAGGATGGCTTTGCAGAGGACATGGCCCCTAGGGCTGGCAGTTCCAGCTGAGGAACAGTGTGGCAAAGGCTCCATAGCTGGAGGGAAAGTGGGCTTTGGAGGAACCAAAGGGGCCAGTGTGACTGGAGTGCAGAAGCAGGGAAAGCATTGTCGGGGGGTGGGGCAGGGCCAGGCAAGACAGGGTCTTGGGGGCTACTTACGTGTTTTGACTCTTTTCAGGAACAATTGGAAATTGTCAGTGATTATCGAGCAAAGGGTTGAGCTGATCAGGTTTATATTTTGAAAAGGAGGGATCATTCTTGCATCAGAGAGGGTGGAGGAACAAGGTAGCATGACCCAGGTTTCTAAGCTTGGATGCCTGGGAGAATGAGATGTCATCAGGATGGACAGGCGTGTCTGGAGAAAGAGCTGATGCTAAAGGAGAAGGTGATTCTGGTTGAGATGTGTCAGGATTTCCCAGGCTACTTGCAGAAGTGGTAGTGGTGGATACACGCTGATTTTGTTCTTTTCTTTCTTTCTTTCTTTTTTTTTTTTTTTTTTTTTTGAGACAGGGTCTTGCTCTATCAACCAGGCTGGAATACAGTGGCACAATCATAAGCTACTGTAACCTCCAACTCCTGGGCTCAGGTTATCCTTCAGCCTCAGCCTCCTGAGTAGCTAGGACTACAGGCACATGTCTGGCTAGTTTTTAAACTTTTGGTAGAAACAGGGTTTCACTGTGTTGCCCAGGCTGGTCTTGAACTCCTGGGCTCGAGTGATCCTCCTGTCTCAGCCTCCCAGAGTGCTGGAATTACAGGTGTGAGCCACTGCACCCAGTCAGGCTGATCTTATACATGTGATTTGGAGTTCACAACACTTTTTCTCATGGAGTTAAGTCTTTTCACAATAATCCTGTGAAACAAACAATACAATACCATTTCTTTTGTACAGATGAAGAAACAAATGTTCAAAGAGATTAAGTGATTAACCCCAAAATTACAGTTAGAATGCCCTCATTTTTGTATGTCTACTTTAATCCCCACTCTCATCGTAACTATGACATATTTAAAACAGAATTCATCACTGCCCCCAGGCCTTCTCCTTTAGAAGAGAACTGTGGTTTCTGGTGAGAAAGCTAGACTGGAGGTTTAGGATGCATCTCACTTGTTTCTAAAATGCAATTCAGATTTGCACAGTAAGGATTAAAGATTTCTGAATTTCCGCTACAGTTTATTTTAACTCTAATATCTAAAAGTATATTGTCATGTCTTCAAAATTGCATTGTATATGCAAGGCCCAACATTTGCTATAAAAAATCTTCAAGCAGTTTTTATTGAAGTTAGTGACCATAATCCTTATCTGAGTAACTCTGGGGAGATTTAAAGAACAATCAGTCTTCCAGGATTATAAACAATATTCAAGGGAAATCAGCTATAAATTTATTAAAGTAAAGCTGTCTTGTTAGATTTGTAGTAAATTTCCAATGAAAGGTCATCACTAGAGTCCAGGTGCTGTGACTCACATCTGTAATGCCTGCACTTTGGGAGGCCGAGGCAGATGGATCACTTGAAGCCAGGAGTTCAACACCAGTCTGGGCAACATGGCGAAACCCTGTCTCTATAAAAAACACAAAAATTAGTCAGGCATGGTGGCATGCACCTGTAGTCCCAGCTGCTTGGGAGGCTGGGGTGGGAGATCACTTTAGCTGAGGAGGCAGAAGTTGCAGCGAGCTATGATCACGCTACCCAACTCTAGCCCGGGTGACAGAGCAAAACCTTGTCTTAACAAAAAAAAAAAAAAAAAGATCATCACGAGAAACTGTGCCCCATTTTCTAAAAAAATACTCCAGACCTGAGTCAGAATGCACTTCTTACCAGTCTGATCTAAAATCTCCCGAGGGCTGTGGAGAATGGGTGAAAATTAAATTCAACCCAAATATTGATGTGTATTCAGCATTGTGGAATCTCTTGTGGAGGAGTCAGTTTCTTCTAGGAAGTAGTGCTTCTAGTTAACAATTACCCTTTTTATTTGTACTGATTTATCAGTTGCTGCCAGAAGAAGTCCAAATAATGGAAAAATATCAGGGTTGGGTTTGGGCATGAGAGTATTCAGTCTTATACACATCAGGATACACTGGATTTCTGCATTTGTATCAGTAGTGTTTTTTCAACTCTGCTGTGATTATCTCATGGAAGGAAGGATTGAAGCAAACATGTAGTCAGAGTCCTCTTTGAGCTTATGTAGAACTTGGGGTAAATCCTACAGTTACTTCTTCATTATCCTTCCTCTTTACTCACTAGAATTTTGAATAGGATAAAATCAGGTTAATAGAATGCTGAGGCCAGCCTCAAGGGAAGAAAGCTACACATGGTAAGAGGATAGCTGGGAGCTTGGATGCTATTTGGTGAAACGGGCAGATTTGCCTTAGTGCTGGTCATTGGGATGATAGTGGTTATAGATAGCCCTCTACACATTTGGAAAGATGTACATTCAACATGTTACTTCATCCTCACAACTGTAGGAGGTGTGAAACAGGTATTTTTATTCCTGTTCCGAGTGGGGGGATCCTGTTCCGAGGGCAATGGTTTGATTCACAGGGGGAGCTGGGTCTTCTACCTTATTCAGGTCCCTCTTATTATCTGCCCCCGGGAAGGTAATCACGTCTGCACCTTAACGATCACACTGCTGGGATTAGAGTTTTTGGGCTTTTCCCCTCCACTAGCAGTGATACTTTAAACCAGATATTCTGGGCTTTAAATTAAACAGAAAAGCTTTTTCCATAAGAAAACATGGAGAAAGGGAAAGAGGAGGGAGTCAGGGAACAGTGGAGAAATAGACAGGATTAAATCTACTTTCCGGGACACCTTGAGCCAGTCTCATTCACCTCGGTGGTGTTTTTGCAGAGCTCACAGCTCTAGCACGCTGCTTCCGTCTCTGTGTGCCTTAGATTTTTAGAGCAGCCTCTCTGCCCTGCACTGCGAGAGGGTTGTATTTGTACTGCTGGACTGGTTACCTATGCTAGCTGTGCAAATCTCATAAACCTCTGCAACCTCTGTTTTCTCATCTATCAAAAGTGGGAATTAAAACCAGGTGTAGTGGCTCATGCCTGCAATCCCAGCACTTTGGGAGGCCGAGGCAGGTGGATTACTTGAGCCCAAGATTTCGAGACCAGCCCTGGCAACATAGCAAGACACTGTCTCTACAGAAATTAAAAAAAAGAAAAAAATAGCAGGACATGCTGGTGCACACCTGTAGTTCCAGCTACTCCAGTGGCCGAGGAGGGAGGATTGCTTGAGCCTGGGAGGTTGAGGTTTCAGTGAGCTGTGGTCACACCATTGCACTCTAGGCTTGGCGACAGAGAAAGACTCTGTCTCCAACAAACAAAAACTGGGATTTTTTAAAAACTTGCCTTGTTTATCTCATGGGTTTTTGGTGGAAAAAAAAAGATTAGGTAGTAAAAAATGACATGAGATAACATATTTGGAAATTCTTTGAAAACTGGAAATCCCAGTACAAATGTAAGGGGTTATTTTAATTAAGAGCACTAGACATTGTCCTTCCCCTGTGTGACCGTCTCCTACCCAGGGGCTGCACACTTCAGTGCCCAGCACTGTTGGGCTTGTTGGGCTGCATCAGTCATTCTCTGAGCAAATATCCGTCAAGGTTTAATCTGTGTAATGATAGGCATTACAGCGCCACGAGGAAGGCATAAGATGAGGTTTTCATCTTTCAGGAGTTTTAACCTCTGAAAAGAGCAGCAGTGAGTGCTCTGTAGGGCAGGATTTAATCACGTTCTAGGAGGCCAGTGGCCTGTTCACTGGTTTGTGGAAGGCAGGGATGGAGTGGGTGACAGAGAAAGGCAGAGAGGCCTGGGAGAAAGGACTCTGCAGTCCTGGCCGGCGAAATGTCAGTGGTAAGAAAGTGCAAAGCCTCATGTGTCGGGGAGGGAGAATGCAGGGGAACAGTCTGATGGGGTAAAGTGCTTTGTCTGGGACGAAGAAAGGTAAGTTTGAGTAGATGCTAACAGGTCACCTTATGGAAGAAGAGTCAGGCTTGTTCCATGTATTAGTTTTCTTTGTGGCTTACCCTAGTACCCATGTGTTATCTCCCAGCTCCTCAGGTGGGAAGTCTGACATAGCAGGACTAGGTTCTCTGATTAGGGTCTTAAGAGGCTGAAATCAAGATGTCAGCCATGATGGGCTCTTATCTGGAGGCCCTGGAGAAGAATCCGCTTACAGGTATATTCACATTGTTGGCCAAATGAATCAGTGGGAGGCCCTGATTCCTTGCTGGGCATCAACCAGGGGCCAATCTTTGTACCTGGAGCCGCCTGCATTCCTTATGCTTTCCGAGTGGCCCCTCAAGCAATGGCAGATTGAGTCCTTCTCCTGCTTAGAAGTTCTCTCTTACTTCTTCTTCTGCTGTCTCTCTTTGACTCCAGCTGGAGAAAGTTCTTTGCTTTCGAAGAGCGCCTGTGATTAGATTGGGCCCACAGTTAATCCTGGATAATCTCATTTTAAGGTCCATAGCTGGTAATTAATGTCTGAGGAGCTCCTTTTCCTGCATAACATAACAGATTTACAAGTTTCAGATTAGGGCGTGGGTATCTTTTAAGGCCATGACAGCTACCATACCCCTGTAGGCTGTCGGGTCAGTAGTATAGGCCTGCCACCCCTTATCCAATACATCTGGGCCCAGAAGTGTTTCAGATTTCAGCTTTTTTTTCCCAGATTTTTATAAAAGAAATACTGTGCATGTACTATGTAATATATAATGCCTCCCAGCAAGGTCTGGGTCAACACTCTGTAAACAAATGCTGTAGTTACTGTAAATAGCCTCGTTAGTTCAAGTTAGGATCCTCCCTGATAGGAGTTACATATTTTCAGACCTTTTTGGATTTTAAAATTGTTGATAAGGAATGGTGGGCCTTCAGTCCATTTTTGAGCTATGGTAATATAATGAGAGCAAGTGGTCAGAAGAACTGGATTTTCATTTTGACTTTGTCTCTGCAGGTCTTTTGTTTTCTTAATCTATAAAATGAGAGACTTTTAAATTGTTTAGTGATCATAGAGCCCAGGTGCAGGTACTTCCTATGCTGCCCCTGGGACAGACATGACTAATCAATTGCAGCACTCTCTCCTGATGAGCCAGGACAGGACCTCATATCCTTGTCAACAGGGCTGCAGGCAGCCACATGGAGTCCTAGGAGTTCACGGTACAGATGGACTCTGTTTGCTGAGGTGACTTCTCAGTAGTTTCACTCTAGCTCTACACATGCAGATCTTAAAGCAACACTCGATGCCTGTACAACAGAAAGAATGTTTTTTCTTATCACTACTAGCTGTCAAGAAGGGTTGCCATACCGTTTCAGCGAATAAGCCATACCACGAGGTCTAGACTTTTGTATTTGAGCAGCAGTTAGGCAGGAGTGTGATAGGCAAACACAGTGGTATGTGGCAAAGTCAACTCAATTTTATTTCTGTAAATAAGGCACAGATGATGTATTCTTTGGTCAAGTGGCATTCCTATCCTGAGCTGGTTTTCACTACAGCCCTCCCCTTGGAGACTCAAAACATATCTTTTGGTCCACCTGGGTAATAGCTAATCTTCTCACATATAAAAATGTAGAGAGCTGTACCTTCCTGCCATGCAACAGTTTCTGTGGTTTTAACCAGAACGCCAAACCACGCAATCTGTAGGTTTGCATTTGGATGTGATTTTATACCAGTGTAACCCAAGTTATATCTTCATTAGTAAATGGCTTCATTCAAGGAGATCCCTTACAGAAGAATGGAAGACTTGCCCCAGTTCTAAGAGTGAAGAATTTCTGCTTCACCCTGATAGCCATGAGAAGCAAATCTTGGGAATCTGAGAATTGTTTGATGGCTGCTACAGGCTTTGGAAACCTTAAGGTCCAGTCTCAGAGTATCTTTCTATGCACGCATGACAATCTTTACAGAAGATTTTCAAAGGATATATTTTTGTTGGTTTAAAATTTTTATTATACCGAATAAATATCCAAAAGTAAGACTGCCTGAACAAGTACCAGATACCTGGAAACCATAGCACCCAACACAGTAGAAAACCTCTAGTTAGGGAATGGAAGTTTCAGTCCTTACAGGCAGCCCTGATACTTGGGGCAGTATCCTATAAGGCAGGAGCCCCTATCCCTGGGGTACCATTGGTCTGTGATCTGTTAGGAACCAGGCCACATGGCAGGAGGTGAGCAGCAGGCAAGCAAGCCAGCATTACTCCCTGGGCCCCGCCTCCTGTCAGATCATCAGCAGCATTAGATTCTCATAGGAGCATGAATCCTCTTGTGAACTGCTCATGTGAGGGATCTAGGTTGCATGCTCCTCATGAGAATCTAATGCCTGACGATCTGTCACTGCCTCCCATTACCCTCAGATGGGACACTCTAGTTGAAGGAAAGCAAGCCACTGATTCTGCATTATGAATTATGATGAGTATGTAATAATTATAGAAATAAAGTGCACAATAAATGTAATGCACTTGAATCATCCCGAAGCCATCCCTCTGGCGCCCCCTATCTATGGAAAAATTGTCTTCCACAAAATCAGTCGCCGATGCCAAAAAGGTAGGGAACTGGGGCAGTAAGGGATCCGTTTCTTCTGTAGATGTTAAATTTAGCAACACTGACTCTTTACAAAGGAAGCCGATAAAATGTATAAATAGGAGAAAGCAGCTTGCCCAGTATTGTCTGATGGAAGCAGCAACAATTGCCTCCTGAAATCCTTCAATTACAGGATGCCGTTCTCTCACCCCCAACCCACATCCTCTGGCAAGTATGTAGAGCAATAAAAGATATTGTTCTTATCAGGAGGCCAGGCTTCGTCCTTCGCATTCTTCATATGAAGAGTTGGAGGCAAAAGAGGGCTGTCTGGCTGGATTTTCCAAGCTCAGGAGGAGGCTGAAGTAACATCTAGGTTAGAACTGAGTATATGGTTTTTATTCTGCAAAGCTGTTGCCCTCTGTAAAATAGCTGGCTTGTCCTTACTTTTTGGCAGTGGTGATGCAGCCGAGGAACCTCTGAAGTGATGCTCTGCTTAATACCGAGTCAGTGTTGTGGTTCTCCATGGATCACAGCGAACACGCAGAGTTACTGGGTGCCTACACTGAACTGGAGGTGCTGGGGAATAGCTGGATTTCTCTGTCCTCCTGCCAGGTTTTGAGACACGCACGTTCAGAGCAGATGCCATTCCCAGGCAAGGATGAATGTAATGGGGAGTTAATGGGACTCAGAGAAAAAGACAGTGGCATGCTGTGTGAACCGACTCACCCTACCTAGGGGAGTTTGGGTATGAACTGCGAGTCCCCTGCAGCTGAAGAGACCCTTAGAGACCCTCTATGTGGATAGCCATCTGAATGCAGTGATGTCCCCCGTCCCCACTCAGAGTTGTTCTGCGTGTGGTTGGGAGAATGGCAGACTCTGCCAACTGAAAAATAAGCTCCTCTGTGTTTCTCCGCTTATATGTAATTTGCAGGCTTGGAACTCATTAATCAGTACTGACTGTCCTTGCCCCTGAAAGGGACCTTGAATAAAACTATATCTGCTCACTTTTAGATTTTATCTCCAGAGAATTCTTCATTATTTTTACAGAAATGGCCTTCAGAGTGGGCCACACTGCAAAACAGGAGATAAAAAAATTAGAACCAAACATCTGGGATTCAAAGTATTACACGCACAAAAAAATAAAGCCTTGTAGCTGGCAGATTAAAAAGCCTTGAGCAAAAGTCTTCCCTGTGACATATTCTTTAACCAGGTGGAGTTACAGATGAGGCCTCTTACCTCTCCACCTCCACCACACAGGCAAACACATGCCACACATTGCATGCATACATGCACACACAACACACGTGTGCATGCTTTCCACACTGCCCCAAGGCTCTGACACCTGTTTTTAAGTCAGTCATTTTTCTATAACAACTAATGATCACAAAAACACGCCACTAAAGTGTACATTTTAGTTGTAAACTTGACACTGAAACTATGGTGGTTTTCAGTTTTTGTGTGCGTGTGTGTGTGTATTTTTAGAAACAGGATCTTGCTGTGTCACCCAGGCTGGAGTGCCACGGTGCAATAATGAGTCACTACAGCCTGAAACCCCTGGGCTCAGGTGATCCTCCTTCCTCAGCCTCCCAAGAAGCTTGGATTACAGATGCATGCTCCCATGCCCAGCTAATTTTTTTATTCCTTGTAGAGACAGGGGTCTCACCATGTTGCCCAGGCTGCTCTTGAACTTCTGGGCTCAAGTGATCCTCTTGCCCCTGCCTCCCAAAGTGCTGGGATTACAGTTCACTTATATTTTTAAGTGTTATTGTAACTCATAGTGTTATGTTTCCATGAGTAGAGAGCATTTAAGTAGCAACCTGTAAAATGATTTTAAGATATAATATGAAACTTCCACTTAAATTTTCCGTCTTCTATACCTTTCTTTCAAACTAAAATTAAGAGCGCTGTCCACTCCGGAACGATCAGTTCTGTAAAACTGGACTTCAGTGGTTTGCCTTTTAAAAGGAGAGATTCAGAAGAGAGTTACTGAGATCAGAAGACGTCTTTGAAAGAATAGAAAAGAATATGCTGAATTATTTCTAGGATTCTCATTCATCTCAAAGTGTTATTGAATAGCAACAAAAGTTTTTGGTTTTCTGTCACTTGCGCTTCAGGTTAAGAGTGAAAAGCAGTATTAGCAAAATAACACTTTAAGGTGATTTAAGCGGAGGTGAGTACCGAGCTTGGTGAGTAGGCGGGGTTGAGAAGCCTGCATACTACCCCAGAGTAGATACCTCGTTCCTGGGGTTAGCAGAACCAGTGTGGCATTGCCTGGTTCTGACTGCAGACAGCCATATTGTGAGTCTCTGGGAGGCAAGGGGGTTCACACCTTAGAACAAGGACTACCATGGTAAATAGAGATCATGTGCTTCCGAAACACAAGCTAGAATTTCGAGGATTGAATCGGATAAAGAGACAAAAGGGGAATAATCCTATTCCAAGCTAGGAGTCATTTGCCTTGATGTATATTCCATTCTAGTATACATGAAGGAAGCATTTCAATATAATTTTTGTGAGAAATAAAGCATTGGACATACCAGGTAAAAACAGATAAGTAATTAATTGTGCATATCTTATTAATTCAAGAGTGGAGCCCTAATCAGAGGGCTACACAACTACCCAAGTAGTTTCTGTGTAACTGTAATAGAATTTCACGGTAGGTAATTTGTAGAATAAAATCTTATATAAGATAGAATCACAAAATGCTAGCACCTTAAAATTCACTTAAGCTGTTGTGCTTTTTAAAAGCAAACAAATAATCAAAATTTCTAAAATAAAAAGATTGATAGAAATTAGAAAAGAGAAAAACATATTTCTAGTCTTAAGGGTTTACTCAATTTTGTTACCAACTTCATAATGTACAGCTGCATTGTGGGAGATATTAGCATTGATTCACTTATTGAACTCATTAAAAGTAGTATTCTAGATTCCTGAGTCGGGAGATTTGTTGACCACTTCAAGGTCAGTTGTTCAACCTCTCTGAGGCTAAGTTTCCCAATCCATAAAATGGACATTAAAGTAGCTACATGCCATTGGGTTAATGTGAGAATCAAATGAAATAATATACATAAAAGTGTTTTGTAAAGCATTACATATGATATGAATATAGTTTTCTATTGTTGTTATTATTATTTCTTGAGATACAGTCTCGCTCTCTACCTCCAGTGTTCAAGTGATTCTCCTGCCTCAGCCTCCTGAGTAGCTGGGATTACAGGTGCCCATCACCACGCCCAGCTAACTTTTGTATTTTTAGTAGAGACGGGGCTTCACCATGTTGGCCAGGCTGGTCTCAAACTCCTGACCTCAAGTGACCTGCCCACCTTGGCCTCCCAAAGTGCTGGCATTATAGGCGTGAGCCACTGTGCCTAGCCTATTATTTTTCTATTATTATTTGTAGTTAAGTTTTGTGTTCCATTTCATCAGGACTTCCTGTATCAATCATGTTTTTTTAATCATGTTTTTAAGATTCTGAATATTTTCTCAACAATCCTTTATTATTTTATGCTTACACTTTATATTTCACAATTCCTTTATTTCTCTTGCTTGTCTTTTGCTCCTTCATGGATCCTATTTCAGGCGTCTCCCTGGATGAGAATGTAAGAGTGGCCTTTGAAACTCCCTCGCATGTGAATGCTTTGCCCAAGCAACCTGCACCAGCTCTGCATCACTGCATTTTTCAAAGATGTTGCTGCCCAGTTCTGTTGTTTGTGCATTGCTTAGTGGTGTTTTAGGGGATGGTGCAATAGGAGTCAGCTATTGTTCATCGAATATGACTGACGTTCTGTGCTCTAACGTGCTCATAATAAACTAGGACACCAAAGACAATGTTTTTAGTTGTTGTTGCTCTTTATTGTTTTGTTTTGTTTTTGAGACAGAGCGTTACTCTGTCTCCCAGGCTGGAATGCAGTGGTGAGATCCTGGCTCACTGTAGCCCTGACCTCCCCAGGCTCAGGTGATCCTCCCACCCTCGCCTCCCGAGTAGCTGGAACTACAGGCGCACACAACCACGCCCAGCCCACTTTTGTATTTTCTGTAAAGACAGGGTTTCACCATGTTGCCCAGGCTGGTCTCAAACTCCTGGGTGCAAACAATCTTCTGACTGGGCCTCCCAAAGTGCTGGGATTACAGGTCTGAGCCACCGCAGCAGCCGACAATGTTTAGTGAAACATGTGCCATAAAATCTCACATCATATTGGAGTCTGCTGTACTTTCAAGTCGGGGTATTCAGTAGTCTCTGTGCGTGGATTTTGCTTGGAACAATATTAGAAAAATAAGGAAAAGATTTTCTCGGGTTTCCATTGTCCTAATTCATGTGTCAGTAAAATCACTCTACAAGGAGTTTGTACCATATTTTTAGCAATAAAATTTACTGTCCCGCTTTTTGTCTGTTAGTCTACTTGGCCTTAGGAAAATCTCTCCTGTCTCTCTTATTCTTTATAACTTTATTGAAGCAGAGTTCCATTATTCTGCCTCTCCTGTTATTTTAGAAGCAAAAAGGTAAATCCCAGTATGCTCAGAAACTTAATATTATAGTCATCATTGGGAAACTGCCTTTTTGTTTAAAATTGCTGAGAAGAGGATGATCTGATTATTTCAATGACCTGGTTGGCAAAATGGGTGAGCTATAGACCACTGATTCTCAGAGTATTTGAATTCATTCTATCTTGATTAATAGTGAAACTAGATCTCTGCTGGGCACAGTGGCTCATGCCTGTAATCCCAGCACTTTGGGAGGCCGAGGCGGGTGGATCACAAGGTCAGGAGATGGAGACCATCCTGGCTAACACGGTGAAACCCCGTCTCTATTAAAAATACAAAAAATTAGCCAGGCGTGCTGGCAGGCGCCTGTAGTCCCAGCTACTCGGGAGGCTGAGGCAGGAGAATGGCGTGAACCCAGGAGGCGGAGCTTGCAGTGAGCTGAGATCGCACCACTGTATTCCAGCCTGGGCAACAGAGTGAGACTCTGACTCAAAAAACAAAACAAAAAAAAACAAAAACAAAAACAAAAATAAACTCTTGATTTTATGCTATTAATTCTTCATTTTCATCTTTACCATAAAAATTGAGTCCTGACAATGTTCTGTTTGTTGGAGCTTTCTGGTTTATTTGGAATTAAAGACACTTGGCATTTGTTTGACTGTACAACCCTACCATTATTATTATTATTTTGAGATGGAGTCTTGCTCTGTCGCCCAGGCTGGAGTGCAGTGGTGAGATCTTGGCTCACTGCAACCTCTGCCTCTCGGGTTCAAGCGATTCTTCTGCCTCAGCCTCCTGAGTAGCTGCGATTACAGGCACCCACCATCATGCCTGGCTAATTTTTGTACTTTCGTAGAGATGGGGTTTCACCATGTTGGCCAGGCTGGTCTTGAACTCCTGATCTCAGGTGATCCGCCTGCCTCAGCTTTCCAAAGTGCTGGGATTACAGGCCTGAGCCACCGCCTCCAGCCTATAACCCTACTTATAAACAAAGGGAATATTAAGTTAGAAGCCAGTATCAACTGTTTCTCAAAGCAGTTTGAAAAGTGAACATAATTCTTCTCATTTGACAGACAGACTCTGGGGGAAGCATATTTTGTAACCATGTAATACTGATGTTGTCAGCAGCACCTTTTTGTAACCCAGTTGCTTATGTAGATTTGAACTGTCATACTTCTAAGTTTAACGGTAGTTATTATTTTTCATACTATCTTTTGGCCAATCAGATGGGGTACACCCCCAGATCCATTTGGGATTTTCACTGATTACAGAGGGTTATTCTGACTTGATGTCTGCAGGAAGTCCACTAGCTTCTGATGTTATTAGCTTTCAGTTTTTCTTTTTTGGAAGCTTTTGCATAAATATTCATGGCAGTTTTTATGTTTAAATAGAGCAGATATGAGGCAGATAAGATTGCTTTAACTCTGCTCATAGAGCTCCAGCAGCTGTAAGAATTTCTGTAATGTGGCAGATGGATGATGACCGTAGTGGCTGTTATGCGTAAGAGCATACATATGTTCTCTCTGGGAGACCCTGAGGAAGGAGCAGGCTTCAGACGTGGAGATGACATGCATTTGGGTCCCTGTCCTCCTACCTATTAACAGGTCAACTTAGGCCAGGTGTGGCGGCTCACACCTATAATCTCAGCACTTTGGGAGGCTGAGGTGGGAGCGTCACTTGAGCTCAGGAGTTTGAAACCAGCCTGGGCAATATAGTGAGACCTTGTCTCTACTAAAATTAAAAAAAATTTAGCCAGGTGTGGTAGTGCATGCTTGTAGTCCCAGCTACTTTGGGGGACTGAGGTGGGAGGATCACTTGAGCCCAGGAAGTTGAGGCTGCAGTGAGCCCTGATCATGCCACCGCACTTCAGCCTGGGAACAGAGCGAGACTCTGTCTCAAGAACAAAAACACAATGACCAATAAAACAGGTTACCTTACCTCTTTGGTAAAGGGATAAGGCCTATTTTGACACCTAATATGAAGGTCAATGATGTATTAGACTTCAAAGTGCTTTATAAGCAAAAATTATACAGGTAGGAGGGTCATTTTCTTCCCTTTTTTGGTATAGAGATAACTAAAGAGTATATTTCCTGGGTCATAGCAGCATATGGAAGCTTCAGAGAGGACATGGTACCCTCTTTGAAAAGCCTCTTCATCCTGCCTCTAGGAGTGCTTCAAAGAGGCAGTGGTATTACTGAGGTATACCCTCTGATATTGCCATCATAAGTCATTACTTTTGAGTCCATTAATCATCTAGTTTTTTTTTTTTTTTTTTGAGACGGAGTCTTGCTCTGTCACCTAGGCTGGAGTACAGTGGCAGCATCTTGACACACTGCATCCTCTGCCTCCTGGGTTCAAGCAATTCTCTTGCCTCAGCCTCCTGAGTAGCTGGGACTCCAGGTGCGCATCATCACGCCCGGCTAATTTTTGTATTTTTAGTAGAAATGGGGTTTCACCATGTTGGCCAGGATGGTCTGGATCTCTTGAGCTTGTGATTTGCCCACCTCAGACTCCCAAAGTGCTGGGATTACAGGCGTGAGCCACCACACCTGGCCTCTAGCTGTTTTTTTTTTTTTTTTTTTTTAATAAAGGAAATAACTTTTGGATCCCACATTTTCACTCTATTACTTGTGCATATCATGGATTTGTAGAACGTGTAAGTGTATCTAAATGAGCCTGCTTTCTGCAAGTTTTAAGTTTTTCATGTTATTTTAACCCTTTAGAATAATGGCAAAATCTTGGTTCACCTTGAAAAGTAGAATTTTTATAAATGTGGTTCTTAGTATGTGTGAATAGCTTTAGAGTTTACAGTATGTTTTAGACACATTGAATAGAAGTGTTTAAATAGAAGGATTCATCTCTCGAGTGGTTTTTCAACTAATTTTTTTTTTTTTTTTTTTGACACGGAGTCTCACGGTCACCAGGCTAGAGTTCAGTGGCACAATCTTAGCTCACTGTAACCTCTGCCTCCCAGGTCCAAGTGATTCTCCTGTCTCAGCCTCCCGAATAACTGGGATTAACAGGCATGTGCCACCATGCACCACCATGCCAGCTAATTTTTGTATTTTTAGTAGAGATGGGGTTTCACCATGTGGGCCAGACGGGTCTCGAACTCCTGACCTCAGGTGATCCACCCAACTTGGCCTCTCAAAGTGCTGGGATTACAGGCATGAGCCACCACGCATGGGCCTAATGAGTTTTTATGCTAAAATTCTACTCAAGAACAAGCTTGTGAGTTTTGGTATACTAAAGACAAAACCTAAAATTTCAAAGAAAAGGAAAATCATCAATCATCTCCAACTACCATGAGTGGATGGTGTTGGCAGCAACCACTGTCACTTTAGTGCCCAGTGACATCACTTCCATGCACACTGTCTGGAGTACGTGTCTGTGCTTCATATTATTTTAACATAATTCATAACCGCGTCAGATCTGACACATGCAAAGGCAGTGAGCATGCTGAAAGTACTAGTAAGAAAAGGTATACAATGATGATAGGAAAAAATGTAAGATAATTTAAAGAAAGCAAGTAGTAAAAATACCTGGTTCATGTGTACATGAGATGAACTGTTCAGTTTAAGGAATAACTGAGGGATGGAGGATAACTCACGCATTGTGTTCAAAGCACTGTACCCATACAGATGACAGTAATTGGCGGGATATTGAGGGGAAACTGACAAAATAGACAACACTTTTGAATACATGGATTAGAAGATAACCATCAGATGCCTATTAGCTTAATGCTAATTCAGGAAGCAACTAAGAGTGTGTTTTAAAGCTCAAAGACTAAGGACAGCAAATGTGCTGCGGACAAAACCTTGGTCCAGAACTCCAGTTTCATAAGTCCAGATCTGTCTGATTCTGCAACAGCTGCTCTGCGTCTGTTCTATTTTAGATGTAGAGCAGCGAAGTATCCTTTTATAATATTAAAATGAGAAAAAAATGAAAGTATGATAAGTAGCAATTGTGAAACCTACAGGATTCATTAGTTTGCCAAGTAATAAACATAGCATATTTGAAACATTCTCTGCAATACTTGCGGGAGTATTAAGAAAGAAGGGTTACCTGCCTCCTAATTTTCAAATATAAGAAACATCCTTTTTGCAAAACGGTGCCCCAAAGATCTTATATCATCAAAGAAAGAGAGAGTGGGCCTGTTTTTAAAGCTCTCCTTCCTGGTGGTGGAAATGCACTCAGAGATTTTAAAAGTCATCTTGGACTTTTGAGCAGACGCGCTTACATGAAACTTGTGGGAACAGTTCACTCTGTTCCCAAATAGAGGAACTGGTTACTGTTCTAAGTTTAGACGCAGAGCAGCAAAGTATACTTTTATAATATTAAAATAAGAAAACAATGAGAATATGGTAAATAGCAATTGTGAAACCTACAGGATTCATTAGTTTGCCAAGGAATAAGCATTAGATATCTGTTGACCCGCATCTCATTTTCTTATCACTACAATGTCAACATAGTGGAAAAAGCATAAACTCTGGCACAAACCAGCTGTCTGGTGCTGAGCAAGCTCCACAACTCACCTGAGACTTGGTTTCCTCATCTGAAAATTGCCCATTATGTTGCCCATCCATCACAGATGTTGTGTGGAGTAAAAATAATACTAAGACACTAACATGGTGCCGGGTCATAATACGTCTTCAGTATGCATTAGTGCTCATTAGCGGAATTAGCATTAATCTCACCACCTATGATTAATTATAAAACCTCAGCAGAGAGCTTGAAACATGCCTCCAGCAACTGTTGTGACCAGTTTTATCAGTTGATAGGCTAAACTTTTGAAGGAAATAGTCCCCAAATGCCATGGCCAAAAATACAATAAAAGTTATTTATTTGTCTTCAGACAGTCCAGAATAGGTGTTCTAGTTCAGGAGGGCTCTGCTCCACACAGTCATTCAGGGACTCAGGCTTTTGTAGTCTAAGTATCTGCTATCTTTGGTAGTAGCACTGCTGCTGTCACCATTCCAGCCCAAAGGAAGGTGGAAGTGGCCTGCAGGAGTGTGTGAAGGAGGTTTCAAGTGGGCCTGGGGAGAAATGGCAAATGCCTGTTGTCAACTGCATTATGTTAAGACAACCGCTGAGGCATTTGGGAAATGCGGTATAGTGGGGTAGCCACATGCCAGCCACTTTGAGAAAAGGGGAAGATTGAGAAAGCCACTGGTTTATTGCATGGTGCAGTAATGATCCTCTGTACTCCTTCTGAATGGTGGCACCAACCTTTTGCTGAAATTTTAGTGACAATTTCCGATGTATGCCAAAATTAAGAACTCAGACACAAGGCATATACTTTGCGGTAATGTGGGTTGTGGGTAGGTATATCTGGGTACTCAGGACATTTGACTACCCATGTTGGGACTTAGCTTAGGCTCTGCACTCCAGCCAGGGACTGATGGGGGCCTGTGTCTTAAGAAGCACCCATTGTGATTTGCTGGCATACTTGTGATGCCAGAGGGTTGGCCTGCGGCAGGCAGGAATGACACCAGGGACTTTAGGCAATGAATCTGGGAACCCCAGTGGGGAGGTTGCCTCATGGGAAATCCATCTAGAGCAGGAGAAACATAGATACTGGGTGACAAGGGCAGGAAAAGAGGAGAATTGTGGGCCAGGCAGGGAAACTGGGCAGGGCTCCCACGCACCAAACTTGTGCTCCAGGCATGTCTGCAAGGCATCATATAGTTAAATCCAGAGACTAAGGCATTTCTTTGGCCTGCACTAAAACAGGGTATGCAGAGATTAAGCAAGAAGAGAATTTAAATAGGGGGTAATGTTGATGGCTGGAAGTTATCCCCAGGGCCCTCCAGGGCCAACTAAATGGGAGCAAAATATACCAAACCACCAGCTCCTCGCTCTTGGGCAACAATTCCTTTCTAAGCCCTACTGAGTGGGGATACTGAGGATTCACATGCCCGTTGCTGTAGTCAGGATCGGCCCAGGAACTCAGGTGCCAGTGGGAGCCTTGGGTGGATCCATCTGTAGGGGCGGGGGCAGCATTAGGGAAACCAGGGAAACATTGACAGATTATCTTATGAAACTGCACTGCAGCTCCAAATGCCATAAATGTGTTTCGTTTAATTTTTAGTCACTCTCCAGTTCTTCAAGAAATATTCAACAAATGTTGGCAGATTCAATCAATCGTATGAAGGCATATGCATTTCACCAGGTAAAAGACTTCCCTTCTGTCCTCCGGGGGCTGCATACCTAGGCATTTCCACTAATGTTTCACAGATTAGTTAATTAATCTCATGCAGAAATGAAATTAAGCAGCAGGATGGGAAATCTGTCCTAAAAGCTGCAAACACAGTTCTGCATCTTTACCCGTTTATCTGGAGTTCGGGAAGTGTTGAATGTCATGGAAAGAACAGATGCCAAGTTGTATTAGCTAAACTCCTCCCAGAAGATCTAACATAGAGGCGGCATCCCAGGCTGCTGCAGACATGGAGGGAAGACTGATTTCAGACAGTGATAAATGGAGCATTACACTTGGCAGAAAGAGTGAATTCAGATCGAGTTACTTCTGTGCTCTTTGTTTCTGAACCTGTCCCTTGAGGGTGAGCAGCTGCTGTGTCCTCCACATCCACCATGCCTGGAACCCCTTCTGGCACTCAGCCCTCTCTCACGTCCATCTAGATGTGACATTCTCCCTCCAGGCCAAGCCCTGCTTCCTCCGTCGTGTGAGCTTGCTATCATGTCATAAATTGCTCAAAATAAATGAGGCATAGACTGGTACTTGGAAGCTGTAGTAGGATTTGACCTACCGAGAGTCTGAAACAGCAGCGTAAGATGTGAGCCTGTGAAGAGAAGGTTCCTGAGATCGGGCTGTGGTGGAGGTCAGGCCAGGGACCTGTGTTCCTGTGGACCATGCCATGAATTCCATGATTCCTCTGAAGGGACATGCATGAACTTGCATTTTTAAGACTTCAAGAAATCAGGATGAAGTTGTGGAACTGTAGTCCTGTGTGCATACTGCTGATACAATACATACTTCTTTCTAAAACAGCAGCAATAGGGGATCTAAAGGACATTTTCATTAATTCTGCTTAGATCTCACTATGTCATTTTAAATGGGGACAGCTGAGGAAGACAAAGGATCGTATATTCATCCAAGCAACATTTATTGAGTGTCTACTACACACTAGGCACTGTTATGGGAGTTAGAGACACATTTTATGAAAAAATCAGACAAAATTCCTGCCTTCAGGGAGCTTATATTCTTCATGGGAGAGAGAGATGATAAACATATCTATGAGGACAGGTAATCACTTATTAAGCACTGCAGAGGAAAATAAAGCAGTATGAGGGAACTGAAGAATCCTGGGAGGATGGAATTGGGATGGGACAGGTAGTCAGAGAAGGCCACTCTGGGAAGGCAGTATTGGAGCAGAGACCTGAAGGAAAGAGGGAAGGAGCAATGTGGATGTCTAAGCCA
Source organism: Homo sapiens (assembly GCF_000001405.40). NCBI lineage: Eukaryota > Metazoa > Chordata > Mammalia > Primates > Hominidae > Homo > Homo sapiens. Next base: position 19,358,550 of record NC_000008.11, read on the forward strand.
TGTGGATGTCTGTTCCAGGCAGAGGGAACAGCAAGTCAAAGACACAGAGGCACTACCTCACTTGGCATGGTGGGGAAAGGGCTGATCATTTGAGAGAATGAATGAGCCAGCTTGCTAAGCTTCTCTGTAGAACAAAGGTGATAAAACAGAGGCATCCTCCTTTGGGGACACTTGTGAGGCTCTGATGAAGGAATTGGTGGGGAGGCATTCTAAGTGCTTCCATCAACAGGCTGGACAAGAGGCTTTCTGAACGGGCCCAGCGGCTTTCTATATGGGCCCAGCGTGCCCTTGTTTTCTGGTACTGTTAGCTGAACACATTTTCACAGCTCACACCACACATCTGGGTCTCCACACCTTCCACCCTGGGCATCTGGATTAGCATCCAGCCTCGGCCCCTCCGCCCCTCCACTCCAAGCCATCACCTGGATTTCCCCATGCCTGGCTGACAGTCCTGAGTCCTGGTCCAACATGCTTCCAGCAAAACACTGCTGAAAAGGAAATGATGGTCTTCTGAATAGAGAAAGTAAACCATTACAGATTTTGATAAAAGTAAAATTCTCTCAGAGACGCAGGACAAGTTCCTTACGTTTTCTAGCTTTCTTGAATAAATACGGTGGTCAGGGCCGTATATAGATGGGTAATAGCAGATCTCATCTGCTATTACTCTGTGAAACTCGTTAATTTTTCTTCTTTTCCACTGTGCATGTACATAATTACATGCAGATTAAAGGAGTAGATTTATTAAATATAGCTCTGTTAGACATTTGAGTAACATCAACCAAGTACTACATCTGTTATTATTAATATTTTTTCTTAGGTAGAATCATGTCATGTTCCAAATTTCTTGCTTATCCTCAGCAACAATATCCATGATGATCATAGCTTGATGTTTTCACTATATGTTTCCTAACCGTTTAAAAATAAACACGTATGCATGTGGAAGGATGAACAAAGCTCCACTTTGAAGCTTTTTCTGTTTAAGCTTAGAAATTGCTAGCAGCACATGTATCTATCTTGGGCTGGCAAACAGCTTCAATCAAAGGATGGCAAATTTTAACAGTCCTTTCAAACATCAAAGCTGTCCTTTGGATTTTCAAATGTTGGCAAACAAAAGGAGCTTAGCTCTAGGCAGGAAAACAGTGTAAGGAAAAAAAAATGAAAACAGTAAATGCACAGAAGTTTAGTTACATCTGCAGTGAAGCACAATTTATGAATGATGATTACTTGAACTGTGATTTATGACTGCCCAGAGCGATCAGAAACAAGTTTCACAATATTAATGTTTATACTTTACGTTGTGGTGACATAATAGCAAGGAAGTCTTTACATTTCTGTGGGAAAGCACAAAATTAAAAAGCTTGTCACTTGTGATAGAGAGGTGGGCACAGGCAGCCCTTTCTGGCCATTTCAGTTTGTTTTATTGCTTAGCTAACCAAGGCTTTTATTAGTCCACCAAACTGTAAATTCAGTCGTCTTGTGAGCACTCAGAAGGTTGTGTCCAAATAAGCAAAGTACTTTTCAGGTCTAAGTGATTTGGTTTGTTCATTTCTCTTTCGTTTAAAATGATTTCCGTTGAATGCTCTTAATGCCAGAAAACAGTACACTAAAAAATGGTTAAGGTGGTAAATTTTGTTATGTGGAATTTTACCCTAAGTTTTAAAAACCTAATTCTCCTTTTAAAGGAATATTTACATTTTGAAAGTATTTCTCCCTTCTCAAAAGATGCTTTTGAAAAATATTTTTCTGTTTTTTTTTTTTTTTGAAACAAAAAAATACATATTCTGGCAGGGTGTGGTGGCTCATGCCTGTAATCACAGCACTTTGGGAGGCTGAGGCAGTGGATCACTTGAGGTCAGAAGTTCGAGACCAGCCTGGCCAACATGGTGAAACTCCATCTCTTCAAAAAATACAAAAATTACCCAAGTGTGATGGCACTTGCCTGTAATCCCAGCTACTCAGGAGGCTGAGGCAGGAGAATCGCTTGAACCTGGGAGGCAGAGGTTACAGTGAGCCGAGATTATACCACTGTACTCCAGCCTGGGCGAAGGAGTGAGGCTCCATCTTAAAAAAATAATAATGATATATATTTCTTTTGAAACACTTAAAATCATGTAGTAAGTACCACATTTTGGGACACATGACTCGGGGGAGAGATTCAGCTGAGATTGCTCTGGGAATGTGCATTTCTTCTGTGGAGTCTGTCAGCTACTGTAAAGTAGGTTGATGCTAGTTCTATGTAATAGTGTGTTTACATCCTTCAGGGAGTCAGTTTGAAGCAGCTAAGTACTGTGTCTGAGGAAAAGGAATATTTTTTCTTACTATATGTTATACACTGTGCCAGGGACTTCTTAAGTTATCTAATCCTCAATATAACCCTAAGAAATATTTTTTTCTCATCTTTCTTATGGGGAAACAGCCCAAGAGAGGTTCATTTGTTGCTCCTGGAGTTACACACTAGCTAGCAATGGTCAGTCTTACTTCAGGTCTTACTGACTCCAAAGTCCACACTTGATCCTTCCTAGTGGGCCAGAGAGTTAGATAGAAGTCAGCTGTGCCGGGTACCCCGTCCTTCAGGAAACTGCTGGATTTGCTCACCAAGGTTCTTTTTTTGTTTTGTTTTGTTTTTGTTTTTTTTTGTTTTGTTTTTAAACAGAAGAAAGAATCTATGAAGAAAAAACAAGATGAAGAAATAAATCAAATAGAAGAAGAGAGAACGAAGCAGATTTGTAAGAGCTGGAAAGAAGACTCGGAATGGCAGGCATCTCGTGAGTACCCAGAGGTCTCCATAGCACCTTCCAGGCTCTCAGCTGATTCTCTCCCTTAATAATGTGATCAATCTAGAAAGCGCTTAATGTGGGTTGTTGAGAGATATGTTCACAGTAAGTTACCACTCAAATGTTATTACTAACTTATTACTCAAATGCTTACAGGCTACTTTTGAACAGCAGACTCGTTCTCCATTTATTTCTGTATCACCAAAATTATGATGTAATTTATCAAATAGCATGATATATAGCTATGGAAAATAGGTTTTGGAGAGTGTTTAATGATCTTAGACTGTTTATATCTCATTAGCTTGGGGAAGAAAAAACACCATGAAATAGAATGAAAAGCTTCGCTATTTAGAAATGTCTAAGTATCTGAAGGAAAAGAACTGGAAGGTTATAATAACATGTAAACATTAGTTTTCTTGGAAAGGTGAGATTCAAGATTATTTATTTGAATGTTTTTCTTGTAATTTAATATTGTGTTTTGGATTTTTTTTCCCCTAAATTTTTGATAGTGAATACATTTTAACTTTGTAATCAGAAGCACACAGGAATACCAGGCTGGATGTGTTAGCATCCCGCTCCTGCCTGTGACCCAGCCTTGACTCCTATTTGAGTGAGCAGAATGGGTGAGAAAACTCATAGGAGAAGAATAAGCCCATGCAACTGAAGGCAGAGGAGAGGATGCTCCAGAATGCTAGAAGAATTAGGTTTGTGAAAGAATTAGTGTTTCCATCTGACTCAGAGAAATCTGAACTGCTAGATCAACCTGAGGTGGCTTGAGGAAGACAGCAGGTATGGCTATATTTGCAGGATGTTGAGATCCTACATTGATCTGCAGTCCCATTACAACCAATGCCATTTAAATGACAACTACTGTGAAATGAAAATATTTGCAAGATCCAGTAGGCTCTTTGTACTATGCACTGAAATCCTAGCATAAGGGAATATTTTGGGTGTCTCTTTGAAGTCAAGTATAACAGGATTTGACCAATACTGCCTGAAGTGTAAATATAGTCAATAAAAATCATTTTTACATTCTGCATTTGAGTCTCATTGCTATAACAAAAAATTCTGTTTTACAAAGTAGTCATGCGCTGTATGATGTTTTGGTCAACGATGGGTCGCATATAGTTTTTAGGCCAGGCACTGTGTCTCACTCCTGTAATCCCAGCCTTTTGGGAGGCCAAGGTGGGTGGATCACTTCAGGTCATGAGTTCAAGACCAGCCTGGCCAACATGGTGAAACTCCATCTCTACTAAAAATACAAAAATTAGCTGGTTGTGGTGGCGTACACCTGTAGTCCCAGCTACTCAGGAGGCTGAGGCAGGAGAATTGCTTGAACCAGGGAGGCGGAGGTTGCAGTGAGCCGAGATCGTACCACTGCACTTCAGCCTGGGCAATGTAGCAAGACTGAGTCTCAAAAACAAAACAAAACAAAACAAAAAAAACACAGACACACACATACAGAAAACCAAAAAATAATAATAAAACCCCAAAATAATGGGTTGCATACATTTTTAAAATAAATTTTATAAATGTAGTGTAGCCTAAGTGTAAAGTGTTTACAAAGTCAACATCAGTGTGTAGTAATGTCCTAGGTCTTAACATTCACTGAGCACTCACTCACTGACTCATCCCAGAGCAACTTCCAGTCCTGCAAGCTCCATTCATGGTAAGTGCCTTATGTAGAGGCACCATTTTTTTTTGTCCTCTATACCATATTTTTACTATACCTTTGCTATGTTGGGGGTATTGATTATTTTTATTTTTTTGAGATGGAGTTTCGCTCTTGTCACCCAGGCTGGAGTGCGATGGTGTGATCTCAGTTCACTGCAACCTCCGCCTCCTGGTTTCAAGGGATTCTCCCGCCTCAGCCTCCCCAGTAGCTAGGATTACAGGCGCCTGCCACCATGCTCAGCTAATTTTTTGTATTTGTAGTAGAGTTGGGGTTTCACCATGTTGGCCAGGCTAGTCTCAAGCTCCTGACCTCAGGTGACCCACCGACCTTGGCCTCTCAAAGTGCAGGTATTACAGGTATGAGCCACTGTGCCCGGCCTTATGTTGGGGGTATTTAGACACACAAATACTCTTGTGTTACAGTTGCCTTATGATGCATTTCTCAGGATTTATTTCTCTCATTAAGTCACTAGTGACTGTAATATTAAAAGGCAGACTTGGGGTACTTTTTTGTGTACTAATGTGTCCTACAATTACCTGTGGTTAAGCATCCCTTTAATTTTTTGTCTGTCAGGTTGCTTCTCATTCTGTCCTGCTCTCTGCTCCTTCACCCTATGCACAGCCCCATGCCACTGAGTAGTCCTGATCTCTGCTAGTGAGTCAAGCACACTGCATCTGAACATAAGTCATGCAGGGCGTGACAATTGCCTCTTATTACTCAGCACCCCTGCCAGCTTGAACCCATGCTCAGGCGGGGGATCCTCACTTGGTCTTGCCAACTGCAGGAAATTCTTGCACACTTTCTCTACTTCTCTCTCATCCCTTCTTCCTCCTCTTCCTTTTCTCTCCCTCTCAGAAAACCCCCAGTCCTGTATGAAGAGAGGAATCCTGCAGCGAACGCTGGGCAAGCCCTAATGGCCTGGATCATAGGTGTTGATAATGATTGTTCCTTATTATAAGCAGACAACAAACTGCTGAGAACCTGCGCTGCTGCCCGTTGTGCAATGAATGCTGAGCCTTCTCACCTGCTCTGTGGGCTGATGAGGGTTTTCTCCGACCCCGTTGTTTTTCCAGTGCGAAAATCCAAAGCAGCTGATGAGAAGAGACGCTCCTTGGCTAAACAAGCACGAGAAGACTACAAGAGGTTATCCCTCGGGGCCCAGAAAGGAAGAGGCGGTGAGAGGCTGCAAAGCCCCTTGCGTGTTCCGCAGAAACCAGAAAGACCTCCCCTTCCACCCAAGCCTCAGTTCCTAAACTCAGGGGCATATCCTCAAAAACCTCTTAGGTAAGAAGCCACACAGATGGGTTTATGCATAAACATTGCAATGGGCTTTGAATAAGCGTTGAAATTAAAGGGGAATTGTATGAGCTGCCATGGGGTGTGGAGGGCCAACTGGCAGCCTGTGTAAGTAGCTCAGGTTCATGTCTAAGCCTTCTTCCTGGGTGATCTGGGCGGGCATTCCTCCCTTTTTTAGCTGTCAAATGTCCATAGCTGTTATACTTAGTATACCCAGTGAAATAGTAAAGCTGTGCATGGAATGAGAGAACTTCCCGTGTCCCTACCCCACTCTCCCCTTTCCCTCCCCCGCCCCCCTCCCCCCCAGAGGCAGCCGGTGAGCCAGTGAGGGGAGAAGAGGAAACAAGTGGGGTTTCACTGATGCCCAAGATCACCCTTAGTCAAAGATTATCAAAGTAGGAACCCAAAGGCTTGCTGACTTTCGTGTGATCAGTGGGAGTACATTTTCACTGCCAAGGATTAAAGGTTTGATGGTAATTCTCATTCACGGATACATAGCCAAGTTCCTCTTTTAAGAATTTGGAAAGCCTCCTTTTTTAGATGAATTGTCTATTTGGTGGTGGAGATACCATTGTCTGCTAGGCTGTGGAAGAATTAGGAAGAACCATTTGTTCTGGAAAAACTGTAGAAAAGTGCAATGATGCTATTAAACCCCCATCCCTTATGTTTGCTGATTCTAAATTTTTTTCTGGTTATTGATCTTATTTTTAACATCCTAGTATTTAGAAAGAAGTATTAAAATCAAATGTTGATTGAAAGAAACAGAATTGTCTAAAGCCTTGCATTCTGAAATAAAAACTAAAAATAATTTGAAATACTTCTCTAAGATTATGGAGAAATGAAAAATAAGACTCTTCTCCTGCTTGGAGTCGTAGTTATCTTCAAGGTTGTCTTTAAACAGGAGTGATGACCTCAGGGGAAACACAAAGGCGGATGTTTTTCTTTGCTGTAATTATTTCTACTTACTCTACTGGAAAGTTCCGTTTCGGGAAGTGGGGACCAACGTGGAACTCAGTGGAGTAAGTGGAAATAATTACAGTAAAGACCATGATCTCCAAAGTGATCGTTTGGGTAATGATTCTTCTCTTACCGACAACAAAGCAAGAAATGTAGTCAGGAAATAGGAGTCTCTTAATTGTGAGAACAGCTGACAAAGGTGCACACGGCTCTAAGTGCTGGAGCTTGTCTGTCCGCACGTTGGCGACAGAGCCTCAGCAGGGATGTTTTTGCAGCTAACTCCTGTTCACCGTCTCTTCCAAAGGTAGCATGGAAATGACTTGTAGATGTCCCTGTCCCACAGCATTTTGAAGGACAGTATATTTGATTGACAGCAATGAAGGTGGTCTTTAAAAAAGGGCAATTCCTATTTTCAGCTGTGCTCAGTTAGCTCATTTTTTCCAACTGAAGACACTGCATGAAGTGCTTTTTGTGAGTCAGACTGGGTGGTTTTAGGGCTGGGACTTGACACAGGGATGGCAGAGGTCACCTCAGAGCCACCCCAGGAAAAGACAGACCGGCTCCTACAGTGTCTGTGGAGTTTTGCTCGATCTCCAAGGACTTCCCAAAAAAGAGCCTAATTTGGAAGCTAGTAAGAGAATGTATAATATAACTTCGTATGTGTGCAGTGTCTGCCTCCCAGGGAAGTAAATATTATAGGATATTTTCTCGAAAATGCTCCGAAAATCATTAGGGATAATATATACACATACATGCATATGTACAACTATATATATATATATCTGACAGTATGTCACACGTAACTCAGAAGCACATGTTATAAAAAGCGTAAAGAACCATAAGTTGGTCAATTACAATACTAGTAGTTCATCGAAACTTGATTGTGGTGGTTGTGTTTCATAAATTGTATTTTGTTTTTAATTGACACAATAATTGTATGTATTTATGGGATACAGTGTGATGTTTTGATACATATATATATATTGTGTAGTGATCAAATCAGTATAACTCACATATGAATCACCTCAAACACTTGTCATTTCTTTGTGGTGAGAACATTCAAAATCCTATCTTTTGGCTGTTTTGAAGTATGTAGTACATTACTGTTGACTGTGGTTACCGTGCTGTGCAGTAGAGCAGCAGAACTTATTTCTGCTGTCTCACTGTAACTGCGCCAGTTGACCAACCTCTCCCTATTTACCATCCCCCCTACTCTCCCCAGCCTCTGCTAACCACTGTTCCATACTTCTATAAGATCAACCTGGCTGGGTGTGGTGGCTTATGCCTGCAATCCCAGCACTTTGAGAGGCCGAGGTGGGTGGATCATGAGGTCAGGAGTTCGAGACCAGCCCGACCAACATGGTGAAACCCCGTATTTACTAAAAATACAAAAATAAGCCTGGTGTGGCGTGCACCTGTAATTCCAGCTACACTGGAGGCTGAGGCAGGAGAATCACTTGAACCCAGGAGGCGAAGGCTGTTGTGAGCCAAGATCACACCACTGCACTCCAGCCTGGATGACAGAGTGAGACTCTGTCTCAACAACAACAAAAAAGATCAACCTTTTTGATTCCACAGAAGAGTGAGGTCATGCAGTGTTTGTCCTTCTGTGTTTGGCTTATTTCACTTAACAATGTCCTCTAGTTCATCCATTTTGTTGCAAATGACAGGACATTATTCTTTTTATGGATCTTTTGTTCTCTTTAATTTTTTTGAGGAACTTCATACCGTTGTTTATGATGGTATGCTAATTTATATTCCTACCATCAGGCAATGAGAGTTCTCCTTTCTCCAGATTCTCACCAGCAATTTTTTTTATTGCAAATGACAGGATATTATACTTTTTATGTCTGAATAATATTCTATTGTGTATATACACCACATTTTCTTGATTGATTCATTGTTGGACAACTAGGTTGATTCCATATCTTGGCTATTGTGAATAGTGCTGCAATAAACATGGGAGTGCAAGTATCTCTTTGACATACTGATTTCATTTCCTTTTGACGTAGACCCAGTAGTGGGATTGTTGGAGCTTTTGTTCTACTTTTAATTTTTTGAGAAACTTCATATGGTTGTCTATAATGGTATACTAATTTATATTCTTACTAGCAGGCTATGAGAGTTCTCCTTTCTCTAGATTCTCACCAGCATTTGTTTTTGGTTTGTCTTTTTGATAACCAAAAATAAAAAACTGGGCAAGGTGATATTGTGGTTTTGATGTGCATTTCCCTGATTAGTGGTATTGGGCATTTTTTTCGTACACCTGTTGGTCATTCGTATGTCTTCTTTTGAGAAATGCCTATTGAGGTTTTTTCTTATTTGGATTATTTGTTTTTTTGCTATTGAGTTTGAGTTCCTATATTGATGCTTTGTCAGATACATAGTTTATGAATATTTTCTCCCTTTCTGTAACTTGTCTCTTTACTCTGTTGATTGTTTCCTTTGCTGCAGCAGAATCCTTTTTAGCTTGATATAATCCCATTTGTCTATTTTTCTTCGGTTGCCTGTGCTTTTGAGGTGTTACTTTTTAAAAATCTGGGGCTAGGCGTGGTGGCTCATACCTATAATCCCAGCACTTTGGGAGGCTGGGGTGGGAGGATTGCTTGAGGCCAGGAGTTTGAGAGAAGCCTGAGCAACATAGGGAGACAGTCATCCCTATGAACAAATTAAAAATAAAAATCCTTGCTCAGACTGATGTCCTCAAGTGTTTCCCCAGTATTTTCTTTTGGTAGCTTCATGGCCTCATATATTCAAGTCTTTAATCCATTTTGAGCTGATTTTTGCACATAGCAAGAGTAGGTAGTTTCATTCTTATACATGTCACTATCTAGTTTTCTCAGTACCATATATTGAAGAGACTATCCTTTCTCCAGTAGGTGTTCTTGGTGCTTTTATTGAAAATCAGTTGACTGTAAATGTGTGGATTTATTTCTGGGTTCTTTATTCTGTTTCATTGTTTATGTGTGTGTTTTTATGCCAGCACCATGCTGTTTTGATTACTATAGATTTGTAGTATATTTTAAAGTCATTTAGTGTGATGCCTCCCAGCTTTGTTCCTTATGCTACAAATTGTTCTGGCAATTCGTAGTAGTCTTTTCTGGTTGCATAGAAATTTTGAAAGTTTTTTCTTTTTCTGTGAAAGATATCATTGGTATTTTGATAGGAATTACATTGAATCAGATCTTTTTGGGTAGTACAGCCATTTTGACTATTAATTTTTCTAATCCATGGACATGGGATGTCTATTTTTTTGTTGCCTTTCATTAGTGTTTTATAGTTTTTCTTGTAAAGACATTTCACCTCCTTGGTTAAATTTATTCCTAGTTATTTTATTTTATTTTATTTTGCTATTGTAAATAAAATTGCTTTTTTTTTTTTTTGTTAGTCCATTGTTGATGCATAGAGATGCTACTGATTTTTGTAAGTTTATTTCATATACTACAATTTCCCTGAATTTTATCAGGACTAAGAGTTTTTTGGTGCAGCTTCTAGGGTTTTCTGTATGTAAGATCAGGTCATCTGCAAACAGACAATTTGAGTTCCTCTTTTCCAATTTGGATGTGCTTCATTGCTTTCTCTTGACTCATTCCTGTGCCTAGGACTTTCAGTACTATGTTGAATAAAAGTGATGAAAGTGGACATTCTTGTTTTGTTCCAAGTTTTAAAGGAAAAACTTTCCATTTTTCCTCTTTCAGCATGTAAACTGTGATTTTGTCATATATGACCTGTATTGGGTTGAGGTACATTCCTTCTGTACTTAATGTGTTTAAAGGTTTTATCATGAAGGGATATTGAATTTTAGTAAATGCTTTACCTGTGTCTGTTGAGATGATCTTGTGGTCTTTGTCTTTTATTCTGTTAATGTGATGTGTCATGTTCATTGATTCGTTTATGTTGAACCATCCTTGCGTCCCTGAGATGAATTTCCTTTGAACATGGTGAAGGATGTTTTTGATGTGCTGTTGGATTTGGTTTGCTAGTATTTTGTTGTGGATTTTTGTATCTATGTTCATCATCATCAGGAATATTGGCCTCTAGATTTCTTTTTTTGTTGTGTCTTTGTCTGGTTTTGATATCAAGGTAATGCTGACTTCATAGAATGAGTTAGGAAGAATTCCTCCAACTTCAGTTTTTTGCAGTAGTTTGAGAAGAATTGGTATTAGTATTTCTTTAAATGATTGATAGGATTTGGTAGTGAATCCATCAGGTCCTGGGCTTTTTTTGATAGGACACTTTATTAATGATTCAGTCTCGTTAGTCATTATTGGTCTGTTAAGTTTTCTGTTTTTTCATGAGTGAATTTTGGTAGGTTGTATGTGTCCAGGAATTTATTGATTTACTTCCAAGTTTTCCATTTTGTTGACATACAGTTGTTGATAATAGTCTCTAGTGATCTTTTTATTTCTGTGGTATCAGTTGTGATGTCTCCTTTTTCATCTCTGATTTTATTTATTTGAGTCATCTCTTTTTCTTTGTGTAGCTAAACTTATGTGAGTTTTGTTATTAAAACCACTCTTCATTTCATTCATATTTTGCACAGTTCTGTAGTCTCTATTTTATCTATTTATGCTCTGATCTTTGTTATATTTCCTTCAACTAATGTTGCATCAAGTTCTTGTTTTTCTAGTTCTTGTGGTACAACAATAAAATTACTTATTTGATATCTTTCTACTTTTTTGATATGTGTGTTTATTGGAATAAACATCACTCTTAGAACTGCTTTTGCTGTATCCCATAGGATTTGGTATGTTGTTTTCATTTTCATTCGTCTCAAGAACATTTTTGGTTTCTGAAATTTATTTATTGACCCATTGGTTGTTCAGGTGCATGTTTAATTTCCACATATTTGTTTCTAGTTTTCCTCCTATTACTGATTTCTTGATAAGTTTTAACTTAAAACAATTTAAGAATTGTTTTGTGGCCTAACATATTCCTAGAGAGTATTCTATTTGCTGTTGAGATACTGTGTATTCTGCAGCTGGTTGATTAGAATAGTCTATAATTGTCTGTTAGGTACATTCTAGAGTGTGGTTTAATTGTTGATTTTCTGTCGGTATGATCTGTTCATTGTAGAAAGTGGGGTGTTGAAGTCCTCTACTATTGTTGTATTGCAGTCTTTCTATGTAGGTATATTAATATTTGCTTTCTAAATTTAGGTGCTTCCATGTTAATTGAGTACATATATATTTATAACTGTTCTTGCTGTATTGAACTCTTTATTATTGTATACTGGCCTTCTTTGTCTCTTCTTACAGTTTTCAGCTTCAGGTCTGCTTTATATGATATAAATATAGCTACTCCTGTTGTCTTTTGGTTTCCATTTGCATACAATGTTTTTTCCCCATTCTTTCCCTTCCAGACTATGCATGTCCTTACAGGTGAAGTTAGCCCCTTGCAGGCAATGTATAATTTGGTATTGTTTCATTTTTATTTAGCCACTCTATGCCTTTTAATTGGAGAATTTATCCATTGATATGCAAGGTAATTATTGATATGTAAGGGCTTACTATGGCAATTTTCCTTCTTATTTTCTAGTTATTCTGTAGATCCTTTCTTCTCTTATAGTCTTTGTGGTTAGGCACTTTTCTCTAGTAGTACATTTTGGTTCCTTTTTATCTTTGGTGTATCTGTTATAGATTTTTGCTTTGTGGTTACCATGAGACTTACAAAAACATCCTATAGTTATAACAAGTTATTTTAGAGACTTACAAACTTTGTGAAGGAAAGAAACAAAAAAACTGTACACTTTACCTCCATTCTCTCCTTGCATTTTGTATTTTTGAGTGATGACTTACATTTTTATATTACCTATCTTGTTATTAAAGTTATTTTTGATAGTTCATTTTTTAGTCTTCATATTAAGTTCGTTTTTAGTCTTCATATCTTTATATTAAAGATATAAGTGGTTTACACATCATGATGATAGTATTATAACAAAAATCATGTTAGCATCCAGTTTATGTTTGAAGAACTATTTTTTAGCATTTCTTATAGGCCAAGTCTGGTAGTGGTAAATTCCCTCAGCTTTTGTTTGTGTGGAAAAATCTTTCTCTTTCCTTTTCTGAAGGAATACTTTGCTGTGTGCAGTATTCTGGGTTGCATTTTTTTTTTCCTTCAGTCTCAGCATGTATCATCTCACTTCTTTCTGGCCTATACGGTTTCTTCTGAGAAGTCTGCTGCTGGGTGTATTGGATCTGTCTTACATGTTATTTGCTGCTTTTCTTTAGCTGCTTTTAGGATCCTCTATTTGTCTCTGCACTCTGAGGGTTTGATTATAATATGTCTTGGGGTATTCCTATGTAGGTTGAATCTGACTGGTGACCTTCGATCATCCTATGCTTGGCTATTAATTTTTTTCCAGGTTTGGAAAGTTTTCTGTTATTATTTCTTTGCATAAGCATTTAACCCCTTTGTCTTCCTGAATTCCCTCTTTAATAACTCCAATATTTACTCTTTTGATGTTGTCCCACAGACCCCATAAGCTTTCTTCATGTCATTGTTTTCTTTTTTATCTCTGTGTATTTTCAAATAGCCTGTCTTCTGGCTCACTAATAAGTGTACTGTTGAAACCCTCTATTGCATTTTTCATTTTATTCATTGCATTTTTCGGCTCCAGGATTTGATTTTTTAAAATTACTTCAGTCTTTCTGCTACATTTCCCTGATAAATTTTTGAATTGACTCTGTTCTTTCTTGAAGTTTGTTGAGCTTTCTTAAAACAGCTATTTTGAATTGTTTCAGAGATCACACATCTCTATGACTTTAGGCTTGACCTGTGGTATCTTATTTTGTACACTTGGTGAGGTCATATTGTCCTGAGTCTTCTTGATGCTTGTGTATGTGTGACAATATCTGCACATTTAAGGATTAGGCTTTTATTCCACTCTCCACAGCCTGGCTTTATTTGTGCCTGTCTTTCAGAGGCCCTTCCAGAAATTCTAAAGCAACTTAGAATTCTTAAATTGTTTCCTGAGCCTGTGACCACTGCAGCCATCTCAGCACTAGAGGGCGCTCCAAGTCCAGGCTTGCTGCAGCTCTCCCAAGGGCTCTATGATTTACACAGCTCTCCCTCCCTGATGGACCTGAGGAAGAACTCAAGGAGGGTACAGGGGCTGTGTGGGAAAGCTGGTCAGGGACTCCAGTACAGAAGACTGTTTTAATGACCCAGACAAGTGTGTCTCCTAGTGCATCCCTGCAGGGAATGGATACTTCCTTGGCTTTAGTGGTGGGAGGGGATGGAGCTGATATTGGACCCCATCAGCATCTGTTTTTGGAGAGTGGCTGGAGAGCACATCTCATTGGCTCAGATAGACGCTTGTCTCCCAGCAGGTGCCTCTACAGACAGGATAGTTCACTGACTGCAGTGGTGTTGTTGTGTTTAAATTGAATTCTGCTCAAAATTAGTACGCTGTTGAGTAGGACTTGGAAGTCTGTTTATTACATTGCAAGGTTACTCTTTGTAGTAGAAATTGACTTACATCCTAGAACTTAGGTTCTGCTACTGAATCTATTTCAAAATGATTCTGCTGCCTGTATCTTTGTCTTTTCAAACTTCAAATACTCTTCTTCCTTTTACTTTGTATTTCTTTACTTTTTTTTTTTTTTAGCAGAACTAAATGTCATCAAAGTGTGGAAGAGGATAAAGCAAGTCAGGGAGGTTAGTGGAAAGAGAAGAGAAAATCAAATAATGCAAACATTAGGAAAGAAATCTATCTTATTGCATTTGATTTCTATTGTTTGCAAATACCTGCTTTCCAGGAAAATGTGCTGGGGTAAAAGTGTATTTTGCCTTTTAATGCTTATTTTCTCAGATGTTAATTGGAAGTTAATGGAGCTTATAATTCCTATACAAATGAACTTAAATCTGTGTGTTAACACAGCAGTGGCTCATTTCTATAACTAGCCCTTTAAGACTGGAAGCACAAGTGACAGATTTATATTCCTTCCTCTTCTGCCCTTGAGGAGGTGTATAATGGTAGTGTGTCAGGGCTCCAGCCTCCTGTTAGCTGAGGTCATTGAATTAGATCTGGAAATGTGTATAATTCCCTCTCCCTCCCATTCTCTCTCTCCCCCCACCCCCACACACACATGTGTATATATATATATATGTATATATATTTGCATGTATAAAGCACCTCTGGTGTCTACAGACATGCATGTATATATATGCATGTATATGTATGTGTGTGTGTATATATATATATATATATATGACTTTTGAGGGCATTATTTTCAAATTAGTTAAATCTAACTTGAAAAACTTTTATAAATAACAGAAATCAGGGAGTGGTGAGGACACTGTCCAGCTCTGCCCAAGAGGACATCATCCGGTGGTTTAAAGAGGAGCAGCTACCACTTCGAGCGGGCTACCAGAAAACCTCAGACACCATAGCCCCCTGGTTCCATGGTGAGTGCAGAGATTTCCTCAATGGTGTTTCGTCTTAGGGCGGATGAAGCTGTGCTAATCTACCAGGAAGCCAGAATAAAAGCTTCCATTTATTGGTGCTGCCCAAAAAGAGTCTTTCAGATTATTTCACAAAGCAGTTTTTCAAAGACGCCTCAGTAAGCTGCATTCTCATGACTGTTTAGAAAGCAGTCAGCATTCATGGGCACTGTATGCACTGTGGGGCAGACTTATCACCACAAATAAAATGCATCAGATGGGAGGGCAAAGAGGCATTCCTGGTGACTTACCACTAGGGTGCTTGTTTGTGACTTCCATCAAATGGCCACGTCTTCCTTTCACCGAGGGACACACAGTCATGGGTGTGGGAATGTGCTGGACAGGACACTGGCTGAGCAACCTTGAACAAATCATTACTTTTTCCGTAGGAAATCAATTTAAGCCTCATTTTCCCCATCTGTTAAATGAAGGAGTTGAACTTTGTGGTCTTGGAAGTGAAAACTTCTGTAGTTTTGATTCCTTGCTTCCAGTATGTAGTTGAGTGTGTAACATAGGTGGTTGGATCCTGAGCAGATATCAGCTAGTAAACATTTTCTGTATTTGACCCAAGAAACTTGATTCAAGCCCCTCTTCCACCCAGCAGATACTTCACAGGCCCCTCTGTTTCTTGGATCTCAAGAAAAGTGAGTGGCTTCTTGCCTTAGTTGACTTCCATAAGGTCTGTGGTTGAATTGGACTAATTGGCTATATGGACAACAAAAGGTGCTTTAAAACAAAAATACAGTCCCCTCCCAGAGTATGTTTGTCCTAAGCATGTCTTGGTTTGCATTATGTTTAAGGCATCTTTCCTCAAAGTAGTATCATCTCACACAGAAATATACCCACAAAAAGGAAACTCCCAAACACATATCATGGGAAACTCTTCTAAAAGGAATAGCTATTTGTGACAGGCTTTCTCCTAAAGCGCTGCTTGTGTGGTCAGAACGTCACAGAAGAACTGTCTGGCGTCTCTTGGAAGTATGTGTTCTTTGGTGATTCAGACTTTGTTAAGTATCCATCTCAGAGGAGTCCCCTCTCCTTCCCAGGATGAGGTTGCAAGCCTCCTTCCTTTCTGCTTGAAGACAATGAGAGAGAGATGATGGTGTCAAAGATGAACAGAAAGAACATGGGCCAATTATGCATTAGCCGCGGCTGTCTCAGCTGTCTAATAATGCCTTGCTTTCCTTTTTAAAATAAGCACCGAGGAAATCAGCCACTTTGTAGTTTCTGTATCTTTGGACAGAAGATGCTGTCATCTCTGATTATAAGAAGGGTAGTTTTTTTAACAGCAGGGAGTAAGAAATGGAAAATGATGGTTGTTATTAAAAGCCCTGGTACTTTAACAGGCAGTTCTGTTTGAAAGGCTGAAAGCTAGGAAGACAGAGACTAAAAATCGAGTTGGAGGTTTGGTTAAAAAATATGACTCTTGAGTTTTACGTAAAATAACTTGCATTCTTATCAATTTATTTTCACTTGTACACATATTTTTCAGACTCATAAGCAAAATAAAACTGTATAATTAATAACCATTACATAGCCATATAGTCAGTATACATCTTTATTTTCAGTTTCAAGAAGATACAGTTTCACATTTTCATGATAAAGAGAATATGCATCACATCTTATCTCTTTGAAATATAATCGCTTATCACCGGGAAGCCTGTTCTGAAATATTAGGATGGTAGCCCTTTATAGGTTTATCATCTTTTCTTTGTCACATCCACCATGAGTTACCCTTCATAAGATGCTATTTTGGTTGCCTAATTTTTCACTCCACAAAGTTTTATGCTTTCATCTTTTTCTCTCAATTAAGCTCAAGGTAAGGATGTGAGTGGGTAGGAGAGGACAAAGTGATTGAAGACTGGGATTTCTGGCTTTTGTGGCTGGGAGGAAGGTGGCTGGGCTATCAATGGAGAGAAGGAACATAGGGGATGGGGAGGGTTAGGGAAGCAGAGAAGAGAACAGAGTGTTCTATTTCACAGCATGATAAATGTAGTTAATAGAGTATTGTGTGTTTCAAAAGTGCCAAAAGAGTAAATTTCTAATGTTCTCACCAGAAAAAAAATGCTAAGTATTTTAGGTGATGGATGTGTTAATTAGTTTGATTTAATTATTCCACATTGGGTTCATATATCATAACATCAGTTGGTATCCCATAAATTTATACAATTGTAAATTTAAGATTTACAATGAAAAAGTTCCAAACTCCTCCCTGTGATCCACAATGCCTACTTGATCTGCCCCTGTCTATTGCTCCAGTCCCATCTCAAGCCACTGTACCTGCCTCGGTCACCTCTCCAGGCCTCCCTTCCATCCCTCAGACACACCACACTTGTCCCTACCTTAGGGTTCTTGCAGTTGCTCTTCCTGCACACCTTCCTTTGGCTGACTTCTTAAGGAATTGACTCACGTGATTACAGAGGCTTGGTAAGTCCCAAATCTGACAAGGTAGGAGGGAAGGCTGGAGATGCGGGGAGGAATGGCTATTCCCATCCAAATGCCCCCTGCTGGCAGCATCCCTTCCTGCTCAGGGGGAGGTCAGCCTTTGACGTAGGAAGGCCTTCAACTGACTGGACGAAGCCCACACACATTATGGAGGGTAATCTGCTTTACTCCAAGTCCTCCCATTTAAATCTCATCCAAGACCAGGCACAGTGGCTCATGTCTATAATCACAGCACTTTGGAAGGCCGAGGCAGGCGGATCACTTGAGGTCAGGAGTTTGAGACCAGCCTGACCAATGGGGCAAAACCCAATCTCTACTAAAAATACAAAAACTAGCTGGACATGGTGGTGCACACTTGTAATTCTAGCTACTCGGGAGGCTGAGGCAGGAGAATTGCTTGAACCCAGGAGGCACAGGTTATAGCGAGCTGAGATTGTGCCATTGCACTCCAGGCCTGGGCAACAGAGTGCTACTCTGTCTCAAAATAATAATAATAAAATATAAAACAAATCTCGTCCAAAAAATCCTTCCCAGAGACATCCAGAATAACTTTTGACCAAATATCTGGGACCATGGCCCAGTCAAGTTGACCCATAAAATTAAGCATGAAGGCAACTTTCTTGGTGAGACTGTGCTGGTCTGCTTGCTATAGACAACATTCAGATGAGCAGTTAGTTGTCTCCTTAATGAAGCTAGATTTAAGTTCTCAGAATGTAATCAGGCAAAATCATCTCAGAAATCCTCAAAACCACAGGCATGAAAGATCATACAAATTTTAATTTTTTCCCTTTACTTCATTAAAAAATGATTTTTCTTATGGAATATTTTAAACACAAAGTACCAAGAAAAATACAACACCAGTGATATAACAAATGTTGTATCTGTTCTCCAGGTGTAATGAATATTAACAGCCATATTTACTTCATATCTGTTTTTCTTAAGAAGTAAAACTTGCCAGGGCGGGCATGGTGGCTCATACCTGTAATCCCAGTGCTTTTGAGAGGCTAAGGCAGGTAGATCACTTGAGGTCAGGAGTTCGAGACCAGCCTGGCTAACATGTCAAGACCCCGTCTCTATTAAAAATCCAAACATGACCTGGATGTGGTGGCAGGCACCTGTAGTTCCAGCTACTTGGGAGGCTGAGGCAGGAGAATTGCTTGAACGCAGGAGGCGGAGCTGGCAGTCAGCCTAGATGGAGCCACTGTACTCCAGCCTGGGAGCAGAGTAAGACTCCATCTCAGAAAAGAAAATCTGCCATATAGAATTAAGGTCCCCTTTGTTAGTTTTCTTTTTAATCCCATTTCCTTTCCTTGTATCCTTCACTGCTCTTCTGAAGCTGTGATTTCCATCCATATTTTATATGCTGTAAACATATATATTGTAATAAAAATATACAGTATTGTGTTTAACATTTAAATGGGATCATGTTACACATATTGTTTTCCCCCAACATTGTTCCTGGGATTTGTCCTTGCTTATACACATAGACAGGCTCATTCATTTTACCTATCATGCAGTGTTTTATTATATACATTATATATATATACACACACATATATTACACACGTATCATTATTCATCTCTCCTACATTTGCTATAACTTTTTTGCTCTTACAGAAGATGATGTATACACCCTTGAACATGTCTCGCTGTAAACACATATGATCATTTCTTCAGAGTATATATCTAGAATCAGAACTCCTAGGAGGTAGGATATGTGCATCTTTAGTTACACTGCATATTGCTACATGCCCACGAAACTGATTATACCAGTATATACTCCTACCAGCTGTACTTGAGAATTTGTTTCCCTATGTACTTGCCAGTTCTTGATACTGCCAGATTCTCATTTTCCATTCCTCACAATGGAATCTTCTTATTTTAATTTGTACTAATTTATAGTGAGACTGAGCTCATATATTACTGGCTGGATGAGTAGGTCTTCTGTAATTACTTATACAGATCTTTTGACGATTTTTCTAATGAATTGATTTTTTATATTGACCTATAGGATTTTACATATTCTGGAGACTGATCCTTTGTCAATTATATGGGTTACATATATATTCTCCTAGTTTGTGACTTGTCTTTTAAGTCTTTTGACACATTTTAAGGGAGATAAGTTTTTCATTTCAATGAGGTTAAATTTAGCTATTTTTCCTTTATAGTTTCTGCTTGTTGTATCATGCACAATCCACCCATATTTTATTTTTGCATAGAATAGACATGGAGACTCTATTTATTATGTAAAAGTATGCACTATATACAAATTACCACCTTCACAGTTCTTTGTTGTTTTGGTTGTTGTTTTGAGATGGAGTCTCGCTCTTGTTGCCCAGGCTGGAGTGCAGTGGCACGATCTTGGCATACTACAACCTCTGCCTCCCAGGTTCAAGCAATTCTCCTGCCTCAGCCTCCTGAGTAGCTGGGATTACAGGGGCTTGCCACCATGCCCTGCTAACTTGTGTATTTTTAGTAGAGATGGGGTTTCATCATGTTGGCCAGGCTGGTCTCGAACCCCTGACCTCAGGTGATCCACCCTACTCAGCCTGCCAAATGGCTGGGACAACCGTTTTTAAGTGTACCATTCAGTGTTAAATATATCCATAATACTGTACAACTGGTCATGTGTGGTGGCTCCCATCTATAATCCCAGCACTTTGGGAGGCCAAGGAAGGCGGATCCTTTGAGCCCAGGAGTTTGAGATCAGCAACTTAAACATGGCAAATTCCATCTCTACAAAAAAAACATGGCAACACCCCATCTCTCCAAAAAAAAAAAAAAAAAAAATATTGCCAGGCATGGCGGTGCATGCCTGTAGTCCCAGCTGCCTGGGAGGCTAAGGCAGGAGGATCGCTTGAGTCTAGGAGACAGAGGTTGCAGTGAGCCAAGATCACGCCATGCACTCCAGCTTGGAAGACAGACCCTGCCTTAAAAAAAAAAAAAAAAAAATTTCTACAGCTATTACCACCATCCATCTGCAGAAGTTATTTCACCTTGTAAAACTGAAACTACCCATTTAATAATGCTCCATTCACCACCAACCCCCAGCCCCTGGCAACTACCATGGTGCTTTCTCTATGAATCTGACTATTCTAAATACCTCATATAAGTAGAACTGTACAGTATTTGTCTTTCTGTGAGTGGCTTATTTCATTTAGTGTCATGTCCTCAAGATTTACTCATGTTGTTGTGCATGTCAGAATTTCCTCCCTTTTCAAATCAGAATAATACTCCCTTCTATGGATGGGCCACAGTTTGCTTACCCATTATCTGTTGATGCACTCTTGAGTTGCTTCCATGTTTCAGGTATTGTGAATAGTGCTGCTGAGAACACAGGTGTAGAAATAGCTCTTCCAGACTCTGCTTTCAGTTCTTTTGGGTATTTACCCAGAGGTGGAATTTCAGGATTATAGGGTAATTCTACGGTTGAACTTTATAGAAACTGGCCATACTGTTTTCCATAGTGGCTATGCTATACTATTTTACCTTCCCACCAACAGTGGCTATGCCATACTAATTTTACCTTCCCACCAGCAGTGCACAAGAATTTCAGCTTCTCCACATCCTTGCCAGCACTTGTTATTTTTCTTTTTCCTTTTTTCTCTTTTAAGAGACAGGGTCTTGCTCTGTTGCCTAGGCTGGAGCGCAGTGGCACACTTAGAGCTCACTGCAGTCTCAAACTCCTAGGCTCAAGTAATCTTCCCACCTCAGCCTCCCGAGCAGCTGGAACTACAAGTTCCAGTACCATGACTGGCTAATTTTTTTATTTTTTGTAGAGACAGGATCTCACTGTGTTGCTCAGGCTGGTCTCAAATTCCTGGCCTCAAGCATTCCTCCCTCCTCAGCCTCCCAAAGAACTGAGATTACAGGCATGAGTCACTGTGCCTGTTATCCTTTTTTTCTCTCTCTCTTTCATAGCAACCATCCTAGTGGGTGTGAGGTCATATGTCATTACGGTTTTGAGTTGCATTTCCCTAATGACTAGTAATGTTGAGCACCTTTTCATTTGCTTATTGGCCATTTGTATATCTTCTTTGACAAATGTTTACTTGAACTCTTTGCCCAGTTTTGGATTGGGTTCTTGTTGAATTATGAGAGTTTTCTATACAGTATATTCTGGGTATCAATCCTTTATTAGATATCTAATTTAAAAATATTTTCGCCTGTTTTATGAGTTGCCTTTTTACTCTGTTGAGAGTGTCTTTTGATGTATAAAATGCTTTAATTTTCATGAAATTCGATTTGCCTCTTTTTTTCTTGTGTTGCTCGTGCCTTTGGTGTCATATCTAAGAAATCACTGCCAAATCCAATGTTGTGAAGATTTGGCCCTCTGTTTTCTTCTAAAAGTGTTCCAGTTTTAGGTCTTACATTTAAGTCTTTGATCCCTTTTGAGTTAATTTTTATATATGATGTTAGATAAGGGTCCAACTTCATTCTTTCACATGCGGTTATGCAATTTTACCAGCACCATTTGTTGAAATGACTGCCCTTTCCCTACTGAATGGTGTTAGCACCTTTGTCAAAAATCATTTGACCATGTCTATGCATTTTTATTTCTGAGTTTTTTATTATAATCTATTGGTCTATAAGTCTGTCTGTATGCCAGTACCACACTGTTTTGATTACTGTAGCATTGTAGTAAGTTTTGAAATGAGTATGTGTGACGTCTTCCTGTTTTTTCTTCTTTTTCGGGAGTGTTTTGATTATTTGGGGTCTCAAGATTCCACATGAATTTTTGGATGGGTTTTTCTATTTCTACAAAAAATGTTGGGATTTTGGTAGGGATTGCATTGAATCTGTATATCATTTTGCATAGTATTGTTGTCTTAAGTCTTCTAATCCAGGAACATGGGATGTGTTTTTATTTACTTATGTCTTCTTTATCTCAGCAATGTTTTGTAGTTTTTTTTTTTTTTAGACGGAGTCTTGCTCTGTTGCCTAGGCTGGAATGCTGAAGTGCAGTGGTATGATCTTTGCTCACTGCAACCTCCACCTCTCAAGTTCGATCAATTCTCCCATCTCAGCCTCCTGAGTAGCTGGAATTAAAGGCAACCACCACCATGCCTGGCTAATTTTTGTATTTTTAGTAGAGACAGGATTTCACTATGTTGGCCAGGCTGGTCTTGAACTCCTGACCTCAAGTGATCCACCTGCTTCAGCCTCCCAAAGTTCTGGGATTACAAGCATGAGCCACTGTGTCCAGTCATCAGTGTTTTATAGTTTTTATTGTATAAGTCTTTCACTTCCTTGGTTAATTTCTAAGTATTCTTTTTGATGATAATGTAAATGGAATTTGATTTGTAATTTCCTTCTCAGAGTGTTGTTAGTGTATAGAAATGCAACTGATTTTTGTGTGTTGTCTGTGTATCCTGCCACTTTGCTTAATTCATTTATTAGTTTTAACAGTTTTTTGTGGAATCTTTCTGGTTTTCTACATAGACGATTGTATCATCTGACAACAGAGATAATTTAACTTCTTTTCTAATTTGAATACCTTTTATTTATTTTATCTAACAGCTATAGCTAGAACTTACAGGAATAGTTGAATAGAAATGGCAAAAGTGGGCATCCCTACCTTATTCCTGATGTTAGAAGAAATGTCATTCAACATAAGTATGATGTTTGCTGTGGGTTTTTCATACATGGCCTTTACTATGTTGAGGGACTTTCCTTCTCTTCCTAGTTTGCTGAGTTTTTATCATGATAGGGTATTGCATGTTGTCGGATGCTTTTTCTGCATTAATTGAGATGAGCATGTATTTTTTTTTCATTTATCCTGTTAATACGGTGTGTTACATTGATCGATTTTCATATATTGTACCATCTTGCATTCCTCCTACTTGGTATGGTATATAATCCTGTTGATATGCTGCTGGATTAATTTTGATAGTAACCATGTTACTATAATACTAGCTTTTATAATTGCCTATGTATTTACCTTTATTGAGTTACTTGTTTCTTTATTTGGCTTTGAGTTACTGTCTGCATCCTTTCATTTCACCATGTAACATCCTTGGACATTTCTTGCATGGCAGGTTTAGTGGTAACAAACTTCCTTAGCTTTTGTTTACCCAGAAATGTCTTAATTTGCATCTCACTTTTAAAGGACAGTTTTGCCAGGATTGGCCAAAAGAATCAAGAATCAGTAGGATTCTTGATTGACAGTTATTTTTCTTTCAGTATTTTGAATATGCAGATAGTCCTCCACTTACAATGGTTTGACTTAAGATTTTTCTACCTTATGATGGTGTGAACGTGATACACATTCCGTAAAAACCATACTTCAAGTACCTGTTCAACCATTGTGTTTTTCACTTTCAATACAATATTCAATAAATTACATGGGATATTCAACGCTTATAAAATAGTCTTTGTGTTAGATGATTTTGCCAAACTGTAGGGTAATGTAAATATTCTGACCATGTTTAAGGTAGGCTAGGCAAATTATGACGTTCTGTAAGTTAGGTGTATTAAGTGCATTTTTGACTGATAATATTCTCAACTTATGCTGGGTTTATCAGGATGTACTGCCATCATAAGTTGAGGAGCATCTTTATTGGCCCACTGCTGTCTGTCCTCCAAAATTACTGATGAGAAATCTGGGGATAATCTTATTGACCATCCTTTGTATGTGATGAGTTGCTTCTCTCTCTTTTCTCTCTTGCTGCTTTTAAGATTCTTTTTTTTTTTTTTTTTTTTTTTTTGAGACAGGGTCTCACTCTGTCATCCTGGCTGGAGTACAGTGGAGTGATCTTGACTCGCTACAGCCTTGACCTCCCAGGTTCAAGCAATTCTCCTGCCTCAGCCCTGTCAAGTAGTTGGGACTATAGGCACTTGCCACCATGCCTGGCCAATCTTTGTCTTTTGACAATTTGATTGTATTATGTGTCAGTGTGGGTCTCTTTAAGTTCATCTCACTTGGATTTCATTGAATTTCTTGGATGTTTATATAATGTCTTGCATCAAATTTGGGAAGTTTTCATTATTTCTTCAAATACTCTCTCTGCCCCCTTCTCCTTCTGATAGTTCCACAAAATGTATATTGGGTCATTTGATGCTGTTCCGTAGGTCTGGTAGGCTGTGTTCACTTTTCTTTATTTTGTTCTTTCTGTTCCTCAAACTCAGTAACATCCATTGTCCTATCTTCAAGTTCAGTGATTCTTTCTTCTCCCTGCTTAAATCTGCCTGTGAATTCCTCTAGTGAATTTTTCATTTTAGTTATACTTTCAGTTCTAGGATTTGTTCTTGGTTTTTTTTTTTTTATTTTAGGTTTTCTCTTTATACTTACATTTTGTGCATACGTAAAGTCTTTGAGTAGATCTGTCATTGGGTCTTTTTCAGTGACAGTTTCTGATTTGTTTTCCTTTGAATGGGCCATATTTTCCTTTTTATTTTCATGCGTTGTGACTTTTTGCTGAAAACTGGGTATTTGAATGTAATAATGCGGTAACTCTGGGAATGTGATTCTTCCTCTTCCCGAAGGTTTACTATTTTTTTTTGTTTTTATTGTTATAGGCTTTCTCTATGTCAAGGATCAGCCTGAGGTATAAACTTACAGTCTTCACAGCTTCTTTTTTAGCCTGTATCTTTACATGGCCATGAATAGTCATAATTTTCCGCATATATGCAATTATTTTTGAATGCCCTAGTCTTTAATGTCTGGCTGCCAAAAGGGGGAAAAAATTAAGGAGGAGGGATTTTTAAAATGTAATCACTAGATTACCTAGGTTTGAGTTGGATTTTCTTCTCTGTAAAATGAGGATAATACTAATACATCTATGTCATAGGGTTGTTTTTATAAAGTAAATCAGCTGATATGTAAAGTGCTTAGAACAGTACCTAATAGGTGGTGTTTGTTATTTTGGTTTATCAGATTTGTGCAGTTTAAGTTCATCTCTCCTGTTCCCCTTTCTTTTCGTATCATTTTGAGTAACAGTGTAACTAAGCAGCACTTCAGTAAAATAGATTGTAATTACTGCAAAAACTGCCCTATGTTATTTCTACAAGTGTTTATTTAGGGCCTGTCTTTAAAAGCTAGGAGGTCACCTCAGAAGGCAACAGTAATTTGGAAGGACAGAGGGTCAACACCCTCACCAACAGAGAATGAAGTTTTTTGGGTAAGTTTGCCAGGACATTGCAGGTTAAGGTTGAGCTTGGGTTTGGGAGGGATGGTGCAAAGAGACAGGGGTGAGTCTTAGCATTGCTAAAGGAATAGCCACCATTTTCTAGATTAATGATCTTCTAAATATTGTAATTGCTTAAGTCTGCCTGATTTTGTCACCCTTTATCTCTTCTTATCCCATTGTCCTTGAACACCCATTTTTTCAGTTCCGGACTGTCTTGACCTTCACATGCAATCCTTGTTTTATTCATTTTATTCTTGCATCTGATAGCCAGATTCCAACATTAAGAAAGACCTTACAGTCTGTAATATTTGTAAACTAAGTAAGTAATGTTGGAAAGTCCTTCTGGCCAAATTTAACATCCTGCTGACTGAAGAGTCATCCCAGTTATTCTGGCTTCAGATTATGAGTCTCCAAAGTGTGTAGATACATAATTCATTTTACCCACTAACATGCTTTTAAAGTTCCCCAAGACAGGGCCAAAGAATAAATAAAATTGAGATCTGAAGTTCTGTCCAGAAACCCACAGGTTCATTTCTTCATTCTATCAACATTTTCCTACTTCTGCTAAAAATACAGCAGTTTATTGCAGCTCAGAAACTGGCAGGGACTGGGAGTGGGAAGATGGGTAAAAAGAAATCTGTGTATAAACAAGTTTATGATTTAGACAAAAATTCACATATTTGCTTTATGTATCAATAGTTGATCATTATTCCTCTGAAATTTAATGAACACTCTTACTCAAATGTGGATGTAATTAGACTGTTGATGAAATCTTTCCATCTTGATTTGTTTCTTGTGGCTGTCTTTTGCTGTCATGGCATACAACTGAACCTACCCTCCTCGTGCTTTGGTCCCAGTATTTTATATTTTAATCTACTTAGCAAGCACATCCTTTTTACTTTGGTGGGATAGCAATATAGTTCACACTTCAGCTGTTTTTTTGTTTTTTTTTTTTTTGAGACAGAGTCTTGCTCCACTACCCAGGCTAGAGTGCAGTGATGCGATCTCAGCTCACTGTAGCCTCCACCTCCCAGGTTCAAATGATTCTCCTGCCTCTGCCTCCCAGGTAGTTGGAATTACAAGGCATGGGCCACCACACCCTGCTAAGTTTTGTATTTTTAGTAGAGACCATGTTGGCCAGGCTGGTCTTGAACTTCTGACTTCAAGTGATCCACCCACCTTGGCCTCCCAAAGTGCTGGGATTACAGGCCTGAGCCACCACGCCTGGCCACACTTCAGCTATTTTGATTTCTTCCATTTTTTGATACATCCTACTGACTCTTCAGAGGGTCACTCTGAACCTCTTGGAGGTATTCTCTGGAATTGTTGTTCCCTAGAGATGGTTTTAAGGTGGAATCCTGTGTCCCACTCCTCCCAACTTCCCTTCTTCTACTCCTGACAGTTTGTCATACACAGCTCCTTCAAAACGGGGACCAGATACCACCCCCAACAGAGCATATGTCACTGAATAGGTTGCATTAAGAAGGGCTCATGGAGGCTTCCCAAAATTTCTTTCTGTCTAAGATCTTAGCAGACCTGAGTCACTACCCCTAAGTGATCATCTATCCTTCTACTATTTTGCTGAAGAATGGAGATTTCTTAATTGTGGGGCTATCAATATTCTGCCCACCTGTCACAAAGGGATTTTCAAGCTTCTGTCTTCACTGAGCACAGAGTAGTTATTTATGTGATTTCTCAAAGCCTTTTTGTTCTTAAACCTCAGATGACACATATATCCTGCCTCATTTACATGGATGACTCACACATTTTATGGCGTGGAGAGGCTGTGGCCAGCAACAATCATATATCACTGCCGGTGTGTGGCAGAGAAGGACAGCTGGAAGTCCATTCCCAGGCAGGGCTCCTTTTAGTATGAAGGCTTCACCTACATTAATGTCATTAAAGCAAAGCACGTTTTGTCCAAATTATCCTCCATGGTCCCCCTATAAAATTGCCTAGTATTTGTTCAGATTGTAAAGCAGCTGGAGAAGATGAAACAAAGAGGCTAAAACTACACACATTAATTCGGATTTGGGAAGAGCTAGCTTTTCTGCAGAACATTCTATGTAATGCTGGCTTTTTCCTGGAAGAAGCTGACTTTTCTCATAAATTAGTGCAGCAGGCTTCCTGCAAAAATGTCACTGTGTTTGCCAGTAATGTGGGGAATAGCCCATTAGCTCCAGGCTCTTACTTGGGTTTTTGCAGATGATGCACTTGAGTCCTCATCCTGACACTATCAGAGGATGGCAGTGGCTGTGCCCGGGAGCCCCAAGCTTCCCACTACACATGCCCAGGACTGGACCCTTGTAGTTCCCTGTCCTGCTCTTGGAGTCCTGAGGTTGCCTAGAGGGGCCTCAGAGGCAAGGGGCAGGTACAGTGGGTGTGTGAGAACCTAAGAAGAGAGAGTCTGCTTTGGGGGTTTCACTTGGAATTTTGAATAGAAAAGGGGTTCTACTGTTTAATTTAGTATTTTAAAAGCCATGTGTTTGTCATCAAACATTTGTTATCACATGCTTTTTTTAAAAAAAAGACAGGGTGTTGCTCTGTCACTCAGGTTGGAATGCAGTGGGGTGATCACAACTCACTGCAGCCTTGACTGTCTGGGCTCAGGTGATTCTCCCACTTCAGGCTCCTGAACAGCTGGGAATGCAGGTGTATACCACCACACCCAGATGATACTTTTTGTTGTTCTTTGTAGAGATGGGGTCTTGCCAAGCTGGAAATGCAGGTGTATACCACCACACCCAGCTAATAGTTTTTGTTGTTCTTTGTAGAGATGGGGTCTTGCCAAGCTGGAAATGCAGGTGTACACCA
This sequence comes from Homo sapiens, assembly GCF_000001405.40. Lineage (NCBI taxonomy): Eukaryota > Metazoa > Chordata > Mammalia > Primates > Hominidae > Homo > Homo sapiens. The sequence continues at coordinate 19,387,085 of NC_000008.11, forward strand.
CCACACCCAGCTAATAGTTTTTGTTGTTCTTTGTAGAGATGGGGTCTTGCCAAGCTGGAAATGCAGGTGTACACCACCACACCCAGCTAATAGTTTTTGTTGTTCTTTGTAGAGATGGGGTCTTGCCAAGCTGGAAATGCAGGTGTACACCACCACACCCAGCTAATAGTTTTTGTTGTTCTTTGTAGAGATGGGGTCTTGCCAAGCTGGAAATGCAGGTGTATACCACCACACCCAGCTAATAGTTTTTGTTGTTCTTTGTAGAGATGGGGTCTTGCCAAGCTGGAAATGCAGGTGTACACCACCACACCCAGCTAATAGTTTTTGTTGTTCTTTGTAGAGATGGGGTCTTGCCATGTTGCCCAGGCTAGTCTCAAACTCCTGGTCTCAAGTGATCCTCCCGCGTCAGCCTCCCAAAGTGCTGGGATTATGGGCATGAGACACGGCATCTGGCCATGGCCATCACATGCTTTTTTATTTTTGTACCATCACATGCTTTCTGGACAGTTTCTTCTGACACAGCCAGATCATGATGCCTGACTTCTTTATGCCAAGGGAAAGTAAGTAAGTAAGTAGTGGTTAAGAGCATGTCCCTGGGGCCACAGTGCCTGGCTTCAAATCTGAGTCTCCCCATTAATTACTTGTGTGGCTTTAGGCAGTCACATGACTCTGTCCTTCTGTCCCTGATCTGTATAATGCAGATCAGTAGGGTTGTTCCTGCCTCAATATGTGCATGTAATTTGTTGGTAATATTTGTAAAGCATGAAGAACTGTGTGGCACATAATAAGCCCTAGTTAATAAGCGTTAGCCATTTAAGATAATGAAGTGAGGATGAATAACGCTAATAGTTCTGATCCTTGACTCATTAAGGAGCTTCTCAGTCCTCAGCAGCATGAATGCTAAGCTCAGATGTTGGAAGAGTCCATGATGCACTGTCCCCACATCAAGGCATACTACACATACGTAACCAATCAAAAATGCATCTTCTTTAAGTTGCCAAGGTGAGAAATGAACACCCCTTTGTGAAATAAAGACTCATTTTATTTTCGGCTCATTCCAGGAAAATTCCATGAGCCTAGTGGGTTAAAAAGCATAGTGAGTTAAAAGCAAAACCCCAGAATAAGAGACAAGAGCCCTGGAAGTGTCATTTGCTAATCCTGCAAGCTTGGGCACTTGCCTTTTCTGCGTTAGTTTCCTCATCTATAAAATACAGATGACGATAATATCAGCTCTGCTTTTTAGAGGAAGCAACTCTAAAATGCAGTGGAAGCACATTGAACAGTGTGGTATGCCAGGGCAAAGCAGGTGTTCTGTCTGAGAGAATGGGTGAGAGCAGGGGCTCTGAGGTCAGCCAGCCTGGGTCCAATTCCAGTGCTTCTCCTGACCTACCCAAATGACCTTAAGCAGGGTTTGCAAGTTTTCTCACCAATTATTTGAGGATAATAACAATATATCTATGTAGGGTTGCGGTGAGGATAAAAGGAGGTGATACAAACTTTATTTGGCCATCTTTCATCTGATTTTTAAACACATTTTCCAGACACAGGAAGTTGTACAGATGTACCCAAATAATATTAGACCTCGTGGCACTTCAAAGAAAAATGAAATGCATCTCTTGTCCCTATGATCACAATTCTTAGAATAGAGGCAGTGGCTGCACGGAAGTGTCCCACAGAAGGAAGTTTCAGACTTGATTATAAGACACAAGCATTCATTAAACTCTTTTTCGGTCATCTTCTAAGTGGCAGGTGCTGAGTGTGTAAAAATAAATAAGATGGAGTAGTTGGCCTCTAGGAGCTCACATGGAAGTGGGGGAGGGCAGGACAGTCATGGCAGAAGGTTCTGTGAATTCTTGGAGGATTCTTGGATGGAGGGGAAAACTAGCTGAGTACACAGATGGAGGTAAGTACAGGTGAAACCCTGCATTGACCACTTGAGTGCTCAGATGGAGGTGGGAGCAGGTGCTCAGCAGGTCTAGGAGAAACTGAGACTGACTGCCTAGACTAGGATCAGGACACGTCATGTTCTGGAGTTGAATCTTGCAGAGTGAGTAGGAGTTTTCCAGGAGGAAGCTGTGGAGAAAAATACCATTGAACTGCCCTGTGGGGCAGTCCCTGCCACTTGGATTTCCAACCAGAGCCTGCTGGTGTTTGAGTTACTTCTGGGCTCTTGGGTCTGTTTACCATCTCCTATGCAAAAAATGTTTCCCCGGGGCCTTTCCTGGGCAAAATGTTTATTCTAGAGAGGTTTAGAGCTACGCTGTCCAGTTAGGGTAGCCCCTAAACACATGTGGCTTTTCCCATCAAAATGAATCACAAGCCCTATTTCAGAGTTCAGTAGCACATGTGGCAATATTTTCATTATCACACACAGAGAGGAGTGGGACCTCCTCCAGCTGCGACGGACCCTTGTGCTGCTGCTGTTTTGTAGGGTGTAGGCTCAGGAGTTTCAGTTCCTGCTCTGCCCCAGGCTCTTCAGGGCCAGACACTGCCCATCAGACCTCACGCAGTGACATCTACTTTCTTGTGGGCTGCCAGAGTTCTGCCAGTCCTGGCCTGGATTCAACTCTAAAATCAACAGACTGTTGCCTGGGTGAAGATATAGGTCACTAAACTGATAGCCTAAAATATTCCAACCTGGGCAACATGGCGAAACCCCATCTCTATGAAAATTGGCCAGGCATGGTGGCACGTGCTTGCAGTCCCAGGTACCCAGGAGGTTGAGGCTGCAGTGAGCTGAGATTGTGCCACACTGCTCCAGCTTGGGCAATGGAGTAAGACCCTGTCTTAAAAAAACAAATAAAAATTACTGCTTTTCTCTAGCACAGAAATCCTCCTATGACATCAGGTTTGGTTTCTTTAAGCTGTGCAGAGAGGGCAGGTCAGAGGGAAGCAGCACCAATGTGTCATAGCCTTTAGGGGCTGGGATGAAGACCCCTGCTTCAGAATTCTTAGAGTTGTGCAAAGGGCAATGCAGGGGACAAGTACCGTTAGGTTGACTGAGGCCGGGTGCAGTGGCTCACGCCTATCATCCCACTATCATCCCAGCACTTTGGGAGGCCGAGGTGGGCAGATCATTTGAGGCCAGGAGTTTGAGACCTGCCTGGCCAACATGGTAAAACCCTATCTCTGCTAAAAATACAAAAATTAGCTGGGCATGGTAGTGGGCTCCTGTAATCCCAGCTACACAGGAGGCTAAGGCATGAGAATCGCTTGAACCCAGGAGTCAGAAGTTGCAGTGAGCCGAGATCGCACCACTGCACTGCAGCTTGAGTGACTGTTTAAAAAAAAGAAAACGTGGAATAAGTCCTCAGTAATCAATATCTAACATTAGATTTTGGTTTTGTGCTCAAGAATTCCCTATCCCAGCAGATGAACCTCATTGCTTGGCAGTAATCACAGCCAGGACACCCCAAATGCACACAGTGCCCCTGATGGATTCATGACAGATGGATTCATGACAAACTGTACATTGACCTGTGTATTTAGCTGCACCAAGCCAGTTTGCTATTAAGGAATAGTAATCCTCTTACAAAGCAAAAAAAGCAAAGACAAACTACCACTTGGATCATTCAAAGCCTAGGCTCCAGGGCACTGCCCTTTGGAACCTGCCCTCTGTCCCATGGTGTACAAGGAGTCTCCACTATGACCTGTGCTTTGCCATCAACATGATTGATTGGGTCCTGGTGTCCCAGGAGATTAGATGGCACCAAGATCTATGCGTAAGGCTAAGGGGCTTTTGGAAAGTTTCAGTTACAGTCACTACGACCTCATTTTAAAAGGAATTTGACCTTACTTAGCCGAGGTTTGGTTATAAATTTCCAGAATAGCTTTAATTTTAGGAATCCAGATTCATCTGGATAATTTCCAGATGTCATAAATTGTAACACCTGCCCCATCTGTTGAAACAGCCTGGAATTTCATAGTGAGCCGTCAGCCTAGGAGGAGGGAGAGATCTTTTTCCAAGATGCTGCTTCTCCTCCGGTCGTGGCTCCTTGTTTCTGAAGGGGACTTTTCAGGGTCATTGAAAACATCCCTGGGTTTCGGAGTCAGTCTCATACAGTGTCTTTAGAGATTTGCCATGTGCAGTCCCCGCATGGGCTGGTACCTGGCGCCTTGTTTCAACGTATGGTTGTCATTTGTAATTTATCAATGGGACCAGGTATGCTTAGGAAGGGGAAATAGACAAACAGAAGGAGCAGCCCGTATCTGTTGGAACTTAGCCATGATTTGAGTACCTCATGGGGATAGTGGAGCATCTGAACCAAGAGGCTTTCTGTGTCCATGGTACCTACGGTGTTCCATGGGTCTGTCTCAGCAGGGAAGGGGTGGAAAAGCGACTGGACATGATACATGCAATGCATGTGCATCAGTCGTCTGCTGGGAATGAGTGTAATAGAGCCACTGCCCCTAGGAGCAAGGCCCTGGTCTGTTTCGAGGATGTTGACTATCTGCAAGTCGGGGAGACTGGCCTTTTCACCCACTCCCAGCTCTTACCTGGAGGTCTCACACTGGGTTGACCTTCATACACTGGGACTCTGCAGTGGGACACCTGGGGTCTGTGTTCTCCTAAATAGGAAGCAGGAGAAGGTCTGGTTGGATGATCTTGGCTAGAAGAAAACAGACAATTTTTAAAATCCTCCTGTCATTCAAGGGTCTGTTTACAGAAAAGAGAACAGACATGGTTTTATTTTACTCTGGAGAGAGTTCACTTCTCAATTAGCTGTACTAACAAGACAAAAGGGCTATGGCAGCCCCTTGCCTTTTCCTGAGGTGGTTCTGTTATTGTTTTGTTTTCCTGATAATAAGGTACTGAGTATCAACAGGGAGCCAACAAGAGAAGGCAAGAGCTTTGCTGAAATGAAAAAGGGCACGCGTAGAACGCTGCTCCTCCCTCCCAGATCTCAGCTCACTGAATAATTCATTGACTTCCCCATCTTTCCAAGATGCGTTTCTACTCTGTGAGTTTTACAGCATTATCTATTCATTGATGGATTATGATGGGAATAAAAAATTTGGAACATGAGTCAGACCTCATGAGTTTGGACTAACTGGGGAAAAGGCTGGTCTGGAGTAAGAGTGTGAATTCCTGAGGCATCTAAGCTATGTCTATATATAACTTCATATGTGTATATAAAGACACACATATAGTTTTATTCCTTTAAATGCCAGTGTAGTGTCATTTAGCAATAGCTACAGGCTAAGGTACTTTATAGAACTGAGTAGAACTGAGTCTGACTTGGCTCTGTCACTAAATTACTGAGCCTCCCACACCAGGGAGTCTCAATTTCAGCACTACTGCTATCTGGGGCTGGATAATTCTCTGCAGTGTGGGGCTGTTCTGTGTCTCATAGGCTGTTTAGCAACATCCCTGACCTCTAACCCCATCCTCCATCCATGACAACCAAAGATGTCTCTCGGACACCTTTGTCCGAGTGGTTGAGAACCACTGTCCTAGACCAAGTCAAATCACTCCCCAGGCCATTGAGTCCTTGTTGGTAAACTGAGGTAGCCTAGGGAGAGTATCTTTAAATCCCCTCCCAGATCTAACATTCCCAGGATGACCATCAAGGCGTTCTGTTAGACCCTTATAAACCGTCTAACACCTGTGTGTTGCTCTAAATGGGTGTATAAGTAGAAATATATTCCTTTTTTTTTTGTTTTGTTTTTTGAGATGGAGTCTTGCTCTGTTGCCCAGGCTGGAGGGAGTGCAGTGGCATGATCTCGGCTCACTGCAAGCTCCGTTTCCTGGGTTCACACCATTCTCCTGCCTCAGCCTCCTGAGTAGCTGGGACTACAGGTGCTCGCCAAAACGCCCGGCTAATTTTTTGTATTTTTAGTAGACATGGGGTTTCACCGTATTAGTCAGGATGGTCTCGATCTCCTGACCTCGTGATCCACCCACCTCGGCCTCTCAAAGTGCTGGGATTACAGGCGTGAGCCACCACGCCTGGCCCAGAAATATATTCTTCTTTTAAGGTTGACATTTAAGCTCTCATGTATACCTCTATACATGATTTTTATACAGTTTGCCTCTATAACCTGTTCATGTCTAATTAGCAAATACCAGAAGAATATTCCGTATTCCTAAGAAGCCCAAAACAGACTTAAAATTGCTCTTATTGTGTCTTATTTAGGCGTCATTGACTCTATATCCATGCAGCTGGATTTAACAGAGGGGATTTTCTGGAATGATTTGGCTGAAATACCTGCCTTTTTTTGCTTTGCCACAGGAATTCTCACACTCAAGAAAGCAAATGAACTTCTTCTGAGCACAGGCATGCCCGGCAGTTTTCTCATCCGAGTCAGTGAAAGGATCAAAGGCTATGCCCTGTCCTATCTGTCGGAGGACGGCTGTAAACATTTCCTCATCGATGCCTCTGCAGACGCCTACAGCTTCCTGGGCGTGGACCAGCTACAGCATGCCACCTTGGCGGATTTGGTGGAATATCACAAGGTGAAGCAATGCATAAACTTAATTTGCCTTCTGAGTTACTGTCCTGTAGCAGCTCTAACAATGAATGACAATTACAAAGAAAAGGACTGAGACAAGTACTGGGGAGGGGACAGGGGTGGGGGCTTGTCTTTGATAATTCTTCCTGATAATCAGGATTGTTAATCACATTTCATTTATCTTAGAACCTAGTTCTTCCTTAAATACTCAGGGAACCCCACTGGGGCAGAGAATACGGGAAATGCTAAAACAAAAAAATAAAAGCTGTACCCACATGGATCACATATGACAGCAATCCCCAAACTTTGTGACACCAGTTTCCTGGATGACAATTTCTCCATGGACTCAGTGTTGGGGGATGGTTTCAGGATGATTTAAGCACATTACATTGATTGTGCATTTTATTATTACATTGTTATATATAATGAAATAATTATACAGTTCAACATAGTGTAGAATCAGTGGGAGCCCCGAACTTGTTTTCCTGCAACTAGACAGTCCCATCTGGAGGTGATGGGGGACTGTGACAGATCATCAGGCATTAGATTTTCCTAAGGAGCGCACAACTGAGATCCCTCCCATGCACAGTTCACAATAAGGTTTGTGTTCCTATGAAAATCTAATGCTGCTACTGATCTGACAGGAGGCAGAGCTCAGGCGATAATGTGAATGACAGGGAGCAGATGTAAATACAGATGAAGCTTCACTCCACTGCTCACCTCCTGCTATACAGCCCAGTTCTAACAGGCCACAGACTGGTACTGGTCCATGGCCCTGGGGTTGGGGACCCCTGACCTATGAGAATTCATAGGCCTTAAGTTAGAATTCAAGCCCTGAAGGGAAAGGAGTACCTGGTCACATGTAGATAAGAAAAATGCCTTTTAAGATGATCATAAACCACAAAAGCTTTGTGTAAATCATGGGTAGGCAGCTAGTGATGTCCTCTGAGGAAGTAGGAAGAGCATGTGGTCACTACTTACACTATCTGACCCCGTGCCTTCTGATTGACAGGAGGAACCCATCACTTCCCTGGGGAAGGAGCTCCTTCTCTATCCCTGTGGTCAGCAGGACCAGCTGCCTGACTACCTGGAGCTGTTTGAGTGACAGCCTCCATCAGGGTCATCCTACAGCCTCCAAGCGGGCTTTCCCCTGGACAAATGCCACTGCAACATTTATGTGTGAAGCCAAAATCACCCTGCAGCAGAGCCAATACTGATCAACTGAAAGTAAAGTATCCATGGAGTCCTCATTGACACCTCTTTTCTGCACAAATACTGGAATTCAATGTCAAGAGAAAATGACCTCTGCTCAAAAGGGAGAAGAGTCTCAATTTCAGCAAGTACCTGTCATGAAGGGTATGACCTTAATGATGTACATAAAATAAAACAAATGAAGAAATGGAAAACTTTTAGAAATTAAGGTGTACTTGAAAACGAATATCTATCATATGACCCCTGCACTCCCTCTGTATCATCTCAGGAGGTTTCAGGGGCCTGTTGACATGAAGTTTCGAAGTTTCATGTTGGCTTTGGAATGGTAGCAAAAGCCTTTCCTGGCTGAGATGATGCTTAAAACACACCTCACTTATTGTACATGTTGGAACCAGGACATGAGAGACATAGAAAAACAGAAGTCATGAATGTAAATTGAATGAGAGGCTTAACATGCATGAAAATACAGATGGACCTGCAGGAAAGTGAGCAAACATCGCTGAGTTTGTTTTCTTGTTCGGGAGAATGGGGCCGGGGCTGGCCTGGCCTCCCCTGGATATACTCTATAGTGCACCAAAAGGATAAAGCATCTGTACATGTATTTTTTTATTTTTTATCAGAAGTGCTTAGACAAGAACAGAATAAGCAGGCTGTTTGGATGCTACTTGTGGTTGAATTGTGTTCCCCCAAAATATATGGTGAAGTCTTAACCCCCATCCCCGTGAATGGGACCTTGTTTGGAAATAGGGTCTTTGCAGATATAGTCAAGATGAGGTCACATTGGATTAGGGTGGGCCCCAAATCCAATGACTGGCATCCTTAGGAGAAGAGAGAGTTTTGGTAATAGACACAAATGCAGTGGGAAGAAGACCAGGGGACAAGAGGCAAGTTGGAGTGATGCAGCCGGAAGGGAAGGGACACCAAGGATCTCCGGCCACCAGCAGAAGCCAGCAGAGAGGCATGGGACAGGTTCCCCACAAGCCTTAGAAGGAAGCATGGCCCTGACTTCAGAATTCCAGACTCCAGAACTGGAAGAATAAATGTCTGTTGTTTTAAGCTGCTTAGTTCATGCTGAGTTCATGCTGACTTGTTACTATAGCCCCAGAAAGCTAATACAGTCGTTTATGTAATTACATAACCTGACACACAAGATCGACCCATTCACTGCTGCCCAGTCCACCATTTTCATAATGAAGTAGAAATGGGAGGTAAGAAAAACATTCCAGCCAGTTCTGTTTAGCCCTGGCACACATATTTGTCCCGTCAGGAATCTTATGCCCTCCTGGAACCCCCGCCCACCTCAGTCCAGTCCCAGTCAGGCGAACGGCCTCTGGACAGGGACTGAGGTGGCTCTGAGCCACTGGAGATCATTTTTCTTGGAGGATGGAGATTGGCTAGTACCTCTGGCCTAACTGTGTAGGTCAATACTCTTTTACATTGCCTTCTAATAAAAGCAGAATGATACAGCAGTGTTGTTACAAGCTTGTTGGTTGCGTACAGCACTCATTGACTATAAAATGTAGCCAGAGAAGGGGATGGTTGGCATGTGTGTTCTAATGAGAAAGATGATGGTGATTATTATTTTTAGAGACAGAGTCTTGTTCTGACACCCTGGCTGGCATGCAGTAGTGCGATCACAGCTCACTTCAGCCTCAAGCGATCCTCCTGCCTCAAACCCCCAAAGTGCTAGGATTATAGATGTGAGATACTATGCCAGGTAGAGATAGCTTTTAAACATAGATCATTGTTTAACTCTTTCTTGAAATGTTCCATGTGGTTTATATTGTTAAACTATTGTAAGGATCCATCTCTTGGCTTTTGTTCCTATGATTCAACAGTCATGGCATTATTGAGAAACTTCTCAACTCTTCCTACCATTTTCTGTATAATCTTGGACAGGACAGTTTGTCTCTGAGCCTCAGTTTTTGCTTCTGAACAAAAAAAAATATGATTCAACTGGGTGATCTTTGTTATTTTCATCCAATTCTGAAATTTTAAGGTTCTAGTGCTTCTCACTGGAATGAATGGAAAGTACCCACTTGTCACCACTAATAATTAGGAAGATGTAAGATTCCAGTACTGGCCAGGTGCAGTTGCTCATGCCTGCAATCCCATCAATTTGGGAGGCCAAAGTGGGTGGATCATGAGTTCAGGAGTTCAAGACCAGCCTGGCCAACATGGTGAAACCCCGTCTCTACTCAAAATACAAAAATTAGCCGGGGACGGTGGCATGCACCTGTAATCTCAGCTACTCTGGAGGCTGAAGCAGGAGAATTGCTTGAACCTGGGAGGCGAAAGTTGCAGTGAGCCGAGATCACACCACTGTACTCCAGTCTGGCTACAAAGCAAGACTACGTGCTGGGGGAAAAAAAAATCCAATACCCCCCTGTGCCTACAGTTATCTTGTAGGAAATAATTGTGGCCATATCCAGATATAACTACACAAAGCAACATCCTATTAAAGGAAGATTTAGAAAACAGGAAGTCACCCAACTGAATTCACCCAATATTACACAGGGGAGCAGATGTGGGTTCCGGACTAGTTTATCCTGTTGGTTGCTGATTGATAGAGGAATACACTGTCCAGTGTTGGATGATATGATGGCACGAATGACACTTGAAATTCTTAGGGAAGGAGAATGGTTTACAGATTTCAGAAACTGAATTCAACCGAATGGAATTCAGGAGGCCTGAATGGTCATCCGAGCAGTGCTGTGGTCTCTGTCCTGCCTACATTTACCCTGAGTTACGGTCTGAGGTGAAGATGTCCAAACTCTGACCCTGGTCTCCTCCTCCTGTTGCCTCTGCAAGCCCAGCTCCTTGACCTGCCTGCGCAAGGTTTCTGGGTCTAGGAATGCTGCTTTCATGTTACTGTCCTGGTTCTCAAGCCTAGGGGCTCTGGTCTGCAGACCCTGACTCACTGGGACTGTGGCCAAATACTCCTGCCCATCTAGATTCTTCTCTCCCACAATTCTGGAATCTCCCGCCCACAGTCATGTAAGATTTTCTGGCTGCCACCGTATTGCCAGATGCTCACAGACCTATCAGGTCACTTGCAAGGACCCTGCTTCTGGCCTCCTGCCCTACCCTGCTGCAGTAGGATGCACAAGGAAGGTCGCTTGGCCCTGAGTGTCACCAGCAGTGCTAGTCAGTCTGAAAAAGTGTTTTCTGGCTGGGCACGGTGGCTCATGCCTGTAATCCCAGCATTTTGGGAGGCCAAGGCAAGTGGATCACGAGGTCAGGAGATCGGGACCATCCTGGCCAACATGGTGAAACCCCGTCTCTACTAAAAAAAAAAAAAAAAAAAAAATACAAAAATTAGCTGGGCTTGGTGGCACATGCCTTGTAATTCCAGCTACTCAGGAGGCTGAGGCAGGAGATAGCTTGGGAGTCAGAGGTTGCAGTGAGTCGGAGGTTGCAGTGAGCCGGAGGTTGCAGTGAGCCGAGACCACTGCACTCCAGCCTGGTGACAGAGCAAAAGTCCGTCTAAAAAAAAAAAAGGTGCTTTCTGGCCCAAAGCTTACCCTAAAAATGGAGAAAACACAGGGCAAGTTAGGAAAAAAAGGATCAGAGAAAGAAAAAAGTAGATGGGCAATGGTCAGTCAGGTCACCAAAAATACCTCCGGGACATTTCCACCCAAAATTGCCTATCTGAGCTAATGCTTTGGAATTAAGCATCCTTTGCTAATATGACATGAAATCTGCTTTTAGATTAAAAAAAGAAAAATTCATGGCTTAAAGTTTTGCAACTGCCACCTTTTGTAAAGGCAGTTTTCTTAATGCACTGGAGTTCTAACATGTTTATGGCCCACACATACATATTTTGGGGCTCCTGCTATTTGGTGAGAGAAGACACAAATGCATGGGCTATGCATGGATATGTTTCCATGGGGCCTCTTTGCTTTCATATTTATCCAGAACGTGGTACATGCTTTCCTTTCAGGCTGCAATTCACAGGGTTTGTTTTGTTTTGTTTTAGAACATACGTTTTCAACGACTGTATCTTTAAATAATCTGTTTGAATTTAGCTTTTCTCTTCCTTGGGAATAGCTATAAATGTTGGATTTTTCTTTGCTTTTCATTTGGTATTCTCACCCCCATTGTTTTCATCTCTCCCTTCTTTTCTGTTGTATTTTGGGAGAGCTCTTGCATCTGTCCTTTTCCCATCAGTGATTAAATTTTCAGCAATGTTAATTCTGCACTTCACTGCCTCCAGGTGGATTTTAGTACCACTTTTACATGTCTAGCTACTTCCCATCCTACCTTCTCTCCCTATGCAAAGATCTTTAGGCTTCCCACTGCTTCCCCAGACTGACAATTGTCAGGAAGCTTAAATGATAAAAGTACCCTGTTTTAATTGTGGTAAAAACACATTATTTGATAATCAGGCTGCTCAGTATAGTAGAGAGCAGGCCCAGCAGGTTTGGGGTGCGGTCCTGGGTATACCATAACTAGCTGTGTGGAGTCGTTAAAGAAAAACAGTAACTAAGCCTGTCTGAGCTTCAATTTCATTTCTCAGACAGTCGTTACTAAAGTCACCTGGGTTCTGACGATTAGGAAAGAAATATGTTAAATATCTGGCATAGAGTAAGCGCTCCATGGGCCCAGCATGGTGGCTTATACCTGAAATCCCTGCTCCTTGGGAAGCTGACACAGGAAGACCATTTGAGCCCAGGATTTTGAGACCCGCCTGGCCCACATAGTGAGAACCCACATCTCTACAAAACATACAAAAATTAGCCAGGTGTGGTTGGCATGTGCCTGTAGTCCCAGCTACTCAGGAAGCTGAAGCCACAGGATCACGTGAGCCCAAGAGTTCGAGGCTACAGTGAGCTATGATTGTACCAATGCACTCCAGCCTGGGCGACAGAGTGAGACCCTGTCTTTAGAAAGAAAAAAAAAAGAGAGAAAAGAAAGCCAGCTCTCCATAAATAGTAATTGGGTAATTGCATTTTCCTTTTCCTAGTGAATTATGAGTCCAACAAAGCCAGGATCCTTGCACTCCAGCCTTCCCCTTTGCCAACTCAGTTTATGTGACCACTGGGCTGTTTATCCCCCACCCTTGTTTCCTAGAATTTCTGGGATCAATTTTAAGAAGGAAGGGGAAACTTCTGAAGAGTAAGGTATATAATGACGAACCACACAATACATTCATTTGCCAGTTGACCTGCAGAGAGTCGGCTCACTCTGTGCCGGGTGAGTCCCGGACGGAGGCTGCCATGGATGGCTGGCCCTCACTGAGTCCCTGGGGCGACTGTGGAGGCTGCAGAAGGGTCTTGAAGGAGCACAGCCCTACTTCTCTCCCCACAGCAATGCCTGCCCTTCCCAGCCTGTGACCTTCCCCAAGGCGGCTCTGCCCTGCCCCTCCTCCCCTATGGTTCTGTCCACCTTCTTGCTAGAATAGCAGATATGCCAGACACAGCCGAGGAGACACTCGGGGTGACTACTCCAGAGGGCATGTTCAAAGGATCAGTAATGCACAGTTTGAAAGGCACCTCTGCTGACAGGAAAGAACATATTCTGTGTGTTGGAAAAAACTACCATCAAAACCCCCCAACCAACTGGCACCATCCCCATAGTTTTTGGCAGCAACAGCAAAGCACGGAGCCCTGCCAGGAGAAACAGCTTTGAATTAAAATATAAAGCTAATCAGAATATGGATCACACAAAGCTGCCAGTCATTTGATGTGTGTGGGGAGTAAAACACCCCTGCCCTGCTAAGAAACTGCCCAAGGTCATTGTCTCTTATCAGCAATTCTCACAAACAGTTATCAAGTCTTTTTTTAAAAAAAGCAAGTATTCCCACCTGCTGTCCCCTCCTACTCAAATCATTTTTTCTTTTCTTTTTTTTTTTTTTTTTGAGATGGAGTCTCACTCTGTCACCCAGGCTGGAGTGCAGTGGCGCGATCTCAGCTCACAGCAACCTTTGCCTCCCGGGTTCAAACAATTCTCTGCCTCAGCCTCCCAAGTAGCTGGGATTACAGGCACCCACCACCAAGCCCGGCTAACTCTTTTTTATTTTCAGTAGAGACGGGGTTTCACCATCTTGGCCAGGCTGGTCTTGAACTCCTGACCTCATGATCCACCCGCCTCGGCCTCCCAAAGTGTTGGGATTACAGGCGTGAGCCACCGCGCCCGGCCATCACTCTTTCAATGTAACATGTTGGAATCCTGCATGAGAGCCAGATTCCAGGGCTTTGATCCCATATGGAGTCCTAACACTGCCGGTCATTGCACAGTGGCTGGAGTGGGGTGGCCAGATGCCTTAGCTGTTCCTCCATCCCTGTGTTAGCAAGCTTTCTTTCCTTGTTACGTGATTTCTCAGGTGGGACTAGAGAGCAGAGAAATGGTGAGAAACGAGAATCAAAAACAACAGGCTGGCGACTTACCCTAGGCCAAAGCTAGTTCCCGCAGACCTTCCAATCCATCTGGAGCTGGCCATGTGACGGGTCATGGTCAGGGACAATGACGGTCCTATCAGCCCTGAAGCTGGCTATTTGCTAGCTGGATCTCTGGGCAAACTCTTCAACATTTCTGATCCTCATTCTCTGCACCTGGAAAATCCAAGTAATGATATTATCTAGCTTAGAAGTTTGAAGTAATGAACATAAGGTTCCTAGCTATGCTCCTGACTTAAAAAACCTGTAAAGTCTCCCAGCTCCCTAGGAGGGTATCAACTCCATATTACTGAGCGTGGATTGTAAGGTAGAAATTACCCATTAAATTTCACACTCCTAGTAACCCTTCTCCTTCAGATAGATTAAGTTTTGAGAATGACAAAAAGAACAACAGTGTACATGACGGCTTCATCATCTTTACTGTATTGCCTATAATAGCCATCTGATTATATCCAAGCAGCACTGGGCATACCGAGAAGCTTAACAGACACTGCCAGATACACATTTGTACATGTGGAATTGTGTGCTGAATACTAACAACACCTACCGTGTGCCTGATGTTTCCTAAGTGCTTCATACATATGAACCCATTTAATCTTTAAAACAACTGCATGATATACAAGGATTGAATCCATCACCCTGAATGAGGACATCAAGGTATGAAGACATCTAGCAACTCCTTTAAGATCCTGTAAATTGCAAATAAAATAACTGGAATCTGAACCCAGGTTGTCTGGCTGGAAAAACCATGATATCAACTACTCTACTGCGCTGAACCCCTATTACGTAAAATTAGATAAGACGATTTTTCCTGAAACAAAAACATTACTAAAATTAGATTCCGGGTAGCTATTTTCCTAGGCCTGATCTTCATCAGTGATGTGGAAAGGGGCAGTCAACCACATTTATAAATACAAAGAGGGGCTAGGAAGTAGATCACTGCAGAGAAAACAGCCCAGGTAGCCCAGGTATGTCACTTAGAGGCAATGATATGTGGATATAATTTAACAATGGGCCAGGCCTAGGGGCCCAGAGGTGGTAAGGATGGCTGATTGGCAGCATTTGCCAATTGCCAGTTTCCATGGTGTAAATACTTCCACCGTGATGGATTTCAAGCTACCACCCTGTCAACACGGAGTGAGGACTGGAAAGAAGTGCTGAAAACTGGCTCCCACGAGGCTGTACCAGTACACCACCGCCTGGAGGAGACCTCCACTGTATTAGAAAGCCCAGCTCAGTAAGATAACCTGTGCTGGTCACTGGACAATTTAGGGATAGGAACAGAGAGAGCATGCAGAGTTGGAAGGGGCCTTAGGCAAGCCCAAGACTCACTGTTTTCTCAGCAGCATCCTTGAGAATGTGCGACGTGACTGGGTTCTTGAAACCACTGTTCCGATACTGCTTTCCTTTGCTAAGTTTAAATTCCAGCCTCCTAATTCTAATGTTTTCGTGGGACCTTCTACAATCCTTCTTTTCTGTATGTCTTGGGCAGGCAAAGGGGGGTATTCTCCACTAGCATGTTGCTAAAGAGGGCCTCTACCCTTTAATGAAACTGTTTTACCTGAATAAGCTTTGAAAAAGAAATACCGTAGTTGAATATTATGCTGTCCCATCTCCTCATCAGCTACTCTCCACAACTTTAAAAAACCCAATTCTTAATTCTTAACTACACAGCCATAAAAAAGAAAAAAATAATGTCTTTTGCAGCAACATGGATGGAACAGGAGACTATTCTCCTAAACGAATCAACACAAGAACAGAAAACCAAACACTGCATGTTCTTACTTACAAGTGGGAGCTAAATGCTAAGAACCCATGAACACAAAGAAGGGAACAAAAGACACCGGGGCCTACTTGAGGGTGGACTGTGGGAGGAGGGTGAGGACTGAAAAATACGTGCTGCAGTTATTACCTGGGTGACCGAAGAATCTGCACACCAGACCCCCGCAACACGCATTTTACCCATGTGACAAATCAGCACAGGAACCTCCTAAAAAGTTGGAAAGGAAAAAAATTCTTCACCACTGTCTTGGGCATCTGTGATATGAAATGTAAACAAGCACAAAAATGGCTGATGAGCCCACAGAGTGCAGCCCGGATGGGACCACCTGTGAGACTCTCAGACCTGTCCAGTTCCACAGTCAGAATATTGGATTGCCACTGCCAGCCTCATTAGACACCCATCCTTCTTACGCTGGGAGGATATGGACAAGAGCATGCAGGGCACTCACCACAAATCCATCAGAACCATGCCAGAGACAGGCCAAACACATGCCCTGAAGTTACTAGTATCATCAGAGCACAGAAAAAAGTATATATATTTGAGACCAGGTCTCACTCTGTTACCCAGGCTGGAGTGCAGTGGTGCAATCAGGGCTCACCACTGCAGCCTTGACCTCCTGGACTCAAGTGATCCTCCCACCTCAGCCTCCTGAGTATATGGGACTACAGGTGTGTACCACCACACCTAATTATGTATTTTTTTGTAGAGACAGGGTCTCACTATGTTGCCCAGGCTGGTCTCAAACTCCCAGGCTCAAGCGATCCTCCCACTTTGACCTCCCAAGGTGCTGGGATTACAGGCATTAACCACAGTGCCCAGCCACACGTGACAATATTAAGCACAGAGTTGAAAGGGGCCTTGGAAATCATTTCTCAATTTCCTCTAATGAAAACAGACAAGTTAATGTATTAATAATTCAGGTTTTTCATTATGGTTCTCTTCTCCCTCTAGCCCCGTGGTTCTTAACCAGGGGTGATTTCCCCTCAGAGGACATTTGAGCATGACTGGAGACAATCTGATTGTCAAAACTGGGTGGGAGATGCTCCTGGCCTCTAGTGGGTATAGGCTCGGGATGTGGTTAAACATCCCACAGTATAGAAGACAGCCCTCCACAGCAAAGAGTTATCTAGTCTAACGTGTCAGTAGTGCCAAGGCTGAGAAACCATGGTCCATGCACAATATACTATTTCCAAAAACTAAACAAAATGACATTCTTACTCCACAAAGCAGTCATATCCACAAATCATATTTTATTAGCTGTGCAATACCACCTTCCATTCATGGCCTGTGTTTTAATTAAATTTCATAAACTACCAGTACAAATCAATACAATGCATTTTTTAACACACCAACAGCTTGAATGTTCTTGAAGCTTTTAAACAATGAGTTTACTGTGAGCAAACAGAAGCAAGGACTCAAAGAGATAATTAGCTCATGCATCTGGTGCTGGCTAATAATTTTCACATGAATGAAGAAACCACTCTATGTTAACTGTATTTATTTTTAAAAAATAGTTTGAAATGGTAATAAAATGCAATTTTCAGAAGCATCTTGGTGATCGAGTAGAACTGCTTAATTTAAAAAATAATTCAGTTACTTCCACCTGGCCTGGGGTGGATAACATGTAGCAAAAACTTCCATCCCACTAGATTCTGGCAGATGGATTGATCTTTCACAATATATATATATATATTTTTTTCTCCATTTCTTCTTATGGAAGCCAGAAGCCAGGAGGAGCACCCTGTTTTGAAAAGAGATTGTTTGGTTCACACGGTATACTTTGGTTTATTTAAACAGGTAAGAAAGCGGTCCCTACTTCTGAGGAGAAAATGTGGTTTCTGACTTTTAGGTACATCACGATATCACCAGTCTGAATGAGTTTCCTTTTCTGTAAAGCAGAAAGTGTCATTTTCTTTTCCTCCAGTGTTCAGTTGCTCCTCTTCGAAAATACTCTTCAGAGAAAGTATCTGTACGTCTGTATTAGTACAAACCATTCCTTCCCTATGTCTCAATGCCTGACATTCAGTGCCTGACAGAATCAGCATTTGGCATGTCCTTGGATATGGCATCAATTTGATGCTTTGAACTGAAAGTTCTCATAATGCATCTCAAAGTATCTTCTTAAAAAATATAAAAATGTAGGCCAACTTGTGCTCTCTTGTAAGGCTTGCAAAGTGGTAATTAAATAAGCAGACTATAACTCACAAGGGAAAAAAAGTGCATTTTTAAATAAAAGAAAAAAACGGAGACAGTTAAAAGGACAACCAAAAAGATAAGCAGATTATTTTTGGTTAATCTTGGGGAAAATATGACACGATATTTATGGTTTCTTTTCTTTTCTGGTCCATTTTATTTTACTTAATGTACTCACTAGTATCATAATAAGCCTATCTCCTCTCCTGCCTTCTGATATTTTAGCATTCCTAGAAACTAGAGCCCTGCTGATAGGCTCATTCATATGAGGAGAAATATGCTTGCCTTTCATGCTAATGAATTTTTTACAAAACTGCTCTTAAATCATGAATATTTCAATGAGCACACAAAACAACAGGTCTCAGTGTGTTGTAAACACCATCAAAACCTCCACACCATTAGGCTTATAATCTCACAAGCATTCTGCCTTTGTCAGACACTTCACAGGGTGCAACTGGGTTACTTTTGCAGGCAAAGCGGAGATTTTGATTTCTGTTGTAAAAAGCCCAACAGAGAGAAATCGGAGGCTTTCTCATCTCTGACCCATCAGTCCAATTCTTTTGTCGTCCTTTATGGAAGTCTTTTCTCTGTTGCAGCCACTTTCAGTAATTGCAAAAGGAAAGAAAAAGTGTCTCCCACAATCCTTCTCTGGGAGTTCATGTTTTTTTGCTACTTGTCTTCTGTTTCTGTTTGCGAAGGTGAGCCTCTATCTCGTGCCTGAACACCAGCATGCCCAGCTGGCCGTGGGATGCCTCGTTCATGGCCTTGGACTGCATGCACATCTTGTACTGCTCGGGGGTCAGCTCGTCCATGCAGCGCTTCTCATGCCAGAGGTGGAAGAGTCCTCGCACAGGCGTCCGTACCACTATGAGGTTGCTGTGGAGATACTTGCGATAAAGGTGCACATCCTCTCCGCCCCAGCCTTTGATGTCCAGATCAAACCCACCTGTCGGGACAGAACACACTGTTGAATCACACTGCACTGATCTGTTTTGCTTCCCTGAGTTGCAACAAGCACAAACTTTTCATTAAGACATGACTGGGGGGGATGCGTGCTTCACCACCACCCCTCCAAGGTACGAGAGTGTCCACCTGGGTCAGAAGCCCCGAGAATTCCCCAACAAAGACGACTTTTATGGCAGACAGCACCGACTTCTTCAGATGACAGGACCTCCAAGAAAATTCCAAGCATTTGCCTGCATTCAAGAGTTATCAGCAATGCTAATGAACAGCCCCAGCCTCGTGGTTAATGGGTACAAAAATAAGATCTAGTATTCGGTAGCATTATTACTGACAGACTTATTGTGATTATGAATTAGCTATTGTTAACAATTTATTGTATATTTAAAAATAGCTAGAAGACTGATAAATATGATAAATAATTGAAATGATGGATACCTCCCATGACCCTGATGTGATGATTACACATTGTATGCCTGTATCAAAACATCACATGTACCCCATAAACATGCGCATAATAATTAAAAATAGAGGTTTCGTAAAAAAAAAAAAAAAAAAAAAAAAAAAGAGCTTCTACACCATCCCCACTTTTCAGCTTGAAACCTCTGAATGCAGATTCTTGTGCTTCTGTGAGGAGGTGGCCTTCTCCTGCCACTGCAAACAGAGAAGAAACGAGGGGCTTGCAGTGCCTCTCGGCTCACTGCAATCTCCACCTACTGGGTTCAAGTGATTCTCCTGCCTCAGCCTCCCAAGTAGCTAGGACAACAGGCACATGTCACCATGCCTGGGTAACTTTTGTGTTTTTAGTAGAGACGGGGTTTCACCGTTTTGGCCAGACTGGTCTTGAACTCCTGGCCTCAAGTGATCTGCCCACCTTGGCCTCCCAGAGTGCTGGGAATACAGGCATGAGCCACCACGCTCGGCCTAGAAAATTTTTAAATGTCCTTTTTGGGAAGCTGATTTGCACATAACCATTTAGGAATATTTCTCTCAGAGATGTCCAAGAACACCTGCTGTTAGTTGTTGAGTGTCTGCAGGGCACCCACCACTCAGAGACCTGCATCCTGGGTGCTCTGCTCCTTCCAACAGGACTTGACTTCAACATTTTTTTTTTAAATCTTTAACCTGGTGATTTCCTTGGGGGGTTCTGTAGTCCTTGTAGTTCATGTCATCTCTGAACAAAACAATCGTGGGTCTACCCCTCGTCCCTGATTTTAAAGTGAGTAGCTTTAGGTCTTGGACCTGAGGGGGAGGTGCCTAGAAGCCAGCGAGACCAGCAGCTCGTGGGGAGCCTGGGGATGGGACGCTCCATGCCACACCCTGAGGGCACGGTCCCCCTGACTCCATCGCAGCTGAGCCCCTGCACCTGAGATCAACGTTTCGGGACTGTTCATTCATACCCAGGTCGTGCATAATCTGCAACTCTATCTCTTTCGAGATCCAAGAGTCAGTATTGCTATGGGAAGGTGGGGTGGCATTTCCAAGGGGGACAGGAGGCCTCTATTCTCATCCTGACTCTGCCTCTTACCTGCTGTGAGGCCTGGGAGGATCTCTTTCCCTTTGACATGCTTGGTCTCCTCACCTAGATCCCAAGGGCCTTTTCTCTCTGTGCTCTAGAAAACCACAGGCGTGCGCATGTGCATATTTGTGTATGAATTGTGTGTGCATGTGGACATTTGTGTATATGAATTGTGTGCACATGTGGACATTTGTGTATATGAATTGTGTGCGCATGTGGACATTTGTGTATATGAATTGTGTGCGCATGTGGGCATTTGTGTATATGAATTGTGTGTGCATGTGGACATTTGTGTATATGAATTGTGTGTGTGTGTGTGTGTGTGTGTGTGTGTGTGTGTGTGTGTGTATTGGCAGCAACTGCACATTTAGTCAGAGCTTAAAGTGACATTTGGAATTTTGAAGGTTAGCAGAGAGAAATGTGGGTCTTTTTGAATATGTGCTTCCTCCCAGTTCCCCTATTTCCCTCATACCCTTACTGGGAGGCTTAGGATGTTCTACAGGAGAGGGCAGAGCAGCCAGGACCCCGCTGGGAGGAGGCACTGGAAGACTTGCTGCAAAGCTGCCTGGATGCAATAAGCAGCCTTTAATCTCAGATTGTGTGTCTTATTTGGAATGACTGAGAGGTGCTGGTGGAGATCATAGGGGCTAAAATGCCACCTACTACCAGGCCCCCTCTTGGTCCAGCCCTGAGTCTATGACATCAGGAACAGCATTTGATTTTCTTTTTGGAGTGATTCTCTTTAGGAGAATCGCTATGTTGTCCAAGTTGGTCTTGAACTCCTGGCCTCAAGTGATCCCCCCTCCTCTAACCTCCCAAAGCACTGGGATTACAGGTGTGAGCCACCGCACCTAGTCTGGAATAGCTTTTTTTTTTTTTTTTTTTTTTTTTTTTTGAAGGCAATGGTACCACCTTCCCAACCAGACTCCTTGGAAACCCTACTTGATTCCTTCAAGGCCTACATGGGCCCGTGGCCTCTGGGTGGCAGTAGAGATGCAGATTTGTCCTACCTATATTGATGAAGTCTGACCGATACTGACACGTCATCCCAAATCCAAAGTCTCTCCAAAATCCAGTTTCCTTCTTTATGACCTGCAAGAAAAGCACTGTCATTTGAGGGGAAAGTTTAGGGTGGACAAAAATAGAGTGTTCACAAACTCCTGTGAGCCACCGTGGAGTGTGGAGCCCATCCCATCACTGATAAACAGCCTCCACTGGTGCAGGAAACGCAGATGGATTTGAGTCCTTGCAGACAGTCAGGAATACAGTACACACACCAGTCCCAAAACAAGGTCTTGTGATTTTTGGCACCTCTGGCTGGAATGTTTCTAGGGCATAGATATGAAAACACACACACACACACACACACACACACAATCAAAAACAAAAACCGGGAGAGCCAGTCTTTGAGCAGTGCCGTGGAAAAGCCACCTACGTGCCTGGCCCCACACCAGTGCCAGCGAGAATCGGAGGCTTGGGCCCCTTACACAAGCCTGGGCAGCGAGCCAGCAAAGGGCTCAGGAAGTTGAGAAAAGGGATAGAGAACAACTCAGAATTCAGCTGCCCTGGCACGGTCCACTCACAGGACTCCCTTGGGGAATAAAAAGAAATATCTGAGAGACTTCAGTATGTTACCAGCTCTCCAACTCTGTTAACTCTCGCTTGCTGAGGAAAAGGGCACTAGAAGTCCAGCTTCTGAAGAAAGACTCTGTCCATTCATCTTCACGCTATTTTAAAACCAAACTGCTCCCAAAAGCATCTACCGTGGTGCCAGCCTGCAGGGCTGCGGAGAGGCCATCCAGACACTGCCCAGTCTCTTACTCTGCAAGTAAATTTCCAATATATTTGCTGAAACAGCAAGGCTTTTCAAAACTGCATGTGTACATATATATATATATAGAGAGAGAGAGAGAGAGAGAAACACACACACAAACACATATACACAAACACGTATTCAGCTGAGAGAACTCTGGGAACAGTTTTGAGATCTTAGTTATTTTTCATAATTCATTCTTGCAGTTAACATAGGTGCTTAGGTGAAAGGACACCCCCACATCCTGTCCTCTGGGGAAAGGTAGAGAGGGCAGCAGCAGGTTCCTCTTTCCCCACTTGGATTTGTATAGATTTTGTTGGGGACATCTGGTTCTGTTCATCGTTAATTAGAAACGGTACATGAGAGGGGAGAAGCATCAGAGTCTTGGCCCAATGTGACCACTGGCTGGCTTTTTCACTTCAGGCAGCCTCCTTCACTTCTTCATGCATCTATTTTTTTTTCCTTATAAAACAAGGGGGTTAAATTCACTCATCCCTTAGGTGTCTTTCAGCTTTCACATCCAAGTGTTTATCACATCTTCCCCCTTCCTGAAGTTTCACCACAGGCTAATTATATTTGATAAATGGCTTGCAGAAGGGCTGATGAATCTTAAATGTTCTTTAACTCTGTAACATATGAAACTGTCTTACTTTCACTACAATCTACAGGTAGATGTCACTTCCACCATGTCACTTACATTCCACAGGGAATGGGGACCTGCTGCCACCCTCTCCTGCAAGCATCAGGACTGCTCAAGGAAAGTAGAACCAAGAGAGTTTCTGTTGCTTAAAGTTGTCCCCAGCAAGTATTCTCAAGTTCTACTTCAGAGTACGGGACCGTTATACAGTATCTCCCAAATGACAAGTCAATTTCATTAGTATCAACTGGAAAGATTTTGTAAGGCGGCAAAGTCTGGAAAAGTCTCCACGGAGTCATTTTTTAAAATATGGACTTTGTTCCATCCCCGCCTTACCAGGTACATGGTTTCCATTGCAGCGAATAGACTAATATTCCTTCTGCTGGCAACCTAGACAAGTTCCCTAAGCTTATGGGTAAAAATGGAGTCAAAGAGAAGTGCCAGTATCCAATCTTCAAATATTTCGCTGAGGATCACATGGAATTTAAAAAGGAACGCTCCGAACAGGAAAAACAATTGGCCAAGCCTTGGGAAGGAAGACAAGAGGGAGGCATCCAGAGACTCTGGGCTGCACTGATGTAGGGCCTTTCGAGGTTGAACAAGGTGAAGGGGGACCCTCACATGGGAACAGCGTGATGGAGGCAGTCTGGCTTATGAGCTGGGGAGTGAGTTGTGTAAACATTTATTAAAGTCAGTTTGGAAGTTGGCAAGCCACAAAAAGCCACTATCTGAAGAGCTTGTTGAAATTTAGCCCTTTGTGGAAACTCATCTGGTCATGCCCACAGCATGTAATTTCAGGGCAAGACGGAGTTCCCTCAGTCGAGGTTCCACCACCCACAGCTGTGCTGGGTCGCTAACTGGAAGGACGCGCTCAATAGCAGTCTGGCGGGAGTGTGTGCCCTCAAGCACACATCCGATTATATCACGTTCCCATGTGAAGCCCTGCAAGGGTTCCCTAATCGTCAGCCATCTCATTTCTTCTTATCCTTCTGCCCTATATAAGGCCCATTTTCTCCCTCTTGGATTCTCCATGCTCACAGGTCTCCAAGGCCAGATACTTGCAGTCCTTCCTGCCTGGGTCACCCTTTCCCCACACACCACTAAGCTGTGCTCCAATGTCACTATTCAGAGTGGTCGTCCTGACCCTCCTGGCCCATGTTATGCACCTGCCACCCTAATGCCACTTGCTGCACTGGACCCCTGGTTTATTTTCTCTGTAACAATTCTGGCTTCTGAAATGATCCCGTTGATGCATCTGCTTCTCTGTTTGCTGACTGTCTTCAGTCACTAGCCCTGGTGAATGTAAGCTCAGGGCTTGTTCTTGTTCACGACTACATCTCCAGCACCCAGAACATTGTCCAGCACACAGCAGGTACTCAGTAAATACTTCCTCAATGAATGAACCAAGAGCCGTCCCTAGGGCAGAGATGGTTCCAAGCCAGTGGAAACAGACACGTTGCAAGATGTTCGCCAGCAAGTGGCCCAGCAAAGGCCTGGGAAATGCAGTGGTGAGAACCTCTCAGAATCCTGTGGCTCTGGACCAAGAGACAAAAATGTTTTCACCTCCCTGGGGTCTAAGGTGGAGTGTGTGACTTCTTAGAAACTTTGCTGCAAGTGTGAGAAGCTCCACCATTCTGTTCAAGCACTGACAAGTGATGCACCAATGATGTCTGCTACAATAGAGGAGGAAGGAACCCTAAGATAAAGAGGAGACTTTAAAAGAAAAACATCTATTCCTCCTGTTCTGGATTTCACTGATCTGTTTCCAAGCACTATCCTCCTTTTTTTTTTTTTTTTTGACGGAGTCTTGCTGTGTTGCCCAGGCTGGAGTGCAGTGGTGTGACCTCGGCTCACTGCAACCTCCGCCTCCTGGGTTCAAGCAATTCTCGTGCCTCAGCCTCCCGAGTAGCTGGGATTACAGGCACGTACCACCATGCCCGGCTACATTTTTTATATTTTTAGTAAAGAAGGGGTTTTGCCATGTTGGCCAGGCTGGTCTCGAACTCCTGACCTCAGGTGATCCACCTGCCTCAGCCTCCTAAAGTGCTGGGATCACAGGCATGGGCCACCGCACCCAGCC
This sequence comes from Homo sapiens, assembly GCF_000001405.40. NCBI lineage: Eukaryota > Metazoa > Chordata > Mammalia > Primates > Hominidae > Homo > Homo sapiens. The sequence continues at coordinate 19,412,133 of NC_000008.11, forward strand.
TGCTATCCTCATTTTCTAAAATGTCCTCTGATAGCTGGCCTCCTCTCAACTCTCTCTGCAGCACCCACTTCCTCCCCACCTGAGATCCCAGCAGAGCACTGCAGGGCATGAATGTACCACAAAAGGACAGTTGTCAGCCCTGCTCTCTCACAGGAAGTTTCCAGAGCCACAGCTCTGTGGACGATTCACGTGACAGGGATGATTATTTTCTATTAGGACCAAAACACAAAGCACAAATCAGCATCTCTCCCCAAAGATGTGGGAAGGCAGCCGCCCTGCAGCTGCATGTGAGCTGGGGCCGTGGTCAGTGCCTGTCTGGTTTAATGGTGCCGACTTGGCCACTTGCCCATGAAGCAATCTGGACCCTAAAATAAAATAAATAGCAACTACTCAGGCAGAGCGCCTCCTTTCAATCAGAGTCTCTCCTCAGCACTGAGGCTGCGTCTGGTCTACCTTGCATTCACAGCAACGCCCGTTAGCAGGGCCGGCTTACAAAGTGACCCATGTAGCTGCACAGGGCCCCCATACATGGAAGGCCCCAAGGCCTGCTGTCACTGTTGTGAAATTTGTAATACCTTTTGATCAGGGGCTCACATTTTCATCTTGTATTGGGTCATGTCAATTACATAGCAGTTTCTGGCCTGGGAGGAGAAGACTCCCTGAGCTATGAGGACGTCTGTGTCCAGGCTGGGGGCCCCCAGCCCAGGCTGTCCATTCCTTACTATCTGGGCCCTGAGGGCTCAGTGATCATGCTGCACAGGGTGCCAGGAGGGCTGCATGCCCTCTTCTTGTGGCTTCTTAGTATGAAGACAGAATGACTTGCCCAAGATCACCCAGCCAATGTTGCCAAGCCCAAAACAATTCTAAGACTCCGGGGACAGTTCCACATCTTGAGAAATAAGGTATCCTACATCCACAGCTTTAGAAGACTCATTTAAGAACACAGTCAAAGGCCATCTCCTTCCAGATGTATTTGCACTTATTCACAATTTCCTGTAAGTCTTTTCTAGGTGTTTTCATAGAAAACACATTGTGTCTTCAAGGGAATCATGCTGGACAAGGAGTCATCCAGGTTCTGCCATTTCCAGGAACCTATCATCTAAAACTAAATGCCCTCGTTGCCCCCATGAAGCGCTTTGAGGGCAAAGGATGTATCCCCTGTTGCCCAGCATCCTCAGCCCAGGTGCGGTCACATAGTGTGGCACTCGAGTTCTCACCCCTGCCACTTAGCCGCTACAGGCATCTGGCCCTCAATTCCTCATCTGTGAAATGAGAATAATAGCACCTCTTCCCCTTATTGAGTATTACGTGAGATAACGTGGGCACCGGACTGGCTTCTGGAAAGGCTCCATAAAGGGCCTCTGTTCACATTAATTTTGGTATTCAGCGGGTGTATGTTTCCTGAATAAATAGAAACAGAATGCAAGGATGCATAGGATGTGCCATGCTCATTTGGCAATTTACAAAAAGGTTTCAACTGAACTGCAATAGTAAAATACTTTCTGAAGGGAGGTAGAGAGGTCAAGGGTGTGACCAGAGAGAGGGCAAGGACAGAAGCCAGCATGCTATGCACACACTGAACAGTATCACAAAGTCATCAGATTTAACTGACGGGTAAGACCACATGGCAGACTAAGATGTGCATGTCGGATGCCGTGGGCATTAGAAATGATAAGGAGGTGGCCTTGAGGAGCAGAGACAGCCAGGGAGACTGAGCAGGTGTGCTCACCTGGCAACAAGGCTGGCTTGGGTGACTATGGAGCTGGTACCATGTGCCAGGTTCTGGGGTTTACAGATATTTTCTCTGCATCCATTTGAGAGTTGGTCTGTGGAAGACAATGAATCCCAACAAGGGCTCAGGGCTTGCAGTGCTGTGCTGGAGCCAGCTTGCACCAGCTCACAAGGATTGGACAAATCTCTTCCCAACCTTGTGTTCAGTGACGTCATGCTGGTAGCCTGAAATAGGCCACGGTGGGAGTATTTACACCATGGAAATTGGCAAATGCTATAAATCAGGTCTTTCTCCTGCACCCCCTCTTCAGAGAGCAGGTTGTTAAATATTTACCAGCACATCTCTGGCTCTGTGCCCAAAGATTGCTTAAAAAACTGAATGAATCTGTGATTTAGAAACCTATCTCTGGCAGAGGGTGAACAAAAAACCGGAGTCTAGGGGAGGGAAGGAGGCTTAAGATAGAAGTGGTAGGAGGCTCCTGCAGTGACCTAAACAGGAACTGGCAAAGCTTGAACCAGGAATGTGAAACGTCTAAAGTTAATGTTTGTTTAAATTATAGTCATTCCTTTCTCAGCGAACTGTTTCTACACATGAAAGCACCAGCAAGTTTTATCTCATGGTTTAAACTAAAAAAATTTAAATGTTAGTATAAAATCCCATAGTTTCACTTAATATGAATTACTGCTGGTCTATACATACAAGGAAAAAACAGTAGTCAAAACACACACATACACACACACACACACACACACTATCATAAATGTGGTTTCTTGCTTTTGTCTGCAGGCAAAACACTATCAAATGACAGTGGCAACAGTCACAAGAAGGAATAACATACATTGACTAATGTGATCCTATTTCAAAGGCTGCTAGTAAAGATTGTCTTTTGTTTGCAAAACTAACTTTCATTAGAGCAGCATTCTGGATCTCTGTTCTCCCTTCACCTTTGATACTGATGTATTCCAAGAAGGCTATCAAGGATGTAGTAATTAATATATAGGTACCATCTCTTTCAAGACTGAGTCAGAACGTACCCTTAGTAGGAAGTCATTACTAACTGATCCATCTCCAACCATTACTTTTAATTTTACATCTTCTCCCCACCTAAATAATCCATCTCCATTCTATTACTTTCTATAGTTTCAAGTTCTCCTTTGGAATTTTTGTCAAGACTTTTCCTTCATACGTCAGTTCTCATCTAGATCCTAAGCAAATCTCTTGCCTCTGTACTGATAGAAGGAAATCTCTTGCCCTGAGCTCTGCCACTAGCTAGCTGTACAATCCTGAACAAGCCAGTTCACCTCTATAAAAAGAAGAAAGTGAGGAAACACTCTCACAAATTACTACCAAGTAATGAAAGCGTTTCATTTCTTCTGACTTCTCCTCTCGCACCTAGGCCAGTCCCCCGTAGGCAGCGAGCACTCAAGAACTGGTTTGTCCAGTAAAAAACATAAGCATACTCTTCTTTTGGGAAGGGGGAGTCCTTCATCTCAAGGAGAAGAATTGCTGTTTCACCAAACTAAATAGTCATAAATACTGAACTCTAAAATATCAGACTTCTGTGGTCTAGGAAAGGTCAAAATTGCATTTGGAAGTAAATGTCAGAGGCTGCAGGATAATTCACAGCCTGTGGCAACAATGGACACAGGGAATCTGAGTGGTTTCTGCTTTCACCACTAATTCTGAGGATGTGAGAAACTTGCCTAACTGCACTGTGCCTCTGATTCCCTTCGCAACTCCTACCCTGCAGGAATAATAATACAAAGAAAAATCTTTTGGATTGTAAAACGAAAACAATTCCTTGCAAGCAAATAAGGTCTTTATGAATTTGAAATGGAAATGTTAATCACATTCTATGTCAAATGCAAAACAACACATTACTTAAACCCAAAGGAACTTTAACTTTGATTGGCAGAAAGAAAATAAATCCTATATCCTGTTTCCCTTTCAATCCAATTAGAAGCTTAGAACTCTGGGAAAGGAAGCGAGAAGTTTCTCTGTCAATGAGGGTGATACGTGCTGCTTAACGACACAACTGTAAGCATAAGCAATTGTAACACAATGGTATTTGTGTATCTGAACATAGAAAAGGTACAGGAAAAATCTGATGTAAAAGATTTAAAAACATTTTCTTGTAAGTGTAACTCATGTGCTGCCTAACAACATTTCCGTCAACAACAGGCTGCATATGAGATGGTGATCACCCAGGAAGGCAAGGTTAACTTATTATTAAAGAAATGAAAACTTTTTTTTTTTTTTTTTTTTTCTGAGACAGAGTCTTGCTCTGTTGCCCAGGCTGGAGTGCAGTGGCACGATCTCGGCTCACTGCAACCTCTGCCTCCCGGGTTTAAGTGATTCTCCTGCCTCAGCCTGTGGAGTAGTTGGGATTACAGGCGCATACCACCATGCCCAGCTAATTTTTGAATTTTTAGTAGAGATGGGGTTTCATCATGTTAGCCAGGCTGGTCTCGAACTCCTGACCTCATGATTCACCTGCTTCGGCCTCCCAAAGTGCTGGGATTACAGGTGTGGGCCACCACACCCGGCCAAGGAAAACTTTTAAAAAATAAGTTTAGTGTCACCTAAGTCTACAGTGGTTATAAAGTCCACAGTAGTGGACAGTAATGTCACAGGCCTTCACATTCACTCACCATCCACTCATTTACTCACCCAGAGCAAATTCTAGTCCTGTATTACAAGCTCCACTCATGGGAACCATTTTTAAAATCTTTTATACCATATTTTTCCTGTGCCATTTCTATGTTTAGATACTGAATACCATCGTGCTTCAATTGCCTGTAGTATTCAGGACAGTCACATGCTGTACAGGTTTGTAACCTAGGAGCAACAGCCTGTACCATACAGCCTACGTGTGTAGTTGGCTATGTTATGTAGGATTGCATAAGTGCGCTGTATGATGTTTGCACAATGATGAAATTGCCTGACGATACATGACATCTCTCTATTGTTAAGTAACACATGACTATAGATGAAAACTCACTTTTTTTTTTTCTTTGAGACAGGGTCTCACTCCATCACCCAGGATGGAGTGCAGTGGTGCGATCTCAGCTCACTACAGCCTCTGCCTCCCAGGCTCAAGCGATTTTCAACCTGCCTAGTAGCTGGGACTGTAGGTGTGTGCCACTATGCACGCCTAATTTTTTATTTTTTAGTAGAGATGGGTTTTGACACATTGGCTAGGCTGGTCTCAAACTCCTGGCCTCAAGTGATCTGCCCATCTCGGCCTCCCAAAGTGCTGGCATTAAAGACATGAGCCACCAAACCCAGCTGAAAACTGATTCTTAAGACGTGAAAAACTCTTACTGTTTTTATGTATAAAGCACAGATACAGATACACTACAAAAACAGATACACAGTATATCTGTGGTATTGCAATTCCACTAGGGGAAAAGAGAACTGTATTATTAGTAAACCTGGTGCACCCCAAAATGAAGCCATGCTAGGATATAAGACATGACATTGTCCAACCTGAGGGCCCCAAAGTTGAAACTTTCTGGAAAATATCATAATATCAGTTGCCAGAGGTTAACTTGGGGAGAGAGGATGAAAGGCACAGGATGGGGCTGGAAACAACAGGTTTTGCTATTTCTAGAAGCTTACACACAAAGTCAATCCTCAAACGCATCCAGAACATGGGTTTTGGATGGAAATCAGTTTACTCTCCCATTGTACGGAAGCATCAGAGGCCTGGTGCTATCGTGTCTTCAGGTTCCCACAGCAGATGTCCTTCCTCCACCCTAAGGGGTCCTCAGTGGGAAGAAGCATGGATTTTCTTTAGCAAGAGGCAGAGCTACCCACAGCAAAGAAGAACAGACGTCCCTCAGATGGGAAGGCCACCATGAGATACAGCCTGGGCCAGAACACAGCTTCAGACAAACCTGGCTCATCTCCCCGCAGGAAAAAATCACAGCCCAACTTGAGGTGGGAGAAGGGCCTTTTCCCTCTCTGCCAATGCTGTCAACAATACCGGGAAATTCCATCCATGGGGGCCATGCCCAGAAGACACAGAGATCCTCTTCTGGCTTGCCTTTCCTCCTGCTGCTTGCATTGCTTCTCTGCAAAGTGGACTAACTGCCTGTGACAACAGAGACATCTCACCCTACAGGGACCCTTGGGGGCTGTGTGCATCCACTATCCATCACCTGTGCAGCCAGGATCTTAGCAGAGAAGTCCTTCCAATATTCCTTTGAGAGCCACCTTGCCAGTGACACCTTTAATGCTAACGTCTACCCAAACACTGTGATGTGTGGGAACAGTGGCATGATGGGAAGGGAACGGTGGCATGACGGGAAGGGCACTGGGAGCACACTGGGAGTTTCCACTTCAAATTCACAAAGACCTTATTTGCCTGCAAGGTCCAGGGAATTGCTCTGGCCCTCTCTGGGGTGAGCCACCCCATTCTGATTTCTGTCAAATGGGAACATAAATCTCACCTTTGTTACCTTGTAGGATTTTGCAAAAATCAAGAGAAACTGTACTGCATCCATAATGCAACAATACCAGTTTCCAAAAACCAGTGATGGAAACTATGAAGGTGTGAAATTACCTCTCTGTAAAGTACTGCTTCCATTTATTTTCCACTTTAAATATTGCAAGCACTTTTAATCAACGAGGCGCCGGGAGCAGAGGCCAGCACATCTGCCAAACGTAAAAACTACTAAGGGAATCATTGCACAGATTTCTACTCACCTTTGCTCATGGTCAGGTACCCCTGGTAATGACAGACACTAAACAGAGCCACACAGAGCCATCTGCAGGGTAATTACTCACCAGCTGCTGTTCCAAGGGAGGGACTGCATCATGGTGGCCGTATATTATGCCAGGATTGTACTGACTGAAAAGAACTGGATAAAATACCTTCTTCCCTACAAACCAGAAAACAAACATTCACTTAAAGTGACAGATCCAAGTAGTAGGTTTGTTCCTTGACATTTGGCCCTCTGAAACACCCCAGATATTTGCACCCACTTTTTTTTTCTTTGAGAGGCAGTCTCACTGTCACCCAGGCTGCAATAGAGTGGCACAATCTTGGCTCATTGCAATCTCTGCCTCCTGGGTTCAAGTGATTCTACTGCCTCAGCCTCTTGAGTAGCTGAGATTACAGGTGCCCGCCACCACACCCGGCCAATTTTTTTATTTTAGTAGAGATGGGGTTTCACCATGTTGGTCAGGCTGGTCTCAAACTCCTGATCTCAAATGATCCACCCGCCTCGGCCTCCCAAAGTGCTGGGATTACAGGCATGAGCCACTGCGCCCGGCCTGCAGCCACTTTTCCTTTTCCCTTGACTCAACTCTAAAATGGGTCTTAGAAGTGCAGCACCAAGTGGACCAGACAGTCATATCTGCAAATATTTCTGATCTCCCAGCGCAGGAATGATATTTGGAATACTGACAGACCATGACCAAGCACTGGGCATCACGCCTTGGGAGGGGGTGTGAAAGAGAGTCCTGGTGCCCCAGCCCCGCCAAACATTAACCCTTTACTTGCTGGCTCATGGGATCATCTTAAATGGTTGACTTTGGGTCAGGGTGACTTTGGGCAGTTGGACTAGACTTAGAGTGTCCAGGGTGGTTGCTCTTTATCAATTTACACAAAAGAATTTCTGTATTTTAGCAACTGGCATGGCTGTGCCAGTGTTCATCAGCTCAATAGCAGCCTTGCCTATGAGTGGAGTCTGTGAAAGTCATTTTAGTACTGTGGGTTCTTTGTGCGAATAGCTCTTCTACCCTAGGTAACTGCCCAAAGGTACTCCTTTCTCTTTAGGGTTGGCAGTTTTCCAGCTCCACCTCCTCCCCACCTCGCTTTCTCCTGGGAATGTTCATGAAAGCTGACCTCCCAGTTGCAGACGGAAGAGGGGTTATGGACATGAACTTGGGAAAAGAGTCCCAGAATTATGGTGGCTGACAGGCCCATGATGTGGCCTCAAAGGAGAAGTCAAACCAGATGGTGACGTGGTTTGGCTGTGTCCCCACCCAAATCTCATCTTGAATTGTAGCTCCCATAATCCCCAGATATCCTGGAAGGGACCTGGTGGGAGGTAACTGAATGATGGGGACAGGTTTTCCCATGCTGTACTCATGATAGTAAATAAGTCTCAAGAGATTTGATGGTTTTGTACATGGGAGTTCCCTTACACACACTGTCTCGCCTGCTGCCATGATAGACTTCCCTTTGCTCCTCCTTCACCTTCTTCCATGATTGTGAGGCCTCCCCAGCCATGCAGAACTATGAGTCCATTAAACCTCTTTCCTTTATAAATTACCCAGTCTCAGGTGTGTCTTTATTAGCCGCGTGAGAACAGACTAATACAGATGGTTTTCCTTTTCTTTGCTATTGAAGTAAAACAGGCTGATTCAGAAGCAGGACATCAGAGTGACTGACCCATCAAGAGGACGACACATGGGCCCGAGAGGGCTGGGGGCCACCTGAGCGTGACAGAGAGATGATCCATACCTGGCTGTGTATTCAGCCTACACGTATTGAGGAATTCAGATGTGAAGTAGATGTCCACATCACAGAAAAAGAGAAGGACGTTGCTTCCCTTCCAGAAGCGGGCTCCAACATCAAGTCCCTTTCCCCGAGAAAATTCTCCATTCAGCTGGATGAAGGTAAAGTTCCTGAAGTTGGCAGCTCTGAAAGGCAAGACCAGGTACTGTCACTCACATTCCCACATGTTGGCAGCATCCCCTGAGAAAATATGTAATCAGGGCCCATCCACATCTTGACCCATTTCTTTTGTAACCTGAGGGCACTGGGACTCCCCAAGAAGTTACAGAACGGCCCAGACTCACAGGATACTCACTGGGATCGAAGGTACCAAGAACACCTAGTGGAGTTTTAACACTAATTTCTTCCTTGTTTCTCTGGCAGTTTCCCCGTATTGAAAACACTCTTGTCATCATTAATGACTATTCTTTGTGATGGAGAAAACTTGAACCAGGTAAGACTAGAAACACAACCCTGGAAAATCTTCGTGCATCCTGAGCCAACCGAATGAGGCCACTGAGCCAAGGAAATAAGATCACATTGCAATGGCCCCACTTAGCATCTTTTCATCTGCATTCACATCCAGGAGCCAGGCAAAATGTTCTTGATGTGAATCTTTCCTCCAAACAGATTTAAACCCAGATTCCTTCCGCATCCTCGGGTAAAGCAGCACAGCATGGCAGGAAAAATGACCAACTTGCAGTTAGAAGAGGACTGTTTCAGGCCTGGCTCTCCTACAGATAGCTCTGTGATCTAGGCCAGCCCATGAATCTTCCTGAACCTCAGTTGCCTCATCTGCTAAATAGGTGTAGTAACACCTTCCTTCACTATCCCACAGGGTTATTAGTGAGATAAACAGTGCCAAGAGTATACAGCACTCTGTAAGCATCAGCTATTGCTGTGATTAGCATGGGCAAGGATTCCCAGGCCCCAGGCAGTGAAGCCAGGATGTTTCTCGCATTCGTTGTTCTTTCCCAGGGACAGCAGAACCTTCTGAAATGGGGCCTGTCTTAAGCTAACGTTCCACGAATTCATTCCATGCCCAGTGGGACAGGTATTGTCTTCTACCAGATAATACTAGAGAACCACCTTCAGTCTTCTTTCAGCCTAGCAAATCCCTTTTCCTGTCAACGACACCCTTCTTTTCCTAATGGCTTCCTTTCCTCTCACACTCCCCGTCCTACCAGCTACCTGGCCTATCCCCATGCCCCAACTTCTCTCTACTGTTTCTTTCCAAAAGGTACAGAAACTCATTTCCAGTTTGTAAAGTTTGCATTCCAAGTACCCGTCTCGGGTAAAGGCCAACGCAAACATAGAGTCATAAACTTTTAAAATGCTAAGTTGTATTTGTATCTGGAATTGAATCAGTAAAACTAGTTCTGCGACTCCCTCCTTGACTCATCTTCTTCTTTTGGATCTGGGAGTGAGCTTGGATTCTTATCTTAGGGATCAGTGAGCCCATGTCAGAGTTTGATGCCAAACATGCCTTTCAGATTTGGATCAGGTTAGGAGGCCTCATGATGGGTAGAGCACTGGTCTAGGAGTCTGGAAACCTGGATCCAGGACTAGAACTGTGCCTGGGGCCCCATAAGTGTTCAACAGATGTTTCTGAATGAGTGTATGAATGTATGAATCATTCTAAACCTAGCTGTGCCTCTGATGGATTTGAGGCAAGTCACTCTACCCCTTTTGTCTCTGTTTCCAGGTACAAAATCCAGTGGTTACAGAGCTCAAATTCCCCTTTACACACTAAGACGCTATTTTTCTTTGGTTAAAAAAACTTACTTTACATATGTACATTATATATACTTGTATATAATACACTTTTTCTTTTAGAGACAGGGTCTTGCTCTGTCACCCAGGCTGGAGTGCAGTGGCATGATCATAGCTCACTACAGCCTCAAACTCCTGGGCTCAAGCAATCCTCTTCTCTCAGCCAAGTCCCAAGTAGCTGGGACTACAAGTGCATGCTACCATGCCCAGCTAATTCTTAAAAATTTTTTATAGAGACAGAGTCTCACTTTGTTGCCCAACTCTTGGCTTCATGCGGTACTACTGCCTCGGCCTCCCAAAGTGCTAGGATTACAGGCATGAGATACCACACCTGGACAAGACTCTATTTTTCCTATGATCCTGCATTCACTTCAGCACCACTCTACATTTGCAGGGATTCTCTTCCTCTTTCAGAACTTTATCTTGAGTCTTTTCTCTGGGGGGGTGCCCCCATTGCACATTTTCTGTGTGTTGCATTGAAGTTATGCTCAAAACCTTTTCAGTATTAGGTATGGCACCAGTCAAGGACACGCTATCCTCCCGTCTCCAAAGACATTCAGATGGTGTGAGGTCACTGCGAGCACCTTCATGTCTCTTAGAGGTGTCTGCAGCCCCAGCTCCTGTAAGTCAGGTCAACCCATTTTTCCCTTCCCGGTTTGGTCAGTTTCCAGGAAAGGTTTACCCATGGGAGATGCCTGGATTTTTACCTGTTCATCTAAAGGCACCTGATCCTGGAGTCCATCTTGCTTTAACTTTCTATGTATTTAATATATACAGCCAGTAGCAATTCTCTTTCTTCGCTGTTTCCAGGTTCCTATCTTTTGGGACCTCTTCCTCCCCATTATACAGGGATATCTTCTAACTTTCAGAGCACAAACACAATGTATGAGCAAGTCCTTCCTCACTCAGGTTGCACCTGACTCATAATTCAGGTACCTTCTCCAGGAGGGTTTCTAGGATCTACTACAGGAGAGTTCAACTACAAAAATACCTGAACAACAGCAAGTGACTTTTGCCAAGGGAAGAAGAACATAGGCTCTTAATAGGCTGCATTAAATGAGCTGCGACATCAAGAATCTCCCCCTTGAACAGCCTACAGTCCATTTGTATAGATAGGCCAAATATTTACAAAAGTTAAATCATGTTGAGTAATTAAATAAGAATACAAGACAGTGTTAGAAACTGAGGAAACAGCATGAAAGAAATGACGAGTCTACAAGTGATTGATTAACTGCTGAGTGAACGGTAGAGACAGTGCTACAAATTTAGAGGGAAGAGTGGTAATTTGGTGGTGTGCATGCTTACCTAATGCACAAGTTAATCTAGTTTATTCTGTGCATGAATCCCCTAACCCTGGCTTGAGCTGTTGCTAATAAATGCTGTTCTCTCCTCTGCTGCAACAGAGGATTGGGTACAGGATGGGCTTCCTGTCATAGTCATGGGAAAAGGGGTGGGAAGAACTTAAGGTACCTAGTGTCTGACATGACCTTAATTTGGAAGAACTTTTTTTTTAAGCCTTAAAATGTAAATCCCTATGCTTCCATGATGTGTTGCTTCTAGAGAAAGAAAATTCAGGCAAATGGATGCTGGGGAACACTTTATATGGCCTAATGCAAAAGGCAATTTGCTTCCTTTCTCTTCATGCAACCTTTCTACAAGGAAAAGACAATGCATGTTATATCCATGGCACTACCCAATCTGAATATGCATTTTGAATTCACTTCATGTGTCCACAGGCTGCACAGAAAGCCCTGGGAAGTGGTACCCAGCTCTGTCCACGCACTGTTTCCATGTGGACCATATGGGGGCCGGCGCACACACACACAGCACCAGACACCTCGGCTTGCCTGTTCTCCCTGCCCCACGCAGGACTCTGCCCTGATCTAGCTTTGCCTGGGACTTTCATCCACCCTGATCAACACTGGCCAGAAGGCAACATTGCTGGCTTGGCAGTATGGGTCCATGTTAGAGCTGCTCTGAAGCCCTGACCACTCACCAGGTCCTGATGAGAGAGCTGAACATGAGTGTGCACAGAAGGCAGGGTGGGGACAGAGTCACTGCTGGCTTGGGAAGCACCATCAGGCAGTCACAGACACTGGAGAAGGCCCAGAGTGCTAACTCTGTCATCCATCTGTGTTTCCCAGGGTGGCTGCCAGGTCATTATGCTCAGCTAGGGGTCCGTCTGAGGATGAATAATGGTACAATTTTCCTTCCTGATTCCTCAACCCAAGGCTTTTTTCCAATAAACCAGTGATCTGAAAGAACCCCTCCAACTCCTCTCTTGCCATCAGGAAGAGCCTCTGATAATTACCAAGACCCTCTGCCAAAAAAGAGGACTGAACTGGAAAAACCATGAAAAAAAATCAAGACAACTTCCTGTCTTTGCCAAACCTCCTGGGCCTAGAAGTGGGGCAGCCTCCTCATCTGAAACTTACCAGTACTGGCCATGTGGGCTCTAGAACAGGATATGACAAGATGAGGAGGAATTGGCTTCTTCAAGTAGTCAGGCCACTTATCAATGCCCCATATCCTCATTTTGAAGCAGTGCTCATTGGGCAGGGACTCCATCACTAGACTAGAGTGCCCCCTGCTCAACAGTGGATTGAAAGGCAGCAGAACCATTCAAACACAATGACACACTTCAACTCAAATCACTGATGTGCCCAACGTAGTGTGATGGTGTGGTTTGGGAAGGTCCGCACCATGGCCATGAGGCTGCAGCCCCCAAATGCAGACTGTAGTGGTTGCCAGGCAGGCATGCTGCTTTATTCTCTGTCCTGCTTCCCCCCTTCCAAGTAACCAGCCAGGAGCAGATGATTCCGATTGTGAAAGAAAAATAGAATCTCAGGACCCCAAACTCACCATGCCAAAAGGAGAATTAAGCTTGAGAACTGAGTCACCAAGACTGTTCTCCTGACCAGGTGCAGTGGCTCATGCTTGTAATTCTAGCACTTTGGGAGGCCGAGACAGGCAGATCACTTGAGGTCAGGAGTTCGAGACTGAACTGACCAACATGGTGAAACCCCATTTCTATTAAAAATACAGAATTAGCCAGGCGTGGTGGTGGCGCCTGTAGTCCTCACTACTTGGGAGGCTGAGGCAGGAGAATCGCTTGAATCTGGGAAATGGAGGTTGCTGTGAGCCGAGATCGTGCCATTGTGCTCTAACTTGGGCAACAGAGCTACATTCCATCTCAAAAACACAAACAAACCAAAAAACCATTTTCCTGCTGTTCACTGACAGTAGCTGTAACTTCACAACCCCGTGTCACAGTCTCATTTTCGTGACTCCCTCCTTTTATGTGTGTTCATTTTTTCAGATGTAAAATGTAGATTTACTGAGCATGAGGCAATGCAGAATCGATTTTTTCCTCTGTTCCCTCTTTTTGCATGTAAAACAGAGAATTACTGAGGCTAATCAGAGCCTCACAAGAGTGGAAGCATCTACCTCACTGCCTGCTCTCCATCCCTTTGTTCGTCCTCCTCCTAGCTCTTTCCCCTTTGGAAAAAGCAGAGGTTGCAGATGCTCCTGTGGTTTGTGATTTTCCTAGGTGCATCCTCAACCTCGGCTAAATAAAACTCGGATAGACTGAGCCTTCCCTCAGTCTCTTTTTGGTTTACATAACAGACGACTCACCAAGGTGTGGGCATGGCTGGGGCATCCTATCTTCTCACTGTTCTCTTCCCTCAAATACGCGCTCTGCATCTACTCCTGCGAACATCACTCGGTCTTTAAGGCCCATGTCAAGAATCACCGCCCCTCCTGTGCCTCGCCGCAAACTTACAGTGCGCACTCTGAGCTCCCAACATTTGACCCAGCCCTGCCTCTGTCCCTCTGTGTCCTGGTGCCTTCAAGTGCCTTTGCTTGCACAGATCTGTATGAGGGGCTCTAGCAGACTCCACAGGCTTCAAGGACAGCAATTGCCTTACTTTTTTTCTACCTTCAGAGATTATCCAGCACTGTGCAGTAAACGGCACACACGGGGTGACCAATATCCACTGGACGAATCAAGAGCTGAACAAATGGAAAACACAGGCACATTTCAGATCTGTCCTGAGGAGGGTGCTGCATGGAGATGCCTCCCTGCCAAAGAAAGCTCAGCCCACTCAGATGGGCACCAGAGAAACCCCTCCCTTGTGTATATACACCCACCTCCAACATCAGAAAGAGGCTGTGACCAATGGATTCTGAAGGACAGGCACAAACCCAAGCTTTTAAGAAGATGAAAAATATGTAAATAACAGAAAAGAGATGAGAAAAATACACTGCAATATGGTTCAAAGTTGAAGTTACTCATACAAAGAAATACAATGTTTAGTGTTACCCTAAAGCAATGGCAAAGAAATGTGCATTTATTACGGTAGGATGGGGGCACTACATTTTATATTACATAACTTCCTGTTATGAAACTGAACGTGCAGTTCCACTAACATCACATGATTTGCTTATAATTATTTCTTTTTCTTTTCTTGAATTGTATTATCAACTGACAAAACTCTTCCATTTCCCAGTCAATTCCTGTTTTTATATAATAAATCTGGTGCACGGAGACTCCTCTAAGTTACACAGAGTCATTTTTATAGAGGTTATAATGACCTGACAAAGCTACTGTTTCTACAGGAGATTTAATTTCCCTAATTGACTTGCATTTCCCAGAATTACTGGATTAAAAACGATAGATCTTCCTGTCTAATATGATTTACTCTAATATAGACTTTTCCCCACAACTGCAAGGATAGTCTCTTCATGTAACGCTTCTCACAATAGCCTTTCATTGTAAAAAATCTTTAAAAATTTACATAGAAAACTAGTATTATATCCAATGTATGATTTTAAATCTCACAGCTCTAAATACTGAAATCACTTATGAGCTCTACTTCTTGAAGATATTGGAATACAGTGAAGAATTTAAAGCTGAACATGTTATCATCCAATTTTTCATAGTAGGCACTTTAAATAATTAATTTAGAATTGCCTAGATTCTGAGCTTCTTTAAGCCTGTTTTAGCAAGTTTCTTTAGGAACTTCATTTTTGCCTTTCCATCGGTTCTAAAAGTTCATGTGAGCATGAGGCACAGTTCATTAAGAAGAGCAAATGAACATCTCTGAATCTCAGAATGGTCACAATGCAGGCATCAGCTGATTAGAATTCACCATCTTCCAGGCTACATCCTCAGATTGTCTTTTCTTGCCCACCGAATGCATACAATTTTGTTTTGTTTGCTTGTGTTTTGAATCGAGAAATCAAAGCCAGCTTCAGCGGGCACCAAACAAATTTGCCGATGCACAGGAAAATGGTGAGATTCAAACATCTGGCATGAGGCCTCCAGCATGGAGTTTCCTTAGAAAATTAGGGGGTGGCAGCCGGGTGTGGTGGCTCATGCTTGTAATCCCAGCACTTTGGGAGGCCGAGGCGGGCGGATCACGAGGTCAGGAGATCGAGACCATCCTGGCTAACACGGTGAAACCCTGTCTCTACTAAAAATCCAAAAAATTAGCCAGGCATGGTGGCGGGCACCTGTAGTCCCAGCTACTTGGGAGGCTGAGGCAAAAGAATGGTGTGAACCCAGTGGGCGAAGCTTGCCGTTAGCCGAGATCGCGCCACTGCACTCCAGCCTGGGCAACACAGCAAGACTCCACTTCAAAAAAAAAAAGAAAGAAAATTAGAGGGTGGCAATCTTAACACCATGCCAAGCCCTCATGCACCTTTGCCACAGGGAAGTGTGAGTAACTGTGCACAAGGCAAGTGAGGAAGGGAAGCCTTCTTCCTAATCAGTGTATCTCCCTGTGCCCCAGGTGAGGGAAGCAGTCTCATCGTAGGTGTAGGATAAGACACATAAAGAACCTGGGCAGAGGCTCAAGGTTGCTACCTTAGGAGGACACAATCCTTCCTCCTTCTCCTCTGGATCCCCTGCAGGTGGCCTCCATCCTCAGACTTAGCTCATTGCATGTGCCATTTCTCCTTGCTCTGTAAAGTCTGGATGGATAATTCCCAGCTCCTGTCTTGCCCTGCACCCTGAGGCATGCATCCCTCCGTTTCCCACACAATACCCGAATGTACACCAGCATCGGAGTCTGTATCAGTCTGTTTTCACACTGCTAATAAAGACATATCGAAGACTGGGTAATTTCTAAAGGAAAGAAGTTTAATTGCCTCACAGTTCCATGTGGCTGGGGAGGCCTCACATTCATGGCGGAAGGCAGAAGAGGAGCAAAGTCACATCTTACGTGGCGGCAGGTGAGGGAGAATGAGAACCAAGCAAAAGAGATCTCCCCTTGTAAAACCATCAGATCTCGTGAGACTTATTCACCACCATGAGAACTGTGTGGGGGAAAATGCCCCCATGATTAAATGCTCTCTCGCCAGGTCCCTCCCACAACACGTGGGAATTACGGGAGCTACAGTTCAAGATGAGACTTCGGTGGGAACACAGCCAAACCATATCAGAGACTTTCCTCAAAAAGCCTGGGTAAGCTGCCCTACATAAGGACTGGCGAATAGTGGATACTGTGCTTTTACATCATTAAGTACGATGCTTCTTTTATGTCTTAAATAAACTACTATACAGCAGCACGTTCAATTTGGTTCCACAGAGGGAAAGTATGCCTGGCTCTGCAGAGGACACAAGGTGTTTAAGACATTGATTAGGACAAAACACCCTTCTCACATAAGACATGATATGTGTGTGTGTGTGTGTGTGTGTGTGTGTGTGTGTGTGTGTGTGTGTGTGTATGCATGCTGTGTATTTATATGTATACTTTTTATTGAGTTAAAATTCACACAACATAAAATTTTAAAGTGTATAAATCAGTGTCATTTAGTACATTCGCGATGCTGTAAACCGTCACCTCTTTCTAGTTACAAAATGTTTTCATCACCCCAAAAGGAAATCCTATACCCAAGAAACAGTCAGTTCTAATCCCCTCATATCCCCAGCCCCTGGCAACTCTTAATCTACTTTCTGTCTTCATGGATTTATGTATAAAGAATATTTCCTATAAATGGGATTATACATTATCAACCTTTTTTGTTGTTGTTGTTTTTCTTTTGAGACAGAGTCCTACTCTGTCACCCAGGCTGGAGTACAGTGGTGCAATCTTGGTTCACCACAACCTCCACCTCCTGGTTTCAAGTGATTCTCCTGCCTCAGCCTCCCCAGTACCTGGGATTACAGGTGTGAGCCACCACACCTGGCTAATTTTTATATTTTTAGTAGATATGGGGTTTCACCATGTTGGCCAGGCTGGTCTCAAACGCCTGACCTCAGGTGATCTGCCTGCCTCAGCCTCCCAAAAGGCTGGGATAACAGGCGTGAGCCACTGGCACCTGGCCATTATTGACCTTTTACATCTGGCTACTTTCATTTATCACAATGTTTTTGAGGTTCATCCCATTGCAGCATACATTAGTACTTCATTCTCTTTATGTCTGAATAATATTCCATTGTGTGCTTATGTTATATTTTGCTTTTCATTCATCAGCTGATAGATATTTGAGTTGTTTCTACCTTTTGGATATTGTGAATAATGCAGCTATGAACATTCATGTACAGTTATTTGTTTCAATACTTACTTTCTGTTCTTTTGGGTATATACCTGGGATCAGAACTGCTGAGTCAGATAATAATACTACGTTTAACCATGTAAGGAACTGCCACACTGTTTTCCACAGTGGCTGCACCATTTTTCATTCCCAAGAGCAATAGACAAGAGTTCCAATTTCTCTGCCTCCTCAGAGACACTTGTAATTGACTTGTGGATTACAGCCATCCCGGTGAGTGTAGTTTGCATTGTAGGTTTCATTTGCATTTTTCTAGTGACTAATGATGTTGACCATCTTGTCCTGCTGTGCTTATTGGCCACTTGTGTATCATCTTTGGAGAAATGTACATCCAAGTCTTTTGTTCATTTTTAAATTGGGTTGTCTTTTTACTGTTAAATTCTCTCTCTAGTTATTGAATATAGACCCTTATCAGATTATGATTTGCAAATATTTTATCCCATTATATAAGCTGTCTTTTCACTTTTATGGTAGCACAAAAGTTTTTAATTTTGATAAAGTTCAACTTATCTGCTTATTCTCTAGTTGCTAGGGTTTAAAAGTCACACCTAAGAAATCACTGCCTAATCCAAGGTCATGAAGACTTACACCTATGTTTTCTCTTAAAACTTTGATAATTATAGCTCTTACATTTAAGTCGTTGATCCATTTTGACTTCAAGTTTTGTATATATAGTGGATGTATACCTATCAACTACAGAAAACAACTTTCGTTCTCTGCACATGAATATCCAGTCATCCCAGAACCGTTCTTAAAAAGATGATTCTTTCCCCCATATGATGATCTGGTACCCTTGTTAAAAATCAAATGACCATAAATGTATAGGTTTATTTCCGAACTCTGCTTTCCATCCATTGATCTATATTTTTATAGCAGTAGCAAAGTCTTAACTACTGTAATTTTATAATAAGTTTTGAAATTGAGAGTATGAGTCCTCCAATTTTGTTCTGTTAAGATTGTTCTGGCTATTTTGGGCCCTTGCATTTCCACGTGAGTTTTAGAATCAGCTTGTCCATATCTACAAGAAAGTCATCTTGGATTTTAATAGGGATTGTACTGAAACTATAGATCGACTGACTGAGTACTGTCATTTGAAGAATATTAATGAACATGGGATGTCTTTCCATTTATTTAGGCCTTCTTTAATTCCTTTCAAAGTTGTGTTGTAGTTTTCAGCATAAAATTCTTGCACTTTTTTATTACATTCATTTCTATGTTTCTAAACCTTTTTTATATTACTATGAAAATTGTTTTCTTAATTTCATTTTCAGATTGTTTATTGCTCGTGTATAGAAATACAATTAACCTTTGTATATTGATCTTGTACCTCACAACTTTACTGAATTTGTTCTTAGCTCTAATAGTTTTGTGGATTCCTTGTAATTTTCTATATAGAAGATTATATCATCTGTGAATAGCATTTACTTTTTCCTTTCCAATCTGGATGACTGTTATTTCTTTTTCTTATCCAACTGTCCTGGCTAGAACACCCAGTACAATATTGAATAGTGAAAGCAGACACCTTTGTCTTGTTCTTGATCTTATGGGGAGAACATTCAGTATTTCACCATTAAGTATGATGTTTTTCATAGATGGTTTTTTGTATGTGTCCTTTATTAGGTTAAAGAAGTTCTCTTCTAGTCCTAGTTTGAGGATTTTTATCATAAAAGGATGTTGGATTTTTAACAAATGCTTTTCCTATGCATATTGAGATGGTCATG
The DNA here is from genome assembly GCF_000001405.40 of Homo sapiens. Classification (NCBI taxonomy): domain Eukaryota; kingdom Metazoa; phylum Chordata; class Mammalia; order Primates; family Hominidae; genus Homo; species Homo sapiens. The sequence goes on from NC_000008.11 coordinate 19,431,427, forward strand.
TGATTTTTGTCCTTGAGTCTATTAATATGGCATATTTCATTGATTTTCGTATATTGAGCCAAACTTGCATTCCTGAAAAAAAAATCACACTTGGTAATTGCATATAATTCTTTTTTTTTATGTTGTTGGATTCAGTTTGCTAGTGTTTTGTTGAGGGTTTTGCATTTATATTCATAGGGATACTGATCTATAGTTTTCTTTCCTTGTTCTGTCTTTGTCTGGTTAGGTTATCAGGGTAATGCTGGCTTCAAAGAGTAAGTTGGAAAGTGTTCTCTCCTCTTCCAATTTTTTTGGAAGAGTTTTTGACACACTAGTGTTAATTCTTTAAACACTTGGTAGAAATCAGCAGCGAAGCCTGGGCTTTCCTCTGTGGAAAGTTCTTTTTTCTTTTTTTTTTTAATTAAATCAATCCATTTGCTTGTTATAAGTCTAGTTAGATTTTGTATTCCTCTGTTCCCTCTCCATTCCTGTGCTGTTATTGTATTAATATTACATCTTTGTGCACTGTGTGCCCATCAACACAGATTTATAATTTTTTTCTATGAAGCTGTCTTTTAAATCAGCACAAAAAAAAGAGTCACAAACAAAAATACATTTATACTATCGTTTATATTTGCCTATGTAGTTACTTCACTGGCAATCTTTACGTCTTCATGTGGATTTGTCTAGTGTCCTTTCATGTCCGCCCCAAGGACTCCTCTTAGTATTTCATACAGGGCATGTTTATTAGTGATGAAGTCTCTTTATTTGTTTATCTGGGAATGTCCTAATTTTGCCTTCATTTGTAAGGAATGGTTTTGCTGATAACAGAATTATTAGTTGAAATCTTTTTCTCACTTTGAAAATGTTATCCCACTTTCTGGCCTCCATTGTTTCTGATGAGAATTCAGCTATTAATCTTATCAAGGATCCATTGTACTGGATGAGTTGCTTCTCTTTCTCTGTCTTTGGATTTCAAAAATGTGATTATAAGTTTAATGTGGATTTCTATGAATTTATTCTATTTGGAGTTAAGATTATTAGATATGTAGATTAATGTTTTCCATCAAATTTGAGAAATTTTTAGCCATTATTTCTTCAAATATTTTTAGGTGCCCTTCTCTATCCCCTTCTTGACTCCCATTATTCATATGTTTGTATGCTTGATGGTATCCCATGAATCTCAGGTTTGTTCATTTTCTTCATTCTTTTTTCTGTTTTTTTCTGAGACTGAGTCATTGCAGTTGGCTTATCTTGAAGTTTGCCAATTATTTCTTCTGCTTCTTCAAACCTGCTGTTAAGCCTCCTCTGCCTTATTAATTTTTCGTTTTTGTTATTGTAGTTTTCAACACTACAATTTCTATTTGGTTCTTTTAAATAGTTTCTACTTCCTTGTTGATATTCTGTATTTAGTATAGCATGTTTTTCATATACTTCAGTTCTTTAAATGTGTTTTTACTTTTGTGAATATACTTAATACAACTGATTAAAAATTTTTGTCTATTAAGTCAAACATCTAAGCTTCTTTAAGGACAAGTTCTAATGACCGATTTTTTTTTTCTCGTGCATGAGCCTTAGTTTCTTCACATGCCTCATAATTTTTGCTAAAAATTGAACATTTAAAAAAATGTATTATGGTAAGCCTAGAAAGTAGAATCTCCTCCTTCTCCCAGGTTTTTTGTTGTTTGTTTAGTGACTTTTCTGAACTAATTCTATAAAGTCTCAATTCTTTATTGTGCGACCACTTAATGGTCAGCTAATGAGTGGACAACATTTTCCTTAAATGACTGGAACCAGTAAGTCTCTCTGATTTCGCTGAGGGATTCTGTTTGCATATTGGGATACACCTTCAGCACTCAGCCAGGCAATCAATGCCTTATTTATCCTTTACTTCTTGCTTCCACAGAGCCTGAAGGTCAGCCACAAGTGGGAGCTTAGGACATACATGGGTTTTAAGTAGGAGCATAGCCCTAGAGAGGTACATGGTCCTTAGGTTTTCAGGAATGTGCTGGAGCTTTTCAAAGGCCCTATGAATATCTAATCTCCCAGTATTTCCTTTTAAGCTTTTTGATTAGTCTATTGTTTGCCCCAACTCTTAACCACTGCCTCGGGCAGCCACAAAGTTAAACACTTCCTATAATTGTTTTAGACAAATGCTCTCCCTGAAGAAAATACTTTCTGCATTGGAAGAGCTCTGAGTCAGGTCAAATAAAGACAACCTTGTGAGTGGTGTCTTCCGAGGAACCTCCGGACAGTTCAAATAGTGACAACTCTCTGGTTGTGATGTTTTAAAGCAAGCTTGTCCAATGCATGTGGCCCAGGACAGCTTTGAATGCAACCCAACACAACATCATAAACTTTCTTTAAACATTACGAGATTTTATTTTTAGCTCTTCAGGTATCATTAGTATTAGTATATTTTATGTGTGGCCCAACACAATTCTTCTTATTTCAGTGTGGCCCAGAGAAGCCAAAAGATTGGACACACCTGCTTTAAATATCTCCAACCCCATTTTGTTTCACCACTGGCTGCCAGGCTGTGGTGATCACTGTGCTTGTGGGCTGTTGAATTTCCAGCTTACCAGAGAGCTGGAGTCAGGGATGGGAATAGAGCAAGTTAAACCTCCATAAAGCTCCCTTTCACACCAAAATTCATCCATGTTTCTTGGATAAATGCTCTCCAGATTGTTGCAAACTTTGGTTAATTTTTAGAGTTCTGAGAAAAGTGATTCTATTTTTTTCCAATTTTCTTACTGCTTTTGTAGAGAGGAGTGTTTGCAGAGGCCTTTACTCCATTTTCACTGCTCTGACTCTTCTTCTTTTAAACAGTGCATTCTATTCCACTGCATGCACTAATATCATTTAATTGTTTTTCATAATATATTTTCCCCACATTTTTATTTGGAGAAATTCTAAACCTTCAGAAAAGCTATAAGAATAGTATAATAAGTGCCCACATACCCTTGGCTAGATTCACTAAGTGTTAACATTTTACCACATTTGCTTTTTTTCTCTCTCTGAAGGATTTGAGAGTTAGTTTCAGACATCATGACAACTTCACCCTTGAAGACATGCATCTCCCAAGAAGCAAGATACTCTCCTGGTTCATTAGAAAAATATAATAATCATACTCAGGAAATTAACATTTTTACATCATAATTTATATAGCATATTCAAATCCCCAGTAAACAATTCAGAATGCAGGCACATCTCCACAAAGAGTTGGCACACAAAGCAGAATCACGCTTAGCAAAGCCTCTGGCAAATGCCAGGTGAGATGGTCAGAGGCCTGAGATACTGCCTTCATCTGCAAGGTGCTACTCCCTGTCCCTGTTTCCCAGGGTCCGAGACTAATTATCTGCTTGGGAGGGATCTACTGTGCAGCTTATTTCATTTTAGCAAATGAGATGGTTATCTAAAAATCCTTGTTTAAGAAAAAAAAAAAAGCAAATCAACAATGCTGCTCAAATTTCTGAAAATGGACAAACAAAAAGCCTGGAACAAACCATTTCCCCCAGAAAATAATCTTCCTGGGGGTATCTGTCAAATCATTTGAAAGAGGTGTGAAATGCTGACACAAACATTGCAAGGTGGGTCCCTGATAACGACAACAACCCTCTCCTAGCATCACATACACTCTGGCAGGGCAGTGTCTCATTTCTAGCATCTCAATCTCAGAGATGATTCCTCTGAAGGATGCTTTCATGTCCTTGCTCCTGGGCAAAGATGAACTTGTAATGTAGTAAATGTCAACTTACAATGTGGTCAATGCCAATTCATCTATCAGTTACATTAAAATAACTTTTTGGCCAGGCGCGGTTGCTCACGCCTGTAATCCCAGGACTTTGGGAGGCCGAGGTGGGCGGATCACAAGGTCAAGAGATCGAGACCATCCTGGCCAACTTGGTGAAACCCCATCTCTTCTAAAAATACAAGAATTCGCTGGGTGTGGTGGCGTGCGCCTATAGTCCTAGCTACCTGGGAGGCTGAGGCAGGAGAATTGCTTGAACCCAAGAGGTGGAGGTTGCAGGGAGCCGAGACTGTGCCACTGCACTCCAGCCTGGTAAAAAAGTGAGACTCTGAATCAAAAAAAAAAAAAAAATTCCTATTACATAGCTCCAAGCGAGTATCTAAAGCAGCATTTCTCACAGTATGGTCCATGAACCACCCACATCAGCAACACATGTGGAACTAGTTCAGTGATGGTTCCCAGGCTTCATCTCAGGCCCACTGATTCAGGATTTCTGGGCCTGGGTCCCAGGAGTCTGCATTTTTAAAAGCACCACAGGTTATTCCAAAGCATGTTAATAATGAAGAACCAGTGAGCTCATCTGAGATTAACTGAAGCTTGGAAAAATCTACAGAATAAGAATCAGATATTGAGAATCGATTTGTATTTCTGTCTATGTTAGTAGCTTTTAAACATTTTGACCATGATCCTTATAAAGGAATATATTACGCATCCTTATGCAGCACACACACACACACGCACACACATTGAAATTAAACTTTCATGAAAGAATATTTATCCTTACTACTTGTGCTTCACTCTGATATTTTCTATCCTATCCTACTTCACTTTTTAAAAATTGGACATAAGCCACAAAATCGATTTCACAACCCTCTAATAAATCACAAACTGGTGTTTGCAGAACACTGATCTATAGCAATCAACTGAAATGTAAAGCTCAACTGACTAAGAATAAACTAGGGAGAGAGAGTGTGAAATATTGCATACTGGTCACTAAACAAGATTTTTAAAAAGATATTAAAGTACATGCATTTAGCTGGATTTAAAACAGCTTAATCACAATACTGATTTCCAAATAACATAAATTTCATTTAGTGTGACTATAAATCTTACTACTTTCAACTAACAACTATGGGTTTTAGGAGCGAGCATATTAGAGTGAACAGGTGGTGGTATGCTAACACTGTGAGTCTAGACCTTAACAGGAGGCTCTGATTCTGGCTCTCCCATCTGGCAGGGATCACAGCCTGAGTAACGACCTCATTAAGCCTCAGTGTCTTTACATGTGAAGTAGAGCCCAAAACAGTGTCTATCTCATCAGGTAATGAATATTAAATACTATAATTTATGCAAGTTACATTATTCAGAAATAAGATACCTCTGAACAAAAGCTTTATCACCTTAAAAATAATTTAAAAATGTTTAAATAAAGTTTCATGTATAAGCTCATATATAGATTACTATGGGAGGCTGGGTGTAGAGGATCACACCCATAATCCCAGAACTTTGGGAGGATGAGGCAAGAGGATTGCTCAAGGCCAGGGGTTTGAAACCAGCCTGGGAAACATAGGGAGACACTGGCTCTACAAAAACTATATATAAAAATTAGCCGGGCATGGTGGCACATGCTTGTAGTCCCAGCTACTAAGGAGGCTAAGTTGGGAAGACCATGTGAGCCCAGGAGTTGGAGGGTGCAGTGAGGTATGATCACACCACTGCACTCTAGTCTGGGCGACAGAGCAAGACCTTGTCTCAAAAATATACAAAACACATTACTATGTGCACAAATTTACTATATACCTGGCATTATTTTTCTCTTGATGAAGAAACCTTGAACATTTTCTCCGTATGGTGTTGTGCTAAGTGCTGGAATTAAGGAGTCATGAGACACAGTACCACTTATTGAGCAGGTTATAATCTAGTTGCAGACTTAGGACAACAGGAAGAAATGTAAATCATCAAATCGCGCACCAAGTGCCAGATTTAGAGGTGCAGAAAGTGAGTATAGTTGGAATTCAGAGAAAAGGACTGGAAGTCAGAAAGAGCTCCAGAGGTGGGAACTTAGGTGGGGAGTGATGGGGGTTGAGGTTTGAATTAACAAAAAGGAGGGTGGAAGGAACTCCCAAAAGAAGAGAATAATGGGAGTGCAGACAAAGATCAAATTCTGCTCCCAGTTTGGCTAGGGAGCAGTGAGTCGTAAAGACAGGATTAGAAGCAACAGCCCATCTGGGGACCAGGCTAAGGCAGTGAGGGAGGTAGGAAGATTGATCTGGAAGGTAGAGTGTGGTATGGTACTGTGAAGTCAACTCAGGCTGGCTGCAGAGGTCTGGGCATTCCTAGGAGAGGTGGCCTGACCAGCAACACCATAAGAGAGGGCAGGACATGGCCCAAAGCATCAGTGACATCAACACTACAGATATCACTGGTTAACAGAATGAGGAGATCAACACCAAAAAATTATTTATTTTATTCCCTATGCAACTAGTCAACCAGGTATAGGTATAGGTATATACATATACAACTAATACATATACCAGGTATAGGTATATACATACACAATTTAAGAAGTTCGGGTTAATTTTGCCAAAGTTTACATAGCGTTACTTTAAACACCAACCAACCTGGTCTCTAGCATGAAGTGAATTGGGTAGATTGATGACTAGATGTTTGCCAAAGTTTGAGGCAAACCATCTCTACCACTCAAATGATTTTACTTTTCTTAATCAGATTCTATGCATTCTTTCCTCAGCAAGCTACCTTCTGGTTGAGAATTCACCTTGCCAGGTAATTTGATATGGAGAAGAATGTATTGATAAAGGTATAGCCTTAAGCATTCCAGTCACTACAAGGGGTCTAAACTGTCCTTCTACTTATCCATGGGACTCATTTAAATGTGGTTACGTGTAACCGTCAGCAAATGCCTGGTCATTCTTTGATGTGCTGGAAATCTGCCATACCCATAGGAAGGAGGCTGTGAAGCCCAGCTGTACTTCAGAGTCACCTGGGGAGCTGCTTAAAATCTCTTGGCCGGGGCGGGGGTCGGGGGGCAGCCAGCTGGCTGCACTTAAGGGAGCAGCCCCCAGGTGGACTACCACCTTCTGATACAATTGTTCTCAATTGTGGCTTCACTTTAGAATCATCCGGGAAACTTTAAAGAACCCCTATCTAGGAATTGACATTGACAGAGACGTTAAAACCTACCCACTGGGCAGAGGACATGAATTTATATCATTCATGTTCTTCGTTTCTAAGCAGAGGTGAGAACATTTGTAATGTACTGGAGTCGAGGAATTTCTATGTCACCTGCATTTAGGATATTCGATTATTTTATTCTATTTGATCTTAGACACAGGCCATAGCTTTAAGTTGTTGCTGGTTTTAAACTCTTAAGCACTCATTATTGCTTTAGAGCAGGGATGGGCACAATTTGTCTGTAAAGAGCCAGACAGTAAACAGTTTAGGCTTTGTGAGTCACACAGTCTTTGTGGTGACTACTCAGCTGCACAGCTGTAGACAAAGGCAGCCACAAATAATATGTAAACAAACGGGCATGCCTGCATTCCAGTAAAACTTTATTTACAAAGACAGGTGCAAGACAAAATTTGGCCAGTGGGCTGTAGTTTGCTGATCTCCTGCTTAAGAATGCTTGAATAATTATAACTAGCATTCAGATCTTGGGCCCATTAATACAAAACTAGTAACAAAGCATAAAAATAAAAAGTACACTCAGTCTTAGAATCTTACCCTTCGACTATCATCCTATTACCATTTACCAGAAACTCAAAACAGAGGACACTGTTTATATCTAAATGATATGGATCTACTCAGACTATGTCTGCCCCTGAGTACCACTGGCCATACTCAAACCTTCACTTGCACAGAAACCACCCACCTGATTACTCAAATTGCCCCCCTGCAAACCTCCAGGGCAAACTACAGGCCAGCGTGCAGCGCCATTCTGGCTTACATACTGGTAGAAGATGCCATGGGGATTACTTATTCATTTATTTTTATAGGGAAAAAAATCCATCTATGCTGCTTTTGAATACATTTATTCCCCATGCAATTGATCAACTAGGTATAAATGTACAACTGGAGGTCTCAAGTTTTTGGTTAAATAATTTGTACTCAACTGAGTAAGTTTGATCAAGGATCCTGCCTTGGCCACCACGTCTGGTTTCCCCTGAATGTCTTAAAATACTTAACGAATGAAAGCCCAAAGGGTGAGACTGTTTGCTAAGTGGATGAGATCTGAGCATAGACTTCACTCTTAGGCTCTGAAGCTGTGGCTGAGACGGAGCTCACTGCCCAGCTGTGCTCTCCCTAATTCCTACTCTGCAACATAAAGAAGTCCCCACATCTATAGTGCTAAAAATGATGACACCCAGTTATATGGAAGCTCAAAGGAGCTCACACTCCCCTCACCCCTGCTGTGCGCAGTTTATCTCCAATGTCAAAGTCATCACCCATGCACATTGAAAACCAGTGTCAGACAGGGTAGTCTCCTGCGGAAGAGGAGTGCAGACTTTTCCCTGAACACAGCCAGCAATCAATCCATCCCAGTTCACCCACAGTGTAAAGGAAAATAAAATTAAGCAGAAGTTTCAGCCTTGGATGTGTGCTTCTGAGCTCAGTTACCAGGATTCCTTATGACAGCTCCGTATTGTACTCACTTGGAAGTGTTTTCAAGTATTCCTTTGACTTCATTTATTTCTTCTTTCCCAAAGTAAACAACAGTGAGATGGACTCTCCCATCCTGCTCAATGCACATCTCCCTGGAAAACAAAACACATGCATGTCTGGCACCTGTTTTCACACTGACAGGCACAGCACAAACCAATACCTTTTTGTAAAGTGCAAAAGGGTCTTGAAGGAAACTAGGTAAACTTCCAGGAGAGCCGAGATGGGAATCCAGAACCTTTCTGGTTGGCCATTCCAACTATCTGTATTTGTATTCATCTTATCGGGACAACAAGGAAATTTAAACATGCAGTAAATCAAAACTCTGATGCAAGGCACCTCAGGTCCAATCTGCCACAGTCCTAGCCCACCGGGCCTAGACAGTGTCATGGAATTGGGTCCTTGGGGTCCCTGGTTCTTACCCCATAAAAAGACTATTTTAGACCAATATCCTTGATGAACATTGATGCAAAAATCCTCAATAAAATACTGGCAAACCGAATTCAGCAGCACATCAAAAAGCTTATCCACCATGATCAAGTGGGCTTCATCCCTGGGATGCAAGGCTGGTTCAATATATGCAAATCAATAAATGTAATCCAGCATATAAACAGAACCAAAGACAAAAACCACATGATTATCTCAATAGATGCAGAAAAGGCCTTTGACAAAATTCAACAACCCTTCATGCTAAAAACTCTCAATAAATTAGGTATTGATGGGACGTATTTCAAAATAATAAGAGCTATCTATGACAAACACACAGCCAATATCATATTGAATGGGCAAAAACTGGAAGCATTCCCTTTGAAAACTGGCACAAGACAGGGATGCCCTCTCTCACCACTCCTATTCAACATAGTGTTGGAAGTTCTGGCCAGGGCAATTAGGCAGGAGAAGGAAATAAAGGGCATTCAATTAGGAAAAGAGGAAGTCAAATTGTCCCTGTTTGCAGATGACATGATTGTATATCTAGAAAACCCCATTGTCTCAGCCCAAAATCTCCCTAAGCTGATAAGCAACTTCAGCAAAGTCTCAGGATATAAAATCAATGTACAAAAATCACAAGCATTCTTATACACCAATAACAGACAAACAGAGAGCCCAATCATGAGTGAACTCCCAGTCACAATTGCTTCAAAGAGAATAAAATACCTAGGAATCCAACTTACAAGGAATATGAAGGACCTCTTCAAGGAGAACTACAAACCACTGCTCAATGAAATAAAAGAGGATACAACCAAATGGAAGAACATTCCATGCTCATGGGTAGGAAGAATCAATATCGTGAAAATGGTCATACTGCCCAAGGTAATTTGTAGATTCAATGCCATCCCCATCAAGCTACCAATGACTTTCTTCACAGAATTGGAAAAAACTACTCTAAAGTTCATATGGAACCAAAAAAGAGCCTGCATCGCCAAGTCAATCCTAAGCCAAAAGATCAAAGCCGGAGGCATCACACTACCTGACTTCAAACTATACCACAAGGCTACAGTCACCAAAACAGCATGGTAGTGGTACCAAAACAGAGATATAGATCAATGGAACAGAACAGAGCCCTCAGAAATAATGCAGCATATCTACAACCATCTGATCTTTGACAAACCTGACAAAAACAAGAAATGGGGAAAGGATTCCCTACTTAATAAATGGTGCTGGGAAAACTGGCTAGCCATATGTAGAAAGCTGAAACTGGATCCCTTCCTTACACCTTATACAAAAATGAATTCAAGATGGATTAAAGACTTACATGTTAGACCTAAAACCATAAAAACCCTAGAAGAAAACCTAGACAATACGATTCAGGACATAGGCATGGGCAAGGACTTCATGTCTAAAACACCAAAAGCAATGGCAACAAAAGCCAAAATTGACAAATGGGATCTAATTAAACTAAAGAGCTTCTGCACAGCAAAAGAAACTACCATCAGAGTGAACAGGCAACCTACAGAATGGGAGAAAATTTTTGCAACCTACTCATCTGACAAAGGGCTAATATCCAGAATCTACAATGAACTCCAACAAATTTACAAGAAAAAACAAACAACCCCATCAAAAAGTGGGCGAAGGATATGAACAGACACTTCTCAAAAGAAGACATTTATGCAGCCAAAAACACATGAAAAAATGATCATCATCCCTGGCAATCAGAGAAATGCAAATCAAAACCACAATGAGATACCATCTCACACCAGTTAGAATGGTGATCATTAAAAAGTCAGGAAACAACAGGTGCTGGAGAGGATGTGGAGAAATAGGAACACTTTTTACACTGTTGGTGGGAATGTAAACTAGTTCAACCATTGTGGAAGTCAGTGTGGCGATTCCTCAGGGATCTAGAACTAGAAATACCGTTTGACCCAGCCATCCCATTACTGGATATATACCCAAAGGACTATAAATCATGCTGCTATAAAGACACATGCACATGTATGTTTATTGCGGCACTATTCACAATAGCAAAGACTTGGAACCAACCCAAATGTCCAACAATGACAGAGTGGATTAAGAAAATGTGGCACATATACACCATGGAATACTATGCAGCCATAAAAAAATGAAGAGCTCATGTCCTTTGTAGGGACATGGATGAAACTGGAAACCATCATTCTCAGCAAACTATCATAAGGACAAAAAACCAAACACTGCATGTTCTCACTCATAGGTGGGAATTGAACAATGAGAACACACGGACACAGGAAGGGGAACATCACACTCTGGGGACTGTTGTGGCGTTGGGGGAGGGGGGAGGGATAGCATTAGGATATATGCCTAATGTAAATGACGAGTTAGTGGGTGCAGCACACCAACATGGCACATGTATACATATGTAACAAACCTGCACATTGTGCACATGTACCCTAAAACTTAAAGTATAAAAAAAAAAAAAGACTATGAAGTACGAAAGATGAGAAAGCTAAAGTCCAGAGAGGATGAGACTAGAATCCTTGCCCATGACTCTCTTTTCTTATGTGGGCCAAACACAGAGTCTTAAAGACTGAATGAGCAAAGGTCAACAGTCATTCTCCTGTTTAGGACTCTAGAGTGCCTTGGAAGCACCCAATGTTATGACTATCTGAGGAAATGGCAAGGCAGAACAGTCACTGAAGTTCACCCTTCCCAAGCAGATATCATCACCTTCACCATGTCCCCATTTCTCCTCTCCGTGACTCTAACGATCCCAGGCACCGAGCACCTCATGCTCCAGCTTTCTGACAAAACCACCATTCGGCTGCACCCTCCTGGGGCCAGACCTCTAGCTCTGGCCTGGTCCTGACCTGCTTTCCCACATCAGCTATTTGTGTTTTGCCCATGTCCTGTCCTCTCAAGAGAAAGCAGTGGCTAACCTGGGAAGGTCCTCTGCTGACGGTTTAGTTCATTTATGTATATGTGTATGTATGTAAACGCAGGTGTGTATGTGTAAATGTGAATATATGTGCATGTAAATGTATGTATGTGTAGATATGTAAATATATGCAAGTGCGTAAATCACTGTTTATGTACACATATATGCATATATTATGTACACATGTGTACAGTTTCCCCTCAGTATCTGTATTAGTCTATTCTCATGCTGCTAATAAAGACATACCCAAGACTGGGTCATTTATAAAGGAAAGAGGTTTAATGGACTCACAGTTCCACATGGATGGGGAGGTCTCACAATCATGGCAGAAGGCAAAGGAGGATCAAAGGCACATCTTACATGGTGGCAGGCAAGAGAGCTTGTGCAGGGGGATTCCCATTTATAAAACCATCAGATCTTGTGAGACTTATTCACTACCACAAGAACAGTATGAGAGAAACTGCACTCGTGATTCAATGATCTCCACCTGGCCCTGCCCTTGACACATGGAGATTACAATTCAAGCTGAGATGTGGGTGGGGATATAGCTAAACCATATTACTATCCATGAGGGACTGATTCCAGAAACCCCCTGGGGATACCAAAATCCAGATGTTCATGGCCCTTATATCAGCAGCCCCCAAATTTTGCAGCATCAGGGACCAGTTTCATGGAAGACAATTTTTCCACACTGGGGGTGGGGGTGGAGGTGGGCTTATGGTTTCAGCATGAAACTGTTCCATCTCAGATCATCAAGCATTAGAGTCTCATAAGGAACACACAACCTAGATCCCTTACATCTGCGGTTCACAATAAGGTTCACCCTCCTATAAGAATCTAATGCTACAGCTGATCTGACAAGAGGTGGCACTCAGGTGGTAATGCTCACTTACCAGCTACTCACCTCCTGCTGTGTGGCCTAGTTCCTAACAGGCCACAGACCAGTAATGGTGTGTGGACCAGGAGTTGGGGCCCCCTGTCTTATAACATGGTGTGATATTGGGATATAACCTACATACATCCTCTTGTAGACTTTAAATCATTTCCAGATTACTTTTAACACCCAACGCAATGTAAATGCTATGTAAAGTGTTTTTGTTCTGTATCATCTAGGGAATAATGACAAGGAAAAAAAAGTTTGTGCATATTCAGTACAGACGCAGCCATTCCTGTTTTGTTTTTTGGAATATTTCCAGTCCTTGATTGCTTGAATCGGAGGGTGTGGTACCCTTGGATACAGTGGGCCAACTGCATACGTGTATGTGTGTAATTTTAACCTGAGTTTCTGGAAACAAGTTAATGGAAAGGTTCTACTGGTAGGATATTTTGTGATATTGATATTTTACATGTGCTTCCATTTGGTTTCTTTTATCTCAGTGTTGGCTACTTACCCTAACCCCCAAGCAATAATCCACATCATAATTTCTAAAGATCCTTGAGCTCTAAATGCAGAGGCCAGTTTGTTCAATGCTTTTAATGATGACACCTAAAAGAAATGACCGCCTTCCTGGGGTTGCTGGGATAAATCCACAGCAATAGAAGACACGGTTCTTGCCCTCATAACACTTACTTAGGAAATCAAATGAGCTCAATTAAAACCATCAGACATCTCATGGCACTGATATAAAGAACAGGGAATTGAGAAGGTACAGCAAATGCTGTGGGGTGGAATGGCTGGGGTCAGTGAAGGAGGGATAAAGTTTAGAAAGGCAGAGGTAAGAAAGAAGAGAATTCCAGATGGAAGAAATAGGGAAGATGATACTGACCCAGGCAAGACGCATGCAGGGCTCACTCTGGTCACAGGTTTGATTCTGAGAATTCTGTCTCTTTCTGGTGGAAGAAAGAGCACCTCAGGAACCCAGAGCAATGGCAGAGATTTAAAAGCAGACAAAGGACAGGGAATAGAGGCCTAGGATGTAACGATATGTTTTGAAACCAGGAGCTCCCACTTAGCCACAGTCCCTGCAGACTGAATCATCACCAATCAACAATGAAATCCTCTGTACATAAAAGATCCCTTTTGCAAACTTCCCAGACAATGCCTTAACTTCCTCTGCCACGGTAGAATACAAGCACACACACAGGGCCAAGTGCCAGAAAAATTGCTTGAAATTTGTGCATGCAGTGGGAAAAATCCATCCTAGAATCAGGAGAGGGTCACCTGCTAAGTGTGAAGAAAAAGCATTCTCATTTTTCTAATAACATCTTTGCTGTCTCCCTCTCTGGTATTTTTAAATCCATTCAAAGAACTTCCTGTTTTTAAGCAATAAGACAGATGCTGTGACTAGGTGAGGCGTCTTAAAAAAGGCAAAGTAGAATTTGTTGTGAGGTCTACCTCCAAGGTTCCGTTGCATTCATTCGTGTACTCTTCTCTTTCATTCATTCAACAAACACTTGGTGACAACATATCATGGACCAGATACTCTACCAGTGGATCTTAAGAAATGAGTAAGACATGTCTGCCCTTGAGTTCTCCATGTACTGTGCAAAACTGAAACTATCTGTAATATAACTAACAAGTACTTTACAAGAATATGAGTCTCATACCATGAAAAACCATGGCTGGCCGGCTGAATGATCTTTGTTTTCCTCTAAATAATTCTGAGTAAACTCCATCCACTGGAAAGGTGTGTGTGTGAGAGTGTGTATGTGAGTGAATGTGTCCATATGTTTTTGGTTTGGAGGCAAAAGTTTAAAAAGTAAAGTAAGCTGGGCGTGGTGGCTCATGCCTATAATCTCAGCACTTTGAGAGGCCGAGGCAGGAGGATCACTTGAGGTCAGGAGTTCAAGACCACCCTGGCCAACATGGTGAAACCCCATGTCTATTAAAAATACAAAAATTAGTCAGGCCTGGTGATACAGGCCTGTAATAGCAGCTATTTGGGAGGCCGAGGGAGGAGAATGACTTGAACCTGGGAGCTAGAGGTTACAGTGAGCTGAGATGGTGCCAGTGCACTCCAGCCTGGGCGACAGAGCGAGACTCCATCTCAAAATAAATAAGTAAGTAAGTAAGTAAAATGCATGAGAAAGGAGGAAAATGGTATTCGTTACGTATTCAAACTCCGGGCTTTGCACGGTTATTCATACCTGGACACATGGTACCTGGGTCCCTTGGGCTGACTTACTTGCCTCTGATAGCACTTCTCTATAAACACCTTGGTAAAATTGTCTACGAAGCCTTTGCCATGAATCTCAGGAAACTCCAACTTCCTAAGATCCCTCCAGGGAGCTCATCATTTTCCCATAGTCTCCGTGCACGAGCTCCCCATTCCCACTGGGTCATTCTTCTGCCTGAACCTGGAAGCCTGAAAATTCATTCATTCATTCATTCATTCATTCACTCATTCAGTTACTGAGAGAGAGTCTCGCTCTCTCACCCAGGCAACGGTGCCATCTTGGCTCACCAAAGCATCAACCTCCCAGGTTCAAGTGATCCTCCCACCCTAACTTCCCGAGCAGCTGGGACCACAGGTGTGTGCCATCATGCCCAGCTAATTTTTGTATTTTCAGTGGAGACAGGGTTTCACCATGTTGGCCAGGCTGGTCTCGAACTCCTGACCTCGGGTGAGCCACTCGCCTTGGCCTCCCAAAGTGCTGGGATTAAAGGTGTGAGCCGCCATGTCCGGCCTGAATATTCTGTTTGTATTCCACAAAGACTCTTTTTAGGATGTTTTTTCTTAAAACAACAACAAAAATAAACCCATAAACCCATAAACCCATAAACCAGTTCTTCCCCCACATATTGTAACAAGAGAGTATGGAGAGTACAGAGGCTAATTAAGATGTATTTCCTATCACAAAACATGTATCACAGTCACTTAGACACCTATATTTCTGTTTCCCAAGAGCCAAAAGCCCTTCATGGTCTTTGAGTTCTGTTATGAATCTGCACGCCTGCCCTGTGGAGGGCCGTTGTTCGTAGCCTTAGCATACAGGTGAGGGAAGGAGTTCCAATGACCTGACAGAGCTATGGAGGCAGCAAGGCACAAAAGCCAGGTTTCCTAAGCACCTGCCTGGTAGTCAGCTCCCCAGGTCACCTGAGCCACATGAGGAATGCATCTGTTAAGTCTGACAGCTTTGAACTCACTGTCTAGGACCCCACTACAAAGCTGGGGGACTGGTATGGCCAGGTGGAAGGGAAAAGCCACAAGAAAACTCCAAACGTAAATAGGCTGTGGGGAAGGACTGTTCAACCTGAGTTTCTGATGGGAACCAGACAGATAGAATGGGCAGATATGATGGACTGGTGACAGGCTGATCTGAGGCCTGATTTGAGGAGGGGTTGTACCCTTAGGGTGATAACTCATCCTAAAGAAGTCTTTTTCAACCTCTGCACTGCTAACAGTTTAGACCCACTAACTATTGTGGGAGGTGCTGTGATGTACACAATAGGATGTGTGGCAGCATCCCTGGAGCACCCACCTATCCCAGATGTGACAACCAAACAGATCTCCAGACCTTGCCAGATGTCCCAGAGCAGGGGGAGGTGGGTGTACAAAATAGCCTTGGTTCTCGACCACTGTCTTGACGGAGAAACAAGCTCAGTAATAAAAACTGACTTGTCAGAGAGGGAGTGTGGTTGTCAAAGTGATGCACACCCCTAGGGTGGGTCCTGTTCTCCAACCAGCTTTTGTGGACTCACCTGTGAGTCCTAGAGAGACAAAGCTACAAAAAACGTGAGGCTTTCTTTACAGCAAACAAAACTATGAGGATACTGGGAGCTCAAGCCAGGACTTTTGGGGAATGTAATGGTGTTAGTGTGATAGACATGCTGGTGGTGGGTACGGTAGCAGCAGCAGCCTCATGCCATTAGGGAGTGATAGCCCCTCTGGCTGTTGTCAGAAGCATGGGTTTGCTTCAAACAACTGATGCTTGTACAGCCAGTGGAGGTTGAACTTAACATCTGCACATGTGTGAGTTATCACTGAGGATACCTAGAAAGACTGAGAGGGCCAGAGAAGGTTGGAGATCTTGCCAGAGTAGGGGAGAGAGAGAGTGGGAAAAATTGTGTTTCTTGCAGTTAAGGATACCTCTCTTTATAACTCATATTATGTGGTCTAGGGAATCGTGGATTCAATAATAAACACTTACTGGGCACCTTTGGGTGCAATTAATTATCCTCATTGTAGGAAGAGTTACAAAGGATGACCATGTATGGTCTTTGTAGTAGAACCAATCAACCAGGTTTTCCTGCGATTTTCCAGATTTTAGCAATGGAAATCCTATATCCGAGAAAATTTCTCAGTCCCAAGCAAATTGGGACAACTGGTCACCCTCCCTACTGCAGGAACTTTATAGTTTTTTGGAAGAAACAGACAACTAAAGAGCCATAATATAATGCAGGATGGAATAACCACGGTAACAGAGGTAAAATGAACTAAAAGGCTGAGAGGAGAGCACGGTTATTTCCACTGGGTGCCAGGGAAAGGGGGACTGAGGAGGAGGGGGATCCAGGCTGAGCCTTGATAGGTGAGTAGCCACCCCGCACATGAACAAGGGCAGAGGCAGGGCTTTCACAGCTGAGAAAGACACAGATGCAAGGAAATCACATCACCATTCTTTCCTGAGTCAATTTGCTACTCAAATGTTCAGGTATGTGATGAATACCTATTTAGGCTTTAAGTAGTGTCCCATGCAAATGAAATGACATGTAAAAGACCTGATGTTCCCAAACTCTATCTGTAGTCTTCTGTGGTTACAAGAAGAAATTCCTTGGCACAAAGGAACTGGAAATAAGGAACAGAGTTAGTGGGGCTAAGTAAAACCTGGCTTTAAAATCAGTATTCTTCCTTTGGTTTGGAGGGTCATCTCCCCTCCCCTGTGTCGAGATAAATTTATTAATATATAATTATTCTATTCCATCATTTGAGTAGTCTGATCAGTGTTAAGAAATGAGTGAATTTTGACTCTCAATCAAGCAATTGGGACCTATTTTCCTGACTGTCCATTTCAAAATAGAAAATGAGATCATTTTCCATTTGGTCATTTTTTACTCTTGGATGGATGTTCATACATAACCCCTGGCTCAAGTGAAATCAAAACCAACTTCTATTAAGTCTTCAAAGAGAAACCGTTATCTAAATACATGAATGATATAGATTAGCATCTCTCAAACCCATTAGCCATCCAACTTGCAGCTCTGTTGTACAAAGTGAAATGGCCTATGGGAGAGGTAGAGGGGCTTAAGGATGGCAGGAGAACTAGACTATGCAAAAGACATCATTTTCCTGTTGGGGAACACAAAGAAACTGGGAATCTCTATCATGATCCAACATTTGCTGACCTGAGGCCTTTCTGTCATATATACCAGCCTCACTATAACATTCCAGGCTCATTTCAATTTCCGAGACTCTACACTTACTGCTTTAAAATAATTTTCCTGAAATTTTCAGAACCACCTTAATGGTTCTAGGCCAAAAAAATGAATAAAAGAGAACTGCTATAGAAAATTCAAGTACAAGATTTCCTTGATACTGTATTAAAATATCATAAATGTTAGAAAGAGAACATTAAGACAAAAATTACCAGTCAAGTCTGAGGAGGAATATAGCAACATGAAAAAGGGTTCTCAGTCTAGCTGGAAGCAGTCAAAATAAAAAAATCAAGTAAACTTGGAATTGAGAAAGATTTTTTTTAAAGCAAAGTGAAGAATATTTTCCATAAAAATTCTGCCTTTTTCCCCTCAGAGAGGCTCAGAGATAAAGACCAAAGAAAATCTATAGCTTTGTTATTATGAAGTTCTTCCTGCTATCACAAACAAAACAGACAATGAAGTAACCGGCTGGCTTAAAATCTAGAATATGGAAGGTAAGAAACAAAGCAGCCGAAAACCAAATTTGAGAATAGTTTCAAGGGCAAAATGGGGTGGAAGAAGAAAGAAGAAAGAGGGGGAGGAGGGGGAGGAGGAGGGGGAGGAGGAAGGGGAAGAGGAGGGAGAAGAGGAGGAGGTGGAGGGGGAAAAGGAGGAGGAGGAGAGGGAGAAGGGGGAGAGTGAGGAAGAGGGAGAGGGGGAGGGGAGAAAGAGCGGGAGGAAGAGGGAGGGGGAGGGGGCAGGGAGGAAGAGGGGGAGGAACAGGGGAGGAGAGGGGGGAGGAGAGGGAGGAGGAGAAGGAGGAGGAGGAATAGGAGGAGGAGGAGGAGAGGAAGAGGAAGAGTAAGTAGGTTTAAGCCAATATGTGACTGGACAAAAAGGAAACAGAAAAACAGCAGGAGCTACATTTAAAGCAAACTTTCCCTGGTGAGCTCCCTCTGTTACCAGCCACAGGTAGAGACTGCAGAGACCCAAGGGAGGCGGGTGGGGCATCCGGGGGAGAAGAAACTTCACGTGAAGCCTGTGAGGGTCCCACATCAGCCAGGACAATGACAGCAGGAGTGAAGGAGCCTGCCACAGTTCCAGGCATTTGATTTCCACAAACAAAAATGAAGTCATTTGCAGGTACAGTAGCTCACGCCTGTAATCCCAACACTTTGGGAGGCTGAGGCAGGCTGTAAAGTGATCTTTACAGATGATCACTTGAGGTCAGGAGTTTGAAACCAGCCTGGGCAACAGAGCAAGACTTTGTCTCTACAAAAAATCTGGCTGGATGTGGTGGCATGCATCCGTAGCCCCAGCTACTCAGGAGTCTGAGGGGGGAGGATCACTGGAGCCCAGGAGTTTGAGGCTGCAGTGAGCCATGATGGCACCACTGCACACCAGACTGGGCTACTGAGCTTTTTTAGAGACCCTGTCTTCAAAAAAAAATAAAAAATAATAAAAAAAAAGGACTCACACAGCACATACATAGCCCTACAGCACCAAGAACAGAGCAGTCTTTATTGCTATCAAGGGGTGCAGTGGGGCTTTTATTCTTACTCAGAGATAACAATACTCAAGCTTTAGTGTCAAGCTTTAGCATCATGATTTCTTGTAAATCTGAGGAATATCATTTATTTGGTGGTTCAATGCTTCTTAAATGAAGGCCCTTAGGGTCTGGGTGCTAGGAGAAACCTCATCTCACCCAACAGATGACAGACTTCTCTTCATTAAATATGAACAGCTGGAGGACTCTGGCCTTTGTTTTACCCCTTTCTCCTTGCCTGTTGGGATGTCCTGAAACCTAGTGTTTTTGACAAGTTCCAATTTTCTATTAGTCCCAATTTCTAGGTGGACCTGTCCCTCTTCCCATATTGTTATTGAGTCCTTGTTCATTGAACTTTATAAAAATCGTTTTATTAAACTTGTATTTTTTAAAACACAAATACTTTTTGAGAGTAGGTGAGATGACTATAATGAGAAGAAATAATAATGACAATAAATAACTTAGTGCACACACTGTGTGCACCCAGGAATAAATTTTGTCCCCATGGATCACCCCAAGCACCGTTCTAGAGCACAAAGACGTGGCCTTTGCCTCCTTCCAGAATATACCCGTGCCTGGCCAGTACGCCGGGTGAGCTGTTTTCTGCAGACCTAGCCTTCCCCAAGACCGCTTTGTGCCTTGTGACCAGGGCTGCTCTTTCTTGGGAATTCCAGGCTCCACATCTCTTCCTTCTGTCCAAGAAGACATATTTATTGTAAGTTGAAGCCATGCAAGTCTTTTCTAGGTAAATAATTAACAAATTGATGCTGATGTGGAAAAACCTGCCCCTGATAATAATCCGCATAGAACTGCAAGGCGATAGGGCCCATCTGGACCAAGATTTTCCTTTTACAGAAGATACTAAAGCTGAGATATATGAAGCAACACATAAAAGATTCCTCAACCAACTGTATGAGAGCAAAGGGTGTTGATATTTTAAAGGTGATGCATGGGAAGGATAATGCTTTAAATACATTAATCTGAAATAGCAATCATTGCAAACTGTGTGCCAAAAATAGTTGAAAATGGCAACAATTTTGCCACCAATAAATGACCAATGAGGGAGACATAATCTTCTGCTGTCAATTTCAACAGAGTGGAGACCAAGGAAAGAAATGGAAGTTTCTACATTAGCTTCCTGTGGCTCCTGGCCCCACTGACCGCCTCCAAAAGGGAAGCTCGTTGGCGAGAAAACAGAGGAGACACAGATTCAGGTGAGAGAAGGCAGCCTGGGGGACCTAGGGAAGACACAAGAGACCTTGGCTTCCACCTAGGACCTTGGCACCAGCAGCAGGAAGAGCCACAGCAGGCTATTTTGGTATTTCTACAAATTTTAATGAAAGTGGAGAGGGAAGGTAATTCCATCCTAATTACTTGTGAACTAACCCCTGGGGGAAAAAAAAAAAAAGCAGGGAAGGGGAGATTTGACATAAGCAAAGGAAAAAAGCTAATCACATTTAGTCAAGATCTTTTATCTGAAGAGTTAGAGGAGAAGGGATGAGACATGCTGAGAGCTGATGACATATATGCATCTCCCCCACATCCCACAGAAGCGATAGAAACAGAGCCAAAACTTTCCTTTTTCCTCTGACTGGTAGGCGTGGAAAGAGCTGCTGAAGATGAGCAAGTGAGCAAGTGAGCTGGAGACGTGAGTAAGTGGGACTGACTCTTTGTGATGTCCCAGGCCTCAACCCTTACTTGAAGGCCATTATGAGAGCCAAGTATGATACCTCTACCCCTTGGGAAAACAATTAATTCCCCCTACACCAAGCGAGCCGGGCAAAACTCACATATCCATCCCAGGGCTCAGAAGAGCCACAAGAAAAGGGAACTTCAACAAAGGCTGCACAAAGCCCCTGGGGGTTCTTCCTCTCCTCCACCCAGCTTTTACACTACAAATAAACTAAACAGAGAAATACCCTGTCCTCAAAATATGCACAACAATTCTCAGTCAAGATGAGGAGAGAGCCAAGGAGAATCCACCCAAACTATGTTCGAGCAAACAGAAGGCTGGGTAGTCCCCTGCACGTAATGAGAAAAGATAAAAAAGAAATCATAGCAACCACATCCCAAGAATCAGAATAAAATTAAAAGAAAAAGTTAAGAAATAGCATCTAAAGCAAGAGAAAAAATGGGTCTGAAAGAAAATGTAACTCAAACAGAAGAAAATTTCTTAGACATGTTTCACACTTTATTAACAAGAATATGAATTTAATTTTTAAAAAGTCCAAAGAGAAAACAATAAAACAACAGAATAACATTAGCAGGCACACTGTGTGCTCGGAAAATAAATCAACAGCCAAAATGCACAGAAGTAATGCATTAGAAATAGGAAGGTACAGAATAGATATGTCAGAAAATCAAATTACTGACACAATAAAGGTTTAAGTAAAAGCAGATAAAAGACTAAGGGTGTTAAAAAAACAGAGATGCTAATAAATGGAGAAGACCTGTAAAATATATAATTGTGTCCATGAAACAGAGAATCCAATAAATGAAGCAAACAGAACTCAAAAATAAAGCATCCAAAAATTTCCCTGAAAGAACCCACAAAGCAAAACAGGAAACTGTACTACAGGAAAATCAGTTAAAGAACAACAGACGTTGGCCAGGTGTGGTGGCTCACACTTATAATCCCAGCATTTTGGGAGGCTGAGGTGGGCAGATCCCCTGAGGTCAGGAGTTCAAGACCAGCCTGGCGAACATGGTGAAACCCAATCTCTACTAAAAGTACCAAAAGCAGCTGGGCGTCGTGTCATGCACCTGTAGTCCCAGCTACTCGGGAGGCTGAGGTACGAGAAGCACTTGAACCTGGGAGGCAGAGGTTGCAGTGAGCCAAGAATGTGCCACTGCACTCCAGCCTGGGTGACAGAGTGATACTCCTCCATGAGAAAGAAGGAAGGTAGGGAGGGAGGGAGGGAGGAAACAATAGAAGCTGAGATGAGACATATCCTGATTAAGTGAATGTGATTAAAGACTAATGAAGGAATTTTTCAGGCATTCTGGCAAAAGCCGTTTACGAGAGAGACAAAGTAAAGTGGTCTTACACTTCACCAGATCATTTAATGCCAGAATATCTACAAAGTCCTGAGGAATGACAGTGTGTCCCATGAATTTTAAGCCCAGCTAAGCTGACTGTCCACGATGACAACAAGTATATACTCCATTCTCAAACACTTGCGACGTTTCTTGAAAAAATTTCTTGACCATACAATATAGCCAACTAAGAACTCAGGAATGGAAAGCTATTGGAAGAGGACTGCTGATGAATACATTAAATCCACTTAAATCCAGAACTGCAGAAACTGTAGTTATAAAGTAGAATGTAAAGGTTGTAACCCTGTCAAGGTCACAGTAACAGATTGCAGCCAGGCACGTGGCTGACGCCTGTAATCCCAGCACTTTGGGAGGCCAAGGTGGTCAGATCACTTGACGTCAGGAGTTTGAGACCAGCCTGACCAACGTGGTGAAACCCAGTCTCTACTAAAAATACAAAAATTAGCCAGGTGTGGTGGTACATGCCTGTAATCCCAGCTACTCGGGAGGCTGAGGCAGGAGAATCGCTTGAACCTGGGAGATGGAGGCTGTGGTGAGCTAAGGTTCTGCCACTGCACTCCAGCCTGGGTGACAGTGAGACTCTGTCTCAAAATAAATAAATAAATGATTGCTAACAAAAATCAGAAGATGAGACACAGAAGGCAGAAAGTGTAGCTGTGCTGATTTCGTTTTGTACTGAAATGTTTCAATCAAACTTACAAAATGTAGTAAAAAAAAAAAATATTTCCAACCACTTTTTGTTTTGCAAAAATCACTTTTTAACTTCAGCGAGATCTCTTGGGAACTAATGTCTCTCACAGTGAAGACACATTTTCTTAAAGTTCAGCAAATCCTTTATTATACTTCCGGTTTTTTTCTATAAATTTAAGCAAGATACATTTTAATTCTATAAGTAGAAATAGAATGTATAGTATATCTCATGTTGCACTGACTTATTCCCAGCTGGCAAGCAATTCTTCTATCTGCAGATATGCAAAGAAAATTGCCCAAAGTGATGTTCAACTCATGTTAATAAGGGTTAATTCTAGGAGGTGAGACCTGGAGTGACTTTTTAAATAATTTATTCCTCGTGCTGTTCTACACTGCTTAAACATCTTATAATAGCCAAGTATTACCTTTTACAAACTAAAAAGTCATGTTTAAATTATAAAATCCAAAAATAATCTTTCACTGAATCTTTAAACAAAATATAAAACATATGGTAGCTATATAAATATTTAGAAAACAGAGGCAAAAAAGGAAATACAAATCGCTTCCAGTGTCATCCTCAGTGTCAACCACAGTTCACAGTCTCCAGTCTGGGGATGGAAAGGAATTTATAAAGACAACATCAAATATTTATTAAGCAGCCCTTTATATTTTCTCCCAGTAACTTTATGGTCATGTTAATTGCATTTAATTATTTAATTGGAGTTTACTTTGCTTTTTTGGTGTGAAATAAGAATCACATTTTTTTCTGCTATGTTTGGCTAGTTGTCCTGACACCATGCCCTGAATAACCCCTTCTTTGGGTTTGAAATGCCATCTTTAATAAGGTTTTATGAAGCATTAAATACCCACAGGTATTTACCCTCTCGCATCCCAGTTTTTCAGAGACATCAACAGTCTCAGAAATGCCTTGACTGTGACATAAACTCCCTACTCAGCCTCCTGCTCCAGTGTCAGCTGTCCTGGCCAGATTCTCTTTGTGTCCCATTGTCCCCTGTCTGTATCTCTGCCACAGCGCCTGGCTCTGCATTTGCAGCTTCTGCTATTAGTGAAAGTAGGCACCGCATCTTCAATTCATCTTCTGATCCCCTGCACCTTGGTAGCATGTCTAGCACATGCAAAAGGCTCTCAAAACATCCTCTCCAGGTCACAAGTCTTCCGCCACCCATCCCTTCCTACCTCCACGAGCAAGGGACATCCAAATAGTAAAAGTCCATATGGTGGGCTGAGATGAATCAGCTCAAGGCAAACTGCCCTGGGATTTTTGTGTTCTTTTAAAACATTAACTGGAATCACGTTTCATTTCACCCGTTTTGAGGCTTGTAAGCTACTCATTTGACTATTCTCAATGAAACTTCCCTTCCTGTTTTCCTGTTTTATTGCTATTGTTAATTGCTTAAAATTCTGCTGACACTAAGGAAATAGCTGTTCATATATACCCAAGAGAATCCTGCTATTTCAGGCCCAGGAGTCCTACAGTGAGGACTTGTCCTTTCACCGAGCAGATACTTCTTTAGTGTAAGCACCACCTCAGCAAGCCTAACATGTCCAAGGACTCAGAGAATCAAAGCTCAGGACCCTGAACCCAGTAAGACATAGGCAGCTTCTTTGCCAAATGAACTTGCGATAACCTCGTCCTAGAAATGGGCATTCTAGCTGCTGAGAGTAATGATTTCACTTAATGCCTAATGCAAACCACATTCAGGTTCAACAACTGCATTCAGAACGCCGCAGGTTCAGTCATTCTGGAGATGTAATGTTTAATCAACCAGCGGCACTGTGCCATTCCAAAGGGAAAACCTACAGAGAAAGAGAGCAAAAACACTAAAAGAAGGTTGAAAGAAGCCAAAACTATAAAAACACTCACTTCAGGACTGGAGCCAGAGGAACACTGCAAACAATTATGCGATCATGCACAAAGGAGTATTCTACAAACTGGGAAAAGATCAATCTATTAGCCCACTCTACTTTGGATTACATCATGGCTAAAGGCAAGCTCCAGCTAATTAAAAGAAATTTACGAACTAGGGAATATGAAAAAGCTAAGGGAATTGAGAACTGCTATACCTTGGAAAGAAAAGACTAGGGGAGTTGTGATGACCACCTTCAAATATTTGAAAACTTATGATGTTTAAGAAGAAATAGACTTGTTCAGTCCTCCAGAGGCTAGAATTAGACCCACCAGGCAGAAAAGACATGGAAGCCGACTTCAGGCATAAACAATAAAGAACTTCCTATCCAGAGATGATCAACAAAGCAGCAGCTTGACTAGTAATGTAGGCAGCTTCCTGGTGCACACACACATTGCCTAGAGAACCCTACGTCAGAAAGACAGTCTCAATTAAGGGAAGATTAGACCAGATGACCTCAAAGGTCTAAGACTATTTGATTCTAATCTTCAAAAAACTTAGTTATAAGTGGGTTATCCTTTAAATTCAAACAGAGTACGCTCATGAACCAGAATTTTGAAAGGTATCAACCACACCCTTATACTGAACATTATGCCTTTCAATAATGTAAATTTACTAAGATTAAAAATCAAGGCTGGGCACGGTGGCTCACGCCTGTAATCCCAGCATTTTGAGAGGCCGAGGTGAGCAGATCACCTGAGATCAGGAGTTCAAGACTAGCCCGGCCAAAATGGCGAAACCCGGTCTCTACTAAAAATGCAAAAATTAGCCGGGCATGGTAATGGGCATCTGTAATCCCAGCTACTTGGGAAGCTGAGGCAGGAGAATTACCTGAACCTGGGAGGTGAAGGTTGCAGTGAGCAGAGTTCGTGCCACTGCACTCCAGCCTGGGTGACAGAGTAAGACTCCATCTCAAAAAAAAAGAAATAAAAAATCAGCTTGATCTTTCAAGATTTATAATTAGACAGTAGGATTTTCTATGTTTAAAACAAGCTGGTGAAATCACTTAGCTGGTTATCCTCAGCCAATATGTGCATCTGAGCCATCACAGCTTCTAAGATCCAACACCGCACAATCAAGGGCTTAAAGGCACACATCTAAAAACTTCATCAGCAGGCCTGAAAAATGAAACCCAGCTTAGTCTCATTGAGTAGCTACAAAAATGTGGGCTTGAAACCTTCTTGGTATAATTCTACACTTAAGTCTAAGATGATGCAGGTTACAATAAAAGATAGATTTGGATTCAATGCATTGCAGCCACCACTAGAACAGGACAGCAGGTGAAGGCAGCCTAGAGCCAATCAAGAACACCTTGCATAGCTCGCCAACTGTCAACGTGGGCTCTGCCACCACCAGCTCCTCTCTCCTCCTCAAGACTCAAGGCTGCTCACTTGCCTGGGAGTCTTGGTTCCTGCTATCCCCAAACCTGAGCCCCTCCGCAAGTCAGAATGAACATAACAGGCATTCAGTCATCTTTGTAGATCCTGGTGAAAACCCAGTCCTTCCTGCTTTTCACTTCTGAAGGTCAATATGCTTGTAAGGCAGTTTTCTAATTGCTCTAGGGAAAGGCAAATACAAATGATAAACTTTACGTGGAGAAAACAGAGCTGAATAAGAGAAAGGAGGCTTTGTACTCGGCAGGGGAAATGAAGGAGATGACGGGAAATGATATCAGTGTTCTAACACACATCATGCGGAGGAAGATAAACACGTGCGAACAAACCAACCTGAAATTCTGCATGAACTGCCGGAACTTGTCCACCCTTTTTGCTAGAGGCACGATAACATTGATAAGCGTGTTGGCCATGTTGAGCTTTTCATTTTTCACTTTCATGATGGGGCCGAATGGTCGAAATAAGATGAGCCGTTTGAATTCGTGTTTGTGGTCCCCTTTGAAGGTGAGCTCATACAATGTCCCTTTGTCCCTTTCTGTTCGGTAGATCCCTGTTAAGAGAAAAACAAGGAAAGATAGTTCTAAAAATTAACCTTGGCTGCTGAGTGTTTTTCAACCGAGATCTAGCACAGAATGCCTTTAAAAAGTGTTTAAGATGAAATCTCTCCAACAATTATTCGAAAATTCAAAATGCTCCCAATTAAAAAATTCCAAAAGAAGTCAAAATAGCATGAATTTTAAAATCACAGTTATGAAGACTGCATAAAAACATGGGAAAAAGCTTGAAATGCTGGATACAAACTGTATTCATAGGATACAGAGGCATTTGCAAAAGGATTTTTAGGAAACAGGCCAAAATAAGACTGACTATGATATAGAGTGGGATTATGTGTTTTTTTCTTTTCTTCTAGTATCCAAATTTCCTGCAATATGATTTGAAGAATATTAAAATAATTATACTTAATTTTAAAAATCAGCAATAAAATTATGTCTTAGAAATTAAACCACTTCAGCCTGGGCGCAGTGGCTCATGCCTATAAACCCAGTACTTTGAGAGACTGAGGTGGGCATATCACCTGAGGTTAAGAGTCTGAGAACAGCCTGGTCACTATGGTGAAACCCCATCTCTACTAATACAAAAGTTAGTAGAGCGTCATGTTGTGCGCCTGTAACCCTGGCTACTTGGGAGGCTGAGGCAGGAGAATCGCTTGAACTCGGGAGGCAGAGGTTGGAGTGAGCCAAGTTTGTACCACTTCACTCCAGTATGGGCAACAGAGCGAAACTTTATCTCAAAAAAAAAAAAAAAAAAAAAAAAAGGAAAGAAGTTATGTCCATTTCAGATGAACTGACCATAGTAATCTATTTGGGACCCCTGGGAGTAGCTCAGTTCTGGTCACATGGGTTGGGGGACCCTCTGGAAGCTTCTAGAAGCATTAAAATAACACATAAAATATTCAGTACAGTGGTATCAATACATGATATTTAGTTTCATATCTTCCTTCCCATCTCTAAACAGCATGACTCAGGGAATCAGAGCACAAACTATCAAGCCAAACTGCCTGGGTTCAAATCCTGGCCCCACAGGTTTGCTTTGAAAAATTACTTCATGCTCCTGTGCCTCATTTTCCCCAAAGGTTACTGTGAGGAGTGAATGTTTTTGTATGTGAAAGAAGTTAGAACAGTACAAGGCATGCAATAAACCCTCGATAAATGTTAGCCATCTTCACAACTCCCCTTTCTCTGAGAAGGTAGAGAGGCAGGAGAGAAGTCTAGGGACCGTGCAAACTGTGTCTCATCCCATGTCACTGTGGCTGAAACTCCACAGAGTGTCACTTGTCAGGTTGAAGATATGAACTCAGCATCTCAGCTGCCCTCTCAGAACAAGCCTCCCTAGGGTCTAGGTGACAGAATTTCCCAATGTAAGGATCAAATGATTTCCCTCATGCCTAAAGATCCATTTCCTTCCACTGTCTCTGGTATTATGAATGTTTTCTCTACAGTCAGGAAACACACACACATACACACACACACATTACAAAGGTAAAACCCAACAAATCAGAAAAGCTTTTGGGTTATACAGCAGTCCCCATTTTCTAGTTTCACTTTCTGCCATTTCAGTTACCTGAAGTACAATACCTTTTGAGAGTGAGAGAGAATCAGGGAGACACAGAGAGAGAGAGAGAGAAAGAGACCATGTTTACATACCTTTTATTACCTTATATTGTTATGATTATTCTCTTTTGTTATTGGTTATTGTTGTTAATCTCTTTCTGGGGGCTTAATTTATAAATTAAACATTATCCCAGGTATGTATGTATGGGGAAAAACATACAATAGCTAGGGTTCAGAACTCTCTATGCTTCTGGGCATCCACTGTTGTCTTGGAATGTATCCCCCAGGATGAGGGTGAATGACAGTACCATGGATTCTATTCATGTCTCCTTAATCCCCACAGTGAACCAAGAATGCACCTCCCAGTCACTGACTGGCTACAGAAATCAATCTCCAGGGAGAAATCTGACAAGTGACACTGTGTGGAGTTTCAGTTACAGTGACACGGCAATGGAATACAGTTTGAAAGGTACATAAATAGATTTCTCTCCTGCCTAGAGTCAGTTACAGTTTCTCAAGGTCTCTCACAAACCCCTCCTTTTTTCTTGCTCACTCTCCCTCTTCTTCTCTTTTGTGGGAACTACATGTCTTCCTCGCAAGTTCTCTTCTCTGTTTTTTGCCTTCTGGGAGCTTTTCATCCTATAGCACTGGTTTTATAGCCTCTTTGATCCTGTTCAAAGATTGGATTTCTTTGAGGTGCCACAGAGAGGAGTGTGGTCCTGTGAGTTTCCAAGGTAGTCTCGTGTCTCCCTGCTGTCCTCACAGCCCCACCTGAAAACCCAAACCCACAGTTCCCCAGCAGTGAACACAGCTATTTAAAGGCCGAGACACGGAGGAATTACAAGGACTAAGTTCCCTTTGGAAGCCTTCACCAATGCGTTGAGTAAAAGGGTATCCTGCTTGACTGCCCTCAAAGTCAGGCAAGCTGAGAGTTTTGCTGAGCTCATGTTGGAAAAGATTTCAAAGTCCCAGAGGGAAAAGCCATGGAAGAAAAGAAGGTTCATTTCTTAGAAAGCTCAAAGGACTTCTTTGAAAACGTTAAGTGTTTCCCTTCAAAGACGGTTCATTCCTTCAGGAATGTAGTGCTCACTGAGGCAACAGGCTCTTTTCCCATCTCTGATGCTGTCTGGGATCACAAGGTGAACCACCAACTCCCAGGGCCCAAATGAGGTGGGGCTGAGTCTGAAAGCAGCCACATTCACCATGGAGGGTGTATCCACACAGCACCCATATTCACTATGCAGGGCATAACTGCACAGCAGCCACATTCACCAAGGAGGGCCTATCCGCACAGCAGCCACATTCACCATGGGGGGCGTATCCGCACAGCGGCCACATTCACCATGGGGGGCGTATCCGCACAGCGGCCACATTCACCATGGGGGGCGTATCCGCACAGCGGCCACATTCACCATGGGGGGCGTATCCGCACAGCGGCCACATTCACCATGGGGGGCGTATCCGCACAGCGGCCACATTCACCATGGGGGGCGTATCCGCACAGCACACACATTCACCATGGAGGGCGTATCCGCACAGCGGCCACATTCACCATGGAGGGCGTATCTGCACAGCAGCCACATTCACCATGGAGGGCGTATCCCCACAGCAGCCACATTAGCCATGGAGGGTGTATCTGCACAGCAGCCACATTCACCATGGAGGGCGTATCCACACAGCAGCCACATTTACCATGGAGGGTGTATCCGCACAGCACCCACGTTAATCACAGAGGGCGCATCTGCACAGCAGCCGCATTCACCATGGACAGGATAGCTGCACAGCAACGACATTTGCCATGGAGGGCCTATCCACACAGCAGCCACATTCGCCGTGGAGGGTGTATCTGCACAGCGGCCACATTCACCACAGATGGTATCTGCACAGCAGCCACGTTTGTCACAGGCGGTGTATCTGCAAAGCATCCACATTCACCAGAGAGGGCCTAACTGCAGAGGAGCCATATTCGCCACAGAGGCCATATCTGCACAACTGAAACAGGTCTCCCCGTGTGGGTGACTGCATCTCGTTGAGTTTCTGTTATTCATGTCAGTAGCATAACTTCTCCACACAGTCATAAACACAGAAAATGCAGCTGACAGTTTAACGTACAGATAAAAATGTATGCAGGCAGAGGAATGATTTTTTTTTCCCAATGAAGTCATTTACTCAGAGGCAGGTTAAGAATCATTAACTTTTAAAAATCAAAATCCACAGAGATGAAAATACAGATAGCAATATACCTAAACCTGTCTCAAGAGATGGACATCTATTTATGAAGAACCTAGAGAATGCAGTAAATCTTATTCATAACAACTCCTATGAATACAGAATGCCAGCTGCCTTGGAGGTGCCTGCATCATCAGCCCAGGGTGACAGAGATCCCCAGCCATGGTCAGTGGTTCCAGGTATGGCACACTGCCCATCAGGAAGGTCACAGCACCCAGGCTCACCCCACACACCACAATTTATGCTGCTTTCTGTCTTCCACATACCATGCCTTGCAACAGTCATTACATCCATTTTTTAGCTGGTTTCTCTATACTCTGCTAATTATTTTCATTATATCCTATCAATCTGATTTGGGATCCCTTAATTTCATCAGTTTTCTTTTTTTTTTCAACTTTTAGGTTCAGAAGGAACATGTGTAGGTTTGTTACACAAGTAAACTGCATGTTGCAGGGGTTTAGTGTACAGATAATTTTGTCACCCAGCTAAACAGCATAGAGCATAGTACCCAATAGGTGGTTTTCCAATCCTCACCCTCCTCCTACTCTCCACCCTGAGTTAGGCCCCAGTGTCTAACGTTCCCTTCATTGTGCCCATGTGTACTCAATGTTTACCTCCCACTTACAAGTGAGAACATGTGTTATTTGGTTTCCGGTTTCTGCATTCACTTAGAATA
Source organism: Homo sapiens (assembly GCF_000001405.40). Lineage (NCBI taxonomy): Eukaryota > Metazoa > Chordata > Mammalia > Primates > Hominidae > Homo > Homo sapiens. The sequence continues at coordinate 19,463,109 of NC_000008.11, forward strand.
ACGGCCTCCAGCTGCATTCCTGTTACTCCAAAGAACATGATTTCATTCTTTTTTTCATGGCTGTGTAGTACTCCATGGTATACAAGTATCACATTTTCTTTATCCAGTCCACTGCTGATGGGCATCTAGGTTGATTCTATGGCTTCGCTATTGTGAATAGCACAATTTCATCTCTTTTAAAAACGTTATTTAAAACTCTCTTGCAACCTAAGTCCAGCAAAAGCCATACCCAGCCATCCACCCACCATACCCACAGGCACACATTCCCATCCCTGCACAGAGGGAGCAACTTTCAGTTGGTCTTCTTTAAACACAAAGGACGACACCTAAAAAAATCCTTTTGCCTCCTGGAGCTCTTTATTGGTGGAAACACAAAGGAACAGAGCAAACTTGGGCATGGGGGGAGGGGTGGTGAGGGAAGGGAAAGTATTCCAAGGCAGGAATGGTTTTTCAGCCAGTAAGCTGACACATGCAAATGGCAAGTACAAAGCAAAGCAGCCCCACAAACATCTTCCTTGTCATCTTGTGCAGAACAGCATCATTTCGTGCACTATGCAAATTAAAGATCAAAATCAGGACTTTGGAGCTAGCTTAGATCTTTGTTTAAACACCCTACCTGGCACCTCCGTGTCTTTCCTCCCTTCCATAAATGCTAAGCTTTCTTTGAGTTTGGTGTAATTACTCCTTGTGCAAGTATCCCAATGCCGGTCTTTTCCTACTCAATGGGCCAGGATCTAAGACCCCCAACTAGGTGGGGACATCTCCATGTATCCAAGACAGAGATCTGTAATCTATTCACACAAATGTCTATTCCTTCAGTAGGCCAGGAGCTAACCAGGTGCAGACCCCTCTCTGTGCCCTGTCTTCAACTGAGGACCTTGACAAGGGATAAGAAAGGCACCACTCCTGACTCAGATTCCCCGCCCCCACTGACATGCGTGCAGACGGGTTGTGACAGATGTCACACTACTGAGCCTATGCAGAATTTCTCTTTAAACTTTCTGCCTGCAAAACGTTACACATTACACTCATTCTCAACAGTCCCCATTCACCCACATTCATTCTCAGTCTCCACATTCATCCCTGCCTTCCCTACCTTCCTACATGGAGCCAAGGTCTCCCAGCTGGATAACAAGAAGCATCTGCCAACCCACATCCTGGCCTCTGGGGCCCAGTCGGTCCCACACATATATATTTTGGCCCTTATGTGTTCACAGCACCACTCAAACCCCACATCTCCCTAGCTCAAAGTTCTCGCCAGCATCCCATACCACAGAATAAAGTATCGATACCACAGTCCAGCCTTCAAGATGCTCCGTAATCAGGGCCCCACCTACTGTACTAGTTTCAAGTCTTGTTCTTGCCTTTTACAAAATCTGGGCACCAATCAAGCTGGTTTATATTAAGCACATATAACTACTGATTCCAGGGGTCCCCAAGCCACGGAATGGTACCAGTCCGTGGCCTGTTCAGAACTGTGCTGCCGAGAAGGAGGGGAGCAGTGGGTGAGTGAGCATGACTGCCTGAGCTCTGCCTGCTGTCAGAATTACATTCTTAACACCCTACTGTGAACTGCACATGTAAAGGATGTAGGGCGTATGCTCCTTATGAGAATTGAAATAATGCCTGATGATCTGAGATGTAACAGTTTCATCCCAAAACCACCACCTTCCCCTTGTTGTGGAATTGTCTTCCACAAAACTGGTGCCTGGTGCCAAGAAGGTTAGGGACTGCCGACAACTTTCTCCAGTTGCAGAAACTGGAATCCTGTGCACTACCGGCGGGAAGCAACATGGTGCAGCCACTGCGGAATGCAGTTTGGTACTTCCTCACAAAGTTAAACATAGAAATACCATATGATTCAGCAATTCTATGTATTTCTAGGTCTATATCCCAAAGAATTAAAAACAGGGGTCCTAACAGATACTTATGAACTCATGATCACAGCAGCATTATTCACAAAAGCCAAAAGATAAAAACAACTCACACCCCCATCAACAGATAAATGGATAAACAAAATGTGGTCCACCCATACAACAGAGTACCATTCTGCCTTAACAAGCATGGAAATTCGGATACATGCTACAACATGGATGAATCGTGCAGACATTATGCTAAGTGAAATGCGCCAGTCACAAAAAGACAAATACTGTAAGATCCCGCTGATAGGAGGTACTTAGAGTAGTCAAGTTCAGAGAGACAGAGTGTAGAATAGAGGTTGCCAGGGGCTGGGGAAGCAGGGACTGGGGAGTGAGTGTCTAATGGGTACAGAGTTTCTGTTTGAGAAGATGAAAGTACTCTGAAGATGGATGGTGGTGATGGATGCGCAAGAATGTCAATGTACTTAAGGCCACTGAACTGTCCACTAAAAAATGCTTTAAATGGTGAATGCTATACGTATTGACCACCATAACTGCTGTCCTCTGAAAAAGTCTAGCAGTTTCTCACAGACACAGCCCATGCACATGTCTATGCTTCCACCTTCCCCTTTTAAATCTGATCCTTCTGCTATGGGAAGATTCCCAGGACATTCTCAATGCAAAGCCGTCTCTCTTCTTCAGGCACTTCTGTCTTAGAGCTTTAAACTCTCTTCCTAAACTACTGTTTGGGCACCTGACAACATGAAAAGATCTTGGGCATCCCCCTGTCCAGGCTTACCATTTCACAGATGAGCAAAATGAGACCCAGAGAAGATGTGATACGCTTGTGTTAGCCTAACTGGTCAATGAAGGCCTGGGATAAACCCCCACTGAAGGATTTACCCCCTGGAGTCACTTTTCATATGCAGAAGAAGATAACTCAGCACATAGAAAAGAATCCAGATCATGAAAAGAGCATCCAAGAAGTCAGAATAAACAAGGTAAAGTCTGTAGCAAAACTCACTGTACCCAGAGATAACCCTCACACCTACCCTTACAGAATTCCTTTAACCTTACCATAGAATTTTGACAGTTGTTTAAGTAAAAGCTATCTGAAGTTCCAATCTCCAACACACTGAAAAGGGTAAATTTTGAAAGGGGGGATTTTTAATGGAAAAAAAATATACATGTTCAACAAGAAAACAAAGAATATTTGGGAAAAGAAAATCTGTAACAGGCAGAAATGCTGAGAGTGGTAAATACTGTCAGGCAACCAACTGACAGAAGGGAGAGGGCAAAACACTACTTTCTTTTAATTATCAGTGTCTGAAATCATTTAATATACTTCATCTTAGCCAAAAGGCTGAGAAGCGATGATCATTTAAGATAAAGAAAAAACACTTCAGCCATGTAAATTGCCTATGAAGACATCCCCGCAATAGCACAAATCTGTTTACGCTTTGCACCATAAACACACATTCTGCTTACTCTGTTCAAAAAAGGAACCGGTAAATGCTTAGTATTTTACTCTAAAATAGTATTTTTTATTTTTTATACTATTTTGTTGTCTCACTTATCCAGAAAATTCTGCTCAGATGGCATATCGCATTCCCAGATCACATGAGATAAATGAGACACTATTACAGTGCCATCACCTGTCAGCTGTTTTTATAGGTAAAGTAGTAAACTTGTGACATTTGTGGAAGAGATGTCCTAAGACTGCTATAAATCCTCACATGCTCAGACGCTAGAAGGCAAATCACTCACCCCATGAAATGCAACAGAAATTATCTACTTGAAGGCTGTCTTCACATGTGGGGCCACAGAAATGTCCCTACTTTCCCGTGCATCACAGTTCACCTATGTTCAGTGGCTCTGGACTTGTCCTCACTGGTTTTATTTCTGTTTCAGCTGCCACTGAAAGTTTCTTTTACCTGATAAGAAATAGTTGCAGCGACTGGTAGACTTGCTGAAGAAATTCATACAACCCCTTTTCTTATTTCTCTACACTGCATTTGTTGTGTATTTGTTTATGTCATAGATGCAGGCTGACAAATCCAGTATCTGGTTCCTAATCCATCAGAAATGTCTAAGAACTCACTTAGAGTGCCTTCTCATTTCACCATTGGTACTAGCAGCTGACTTTTTTTTTTTTTTTTTTTTTTTTTTTGAGACGGAGTCTCACTCTGTCACCCAGGCTGGAGTGCAGTGGTGCGATCTCGGCTCACTGCAAGCTCTGACTCTCGGTTTCACAGTATTCTCCTGCCTCAGCCTCCTGAGTAGCTGGGACTACAGGAGCCCGCCACCATGACTGGCTAATTTTTTTTATTTTTTAAGTAGAGACAGGGTTTCACCATGTCTGCCAGGATGGTCTCCATCTCCGGACCTCATGATCCACCTACCTCGGCCCCCCAAAGTGCTGGGATTACAGGCGTGAGCCACCTCACCTGGCCAGTACTAGCAGTTGACTTCCTTTTCAGAGCCCTTCTTCCCTTGCAGAGAACTGCAATGTATTTCTCACCTCATGAAGACCATCAGGCAATCAACAATGAGTAGAAAATGAAGGCAGGTTAGGATTCCAGCACTGAAGTAGAAGCCTGGGTTCCTCCTCAAGTGGCCTGCCAGCCTCGCGGAGTTCAAATGCAAATGACCTGGTTAGTTTTTTTTTTTATTAATTTTTTTCGCATGGCTAATATTAATGATGGATTGTATTCTATATCAGAGATATAAACATGGTCCAGGCAGGGTGGCTCATGCCTGCAATCCCAGAATTTTGGGAGGCCAAGGCAGGTGGATCACTTGAGCCTAGGAGTTCCAGATCAGCCTGGGCAACATGGTGAAATCCTGTCTCCACAAAAAATACTAAAAATTAGCCAGGCATGGTTGTATGCCCCTGTAGTCCCAGATAGTCAGGAGGCTGAGGTAGGAGGATCACTTAAACCCAGGAGTTGGAGGCTGCAGTGAGCTGTGATTGCGCTGCTGCACTCCAGCCTCAGCAACAGAGTGAAACCCTGTCTCATAAAATAAAAATAAAAAAGATGAACATGATAAAATCACTGTGCTTTCAGGATTCACATTCTAGAGAGAAAGACAGGTAAACAGAACAGGACTCAGATGATAAATGCTTAACAGAGTCTGCCCATGGTATAAGGGAACAAAAAGGAGGGCATCTCCACCTACTGGAGGGTCTGGACAGTTTGATAGCAGATGTTTTTTTACCAGAACTGAAGACTGAGCATGTGTTGGCCAAGACAACAACATCAGAGCGAGCATTTTAAGGAAAGATAATCGTGGAAGCAAAGGTAAGAAAAACCAGCTTGTTATGTTTGGCCACCTTGAGGCAGTTCGGCAAGGCTGGAGTGCAACAGGCAGACACGAATGGGGGGATGGGAGAATGCTGGAAAGGCCGACGTGGAGCGGGACGAGGGGTCACATCATGTGGATCCCCTAAGTCACCTTCACAGGTGCAAACCTGTCCTAGAGGAAAGGGGAGCCGGGTCAGCGTTTTAGCATGGGAGAGGTGAGATCTTTCAGGATATTCACCTTAGAGCAGTGTGGGGCGCAGGTGGATGATGGCAGGGAACGAGATCAGAGAGCAACAAGGAAAGAACCACGATGGTTTAGCAGGAAATGACAAGAGCCTGAACTAAGATGGTGGCAATGGAGGTGGAAAAAAGCTTGAGAGAATGTTGTTAGAAAATGTCATGGCAGGTGAGGGAGAGGGAGAAAAGGAGGCTGACTCGAGTTACAGGTGAGACAGGGATTATGAGCTAAGCTTTGGACGGGCTGATTTGAAGAGGTGTATGAGTAGATTGGAAGCTTGGCGGGCAAGCCTTTTGTAGACATACAGATTTAGACATCCCCACTGTGTAAGCTGAAGCTGTGGATGTGGGTCAGGTCAGCCAGGAAGAGTCTGTAGATTAAGAAGAATGAGCTCAGGATGCAGGCTCAGGATATGCCAAACCTTCAGGTGCACAGTGCATGGATGTGCAAGGGTCACTGAGAAGTCCCAATGACAGAAGCACTCAGAGGGGCAGAAGACAGCAGCATCAAGGAACCCAACAGATAAGTGAGGGCCTGCTCAACAGTGCCAACCACTGCACCAAGGTTAACTAAGATAAGGATGAAATTGGCCCACTGCCCTGAGTGCGGTGGCTCATACTTGTAATCCTAGCACTTTGGGAGGCTGAGGTGCAAGGATCACTTGAGGCCAAGAGTTCGAGAGCAGTCTGGGAAACACAGCAAGACCTTGTCTCTAGAAAAAAATGTAAAAATTAGCAGGGCATGGTGCTGTGCACCTGTAGTCCCAGCTACTTAGGCGGTGCAGGCATGAGGATCCCTTGAGCCCAGGAGATCGAGGCTACAGTAAGCTGTGTGTGCACCACTGCACTGCAGCCTGGGTGACAGAGCAACACCCTGTCTCAAAAAAAGAAAGAGAAAGAAAAGAAAAAAGAAATAGCCCTCTGGATGGGGCAAGGAGGAGACCATCCACAGGTAGTCTTATCAATAAGTTTCAGGGGTGTAAGACAGCCTGGGATAGATTTGAAAAATGATAAGGGATGAAGGGGCAGCAGTGAGTTGAGTGTTTTTCCTTCAATTCCTTGAAAATGTCAAGTTTATTCCCACTTCAGAACCTCTGCCCTTTCTTTCTGCTCTGTCTGGGACACTTCCCCAGGTCTGGCACGGCTACATCCTTCCTACCATGTAGGTCTCCGCCCTGAAGCCACCTCCTCAATGAGGCTTTACCTACTCTCAGTCTCTGAAGCCCCCCACCATCCCACAGACACTCTCTGTTACCTTTTCACACGACCCCATTCTGGGTTTTTCATCGCACATTATCTGAATGTGTTTACTGCTTATCTATGCGTTACTCTTCCTGCCATGGGAAGGTACACTCTGTGAAACCAGAACTTGGTGTCTGCAACCCTAATGAATATTTGCTTCACAGAAGGAGAAAGGGAGGGAGGGAAGAAGAAAGGGAAGGTGCTTGGCTAAAAAGGGAATAAATGCAATAGGGTAGAAATCAGAGGAATTACCGAGTTGACAGAATGTTTTTTAAAAATATTGGAAAAAGCAACATACTTCCTTCATATGCTGATAAAAAGGAACAAATAGAAATGGATAATACAGATGCAGGGACGGAGTGAGAAGGTGAGAGGTGGATGGGACCTACAACCCCGCAAAGTACTTGGTATCAGACAAAGAAGGGTTACCTAGTTCCCACAATGGGGATGGAGCAGAAGGCTAGGGATACAAATAGAGAAAGCTTGGGGCAAGGAACCACAGGAGCTCATGGCGCTAAGTCGTTAATTTCTTGGTGAAACAGAATGAGGGAATTAAAAGTAGAATAATGGGTTTATGAGGAGTGCTGGAGGCTGGGATGGGACAGTGAGCACGGAGATGAGTAAGGATGTGGGAAACAACGCAGAGGTGCAGGCAGCGAGGCCAGAGAGCATGAATTTGCACTGACATCAGCACGCGCATTCAGTGACTTCTCTCCAGCAGCGTGAGGAACACAGGCAACAGAGGAAACAAGACGGTGACTCACTGAGCTTGGACTGGACTCTGCAGACAGGTGTGAGGGCAAGGAAGGCAGGCACTGGGAAGCGAGTGGCGGAAGTGTTAACAGGTAGCTGGGCATGAGCGGGGCAGGAGAGGGCTCTACCCTAGAAATGTAAGGGGATGATTCGGCAATCATCTCATTGCCTCTCTAAAAATGAAAATTTGGCAGTGCCACAGAGAGGCCACTTCCTGATGATCCACACCCGTTAACATCAAAATGCTAACTGAACGCAGGCCCTAAGGAGAAGCAATGTCCTGGGAACATGTGTTAAGAGACAAAAATGCGCTGGACGTGGTGGTTCACGCCTATAATCCCAACACTTTCGGAGGCTGAGGTGGGCGGATCACCTGAGGTCAGGAGTTCCAGACTAGCCTGGCCAATGTGGTGAAACCCCGTTTCTACTAAAAATACAAAAATTAGCTGGGCGTGGTGGTGGGTACCCATCATCCCAGCTACTTGGGAGGCTGAGGCACGAGAGTCGCTTGAACCTGGGAGGTGGAGGTTTCAGTGAGCCAAGATCACACCACTGCACTCCAGCCTGAGCAACAGAGCAAGACTCTGTCTCAAAACAAAACAACAAAACAAAAGGAGAGAGAGGGGAGAGAGAGAGAAAAAAAAAGGTGAAGTATGATCTTGGGGCACACTCCACCGGAAAAGGGAAGAAAGCCTCCAATGGGCATGCGTATCACTCACTAAACGCACTGCGCTTGCTCAATGCCAAAGGGTAAGGAGAACACTGCGCATGCGGAAAGCCTACCCTAAGGGGTGAATCATGGGGAAGAGGCGAGCCTATAAAATCCCAGGATCAAGTTTAAAGGTCTCCCTCCCTCCTTTTCTTTTTTTTCATTCCTGTCTTCTTTTGCTCTCTTTTCTCTCTTGGACCCTCAGGTACCCACTTGGGTCTCTTTCAAGTGAATGTTCCTTTCGTTCCTGTTCTAAAGCCTTTTAAAATGAACTTCCATTCCTGTTCTGAAACTTGCCTTAGTCTGTTTTTCTGCTTCATGCCCCTCAGTCGAATTCTTTCTTCTGAGGCGGCAAGGACTGAAGTTGCTGTGGACCTGTAGGGGTTCGACGCCGGTAACTCAGGGTAACTCCTATCTCTTCCACCGGTAACAGAGGGGTTACATTATGGGGTCCAGGTTGAGAGAGGAGCAGAGGAGCCTAAGGAAAGGTAGAGTACAAGGACAGGAAAGGGTGAAAGCTTAGATGCAGTGAGAGTAAACAACAAGGCTGAAGTGAGAAAACTCAACGGAAGAGATGGGGAAGAAACAGATTCTGAGGATGTTTAAGTCTAACTTGCTCCAGGTGATCAACAGCCCCAGAATGAAGCTGTCCTGGAAACTGGGCCTCTGCACTTTTCTCCCTCAATGCTGTCTCTAGAGCTGGCTGGACCCAGATATCAGGCTGCTCAAAACAACTCCACAGATCTCTTTTTCACCTTCACTTCCTATTGTTGAAGAACTGTGGGTTTCTAATGAAGAAATGGCAGATCCATCTATTCCCATCATCTTACCTTAAGACACCAAGGGTTAGAAATTACACTTGCAGGATGCCTACTTGGACTCAATGGAGTTTAAGAGGCCAGTCAGCAAGGGTAGAGGCAAAGATATTAGGGAGTTCTACAAAGATTCCAGAACAAACAACATGCAAGGAGGGGAAGTCACAGCTGCCATTATTAGGGCCAGTTTCCAAACAGCTGTAGGACTTCCTCTGCAAACACATTCGAATGTATATCCAGGATGTCGTGGGAAAGCACAAAACTTAAGATACAGGCAGAAGCAATAAGCAGGAACCAAAAGGTCAAAGACCAAGGAATGTGTGACCAAGCTATTGTCTTTGGCCAACCATTGACCTCGTCCATATGCAACTTACCACCAAAGTAGAGGATGTGCAGTCTAACTGAAATTTCCATCACTCTGACTCACGTCCATTTTTCAAACCCTGTTCACAAATATTATCTTGATTTTGAAGTATCTTTCAAAGAGGTAAGCCATTTACTCATTTTGAAAAAGTTAAAGTAACCAATTCAAGGTTGCAAATGCTATGCTCCCAGACCAAAGGGCACACGAGTAAGAATCTGAGACCAATGTCAAAGTACAGCTCTTTCAAGGTGAATCAACTCGGCAATCAAAAGGATGTTTTAACTCTTCTTTCTTTTCTGTTCTTCCTTTCTTTTTGAGACTGACTTGAGAATAGAAAAACATAAAGATGCTTCAAAAAGCTTATCAACTTTCCAAAGCATATCAGAAAAGTCTTAAAACTCATCTTTGAAGAGTAAGATAATATAATACTCATTCATTGATATCAATTTCTTTATATTTAAAATATGGAATAATACTTCTTCATAGGGTTACTTTGAAGATTAAATAAATATATGTAAAACATTCATGCCTGATACATAGGAAGTACTCAGTGATGTTAGAAATAACTATAATAATTGTTCTTACTATTATTATCATGTCATTCTACTTTGTTCCATCAATCATTTAATGTATTACTGCTCTCAGTCAAACAGGTCAGGACTCCATAGCAAGTACTTCACTTGCTCTACCGGCATTAAATATGCTTGAAAGCAGAATGCAATTGCTAGTTTTTTCAAGTCGCCACTGTGGACCCAGAGATGTAAAGATTTTTGATATTCTGGTAAAAAGCCTCAGGATATACAAATTAGCATATGTAATATTCGGGTCAAGGCAATGTTTTAGCAAGATTGCTAGAGGATTTTTTTGATATTGCTTGAAAAACCCATTTCTAATGCATAATATCAACTGAAAATTTCAAATGATTAACCCGAAAGCCCTTTGTCACTTACCATGACCTTTCATCTCCCCTCCCAATCATCTGTTCTAGTTGTAAAACCCTGCCTTGTATAACACCTACATCACCATCCGCCGTCACTAACATGATTATCACAGGGTCCTTCCCAGACACACAGAGTCTCCTGGCTCTTCCAGACAGCCTTCTGTGGTTGACCAACACCCATGGTACAGACTTGCAGCCTAACCCTGGCTTCACCACTGACTTTCTACCACCTTAAATAAGATATTTAATGACTCAGGTTTCCCACTTCCTAGTCTTAAAAATTAGACCACAGTATCTGTTCAAAGCCTCAACATCAACTGCTTTGTACTTCAAGAAAAGTCAAAAGTAGTGTCTCTTAGAAGCATTGGTTTTGTTGGAATGACTCATCTAATTAATTAGTGGTGGAAATTCATTTTAGCTTTACAAATAGGCTATAAAGTTTAATCCACTGGATATTTGGGGAAAATATATATGTATTTCTGTGGAACTTCTAAATGACAGAGAAACCACAGCAAGCTGAAGATCAAGAAAAGAATTATAAGCCCAGAAAACAGGTCACAATTTTCTACTATAATAAAATGAATTGACCTGTATTCATCTATGCCAGTAGAAACTGGTAAGCTTGAGAAAATACAGGTTCTTGGGCCTATTAAATTGAGGTCTGAGGACTAGCTTTTGGAAACCATTCATTTATCTCAAACTGGTACATTGTAAGCCTTTAGTAAATCTTAGTAAAAAAGAACTAGCCATTACAATAAATAATAACAATGGTCCAGATCCATGGAGCTTCTGATGAGAGATAAGCTACGACCAATGCCAGCTAAACAGGTGCTATAACAAAGCCTGGATTTCTTGTCTCTGTGGGCTCCATGGAAGTCTTCAAAAGGGAAAGAAACCAACACTCCCACCAACCTAGGAAAACAATCTATGTGAAAAGCACATTTGTAGACCCAATTCTTCCTCTACCCTTTGAATATCTACTTTCCAATATAAAGAAAGTTGGAAACTATTATCAAAACTTTGGCAGTATTTTTAAAATTTACTTATTTATTATTTATTTATTTATATTTGGAAATGTATAGAGCAGGTAGTGTTTTAAGTGGAATCGAAATAACATATCATTTCTTGCAATCATTGTAGGGTCTTAAGGGCAGTGACTAAAGCCCAGATGATAGTGAATGGAGAGATATGCTTCGGCTGACCCATCAATCCAATAACTTATTCACTCAAGGACCCATCAATAAGCACCTTCCGGCCAGGTGTGGTGGCTCACACCTATAATCCCAACACTTTGGGAGGCCCGAGGTGGGTGGATCAATTGAGGTCGGGAGTTCGAGACCAGCCTAACCAACATGGCAAAACCCCGTCTTTACTAAAAATACAAAATTAGCCAGGTGTGGTGGCACAGGCCTGTAATCCCAGCTACTCAGGAGGCTAGGTAGGAGAATCACTTGAACCTGGGAGGCGGAGGTTGCAGTGAGCTGAGATCGCACCATTGCATTCCAGCCTGGGCAATAAGAGTGAAACTCTGTCTCAGAAAAAAAAAAAAAAAAAGAAAAAAAAAAGAAAGCAACTTCCATTTTTGGTAACAGACTAGAATATACAAAGATGAATAAAAACATAGACCTTGCTATGGAAAGGGCTCAAATTTGCAGCACAGAAACAGAAGTGAGCAGCTATAACACCGTGGTCAGGGCCAGGGGTGCACTGCGAGAAATCCCTAACTCTGCTGGGGAGATTTTGAGAAGGGCACCCAGACAGGGGAGTCTCTAAGTTAAGAAGGAGGAGCTGTAGAGCAGGCACACTTAACAGGGGTTGGATGAGGAAGATTCTCCAGGCCACTTGACCAGAGTGTACAAGAGTATGGAGGAAGAATATGGCACAATCAGAAAAATGCAGAAGCCGAGAAAGTCTGGGAAATAGACCAGGTAGAGAATGCAGTAAGACCTGAAGCTGAAGGGCCAAGAAGGCAGCCTGTGAGTCACATAAGGAGGTCTCACCATTTGCCACCACGAGGGTTTTGGGGTCTGTTTGGATCTTGGTTTGGTGGTTTGCTTCTATGTTCAGACAATCCCTACAGCTAAAACAAAATCTGTAACAATCTGAATATTAAGCTGTACAAAAGTATGTTCCAATCACCATAAAGTTTTGAAGGAAAGCCCCCGGAGAACAGCTTTCAGTCAGAAGCATCAATCTTGTGCCACACTTCCCTCCACAACCTTGGAAACACAGACACAAACACAGACACACCCTCCACTGATCACCAAGGGAAGATAATGACACACAACGAGTAAGTAAAAAGTGGTTTCCTTTGAGGTGAAAAGCACACAAGCAAACAACTTAAATACTGAAGATGAGGTTTGTCAACCCAACAGGAACATCCTTTTTCACAGAATAATCTGCTCAGAACGCCAAACTATGTTTTGGTCACGCTAAACTCCTGTGTTGTGGCAAGTCATAGAGTGACAGCTCAGATGACAAAGCCAAGCAATGGCCTTACAGAGACAGCCTGGCACGTGAGAAAGAGAGAACTGAATTTCCATTCCATTTGACCATTAACTTACTCTAAGACTTTGGGCAAAGTCAATTCTCAAAGCCTCCATTTCCACAACAACACAGATACTAAATGAAACATGACTTGCCATGTCCACGAGAAGCAATGAAACAGAAGAAAGACAATTGTAATCTTAGGATTTTGACAGCCACCGCCCCTACAAAATTCCTACAGTAACTTTATTAATGTATCCTATGACTGAGGTTGTACCTCTCTAAAGAATAAAAACAATTGAATAAGATGTCAACTGAATATGGCCATTTTTCAGATGATAGTTTAAGAAATTTTTTAAAACTTGGCCTATAGGAATAGATAATACATAGCCAATTTGAGTGTACTCCCCCAGTTTTTTGTTTGTTTTTGGTTTTTTGAGATGGAGATTCACTCTTGTTGCCTAGGTAGAGTTCAATGGCAAGATCTCGGCTCACTGCAATCTCTGCCTTCCGAGTTCAAGCGATTCTCCTGCCTCAGCCTCCCCCAAGTAGCTGGGATTACAGGTGCCCACCACCACGCCTGGCTAATATATTCTATTTTTAGTAGAGATGGGGTTTCGCCATGTTGGCCAAGCTGGTCTGGAACTCCTGACCTCAGGTGATCCACCCACCTCACCCTCCCAAAGTGCTGGGGTTACATGTGTGAGTCACCACATCCAGCCTCCCCAATATTTTTTTTCAAATCAGTCATGACGCCCAAATTCTTTGGCAATGTCCCCTCCTCTTGAATCACAGGGGCCTATAACTGCATGACCTAAGAGAAGAGAGTGAGGCAACACAGCTTCCACCTTGTTTGCTGGAATATTTTGTTTTGGAACCCAGACTTCTATGTAAGAAGTGCAACTACCCCAAGGGTGCCACATGGTGAAAAAGCCACACAACATGGACAGGATACACATGGGAACTCCAGCCAGCAGTCCCAGTGCTCATGTCACAGCAGTCCAGATGCCGGACATGTGAGTGAGCAAGCCTTCAGATGATTCTAGACCTCAGCTGTTGACTCACTCCCCTCAAGACTTTCCCATGAGGCCTTCCCATGAGGTCCCGAGCCTGCTGGGGCAGGGACAAGCCATCCCCATGTGTCCTTTCTGAATTCCTGACCCAGTTGCAGAATCTGTCAGCATATGAAAATGGTAATAATAACTCACTAAAATTCCAAGATGATTTGTAATGCAGCAATAACTGGAACACATGTAATTGATCATTACTGGCAGGCAGAAGTTTTGCTGTATGTTCTCTGACAAGTTCACAACATGTAAATATGCTATGCTGTCCATCAAGAGCAGATGCCACCATTATCAGTTACTGCACTTTCAGTGTTAGCAACATCCTCTTATGCCACTCCAGGCATGCGCTGGAACATAAGGCCACTCAGGCTCCCCATAGAGCTGGGCAGTGGGGGTTCCCTGTGTAGGACAAAGATTTTCCTCAGAAAAAAGTTCTGGGTCCACTAAACACGTGGACAAATGGGTGGCTAAGACCCCAAAATCCCACACAACTGAGCACGGCTATAATGAATTCAGCCTAGAAAACTTTTCCAGCGGACGATAGCACACTCTTACTTTGGCCATAAAATCAAGCAAATAAACAAAGACCCCTGATTAAGTACCCACTGATAGTTATCTTTAATTTAACTTCTTGGCATACTCTCTAATATAAAAATGCGCCTTGGTTATGTAACTGGTTAACTTGGGAGACATAAACTCTAACTTATTAGTAATTATCTTAAAACTAAATGGTCTTCATATCCCAATTAAAAGGAAGGGCAGGCTCTAGAGCCGGGTGTGAGCCCCAGCTGTGTCATTTTGGGCAAGGTGCTTAACCTTTCTTTGCATCTATGTCTTCACTTCTAAAATAAGAATGATCGTAATACAATAGCTACCTCACAGGGTGGTTGTGAGGACTGAAATACATATGTAGCACTTAGAACAATACACAAAACATTTCAAGCACTTGATGGATGTCAGCTAGAATACTATTTGGGAGTGTGGGAAGAAAGACTTCGGTTCCTCCCATACACGTCCAAACTACTAAGAAGCCATGCGCCAGTTAGACAGTCAAATATATTTCATGATGTTTGATGAAGAGTAACACAGTTTCCAGGGACCCCACCTCCTGAAGAGGCACAAGCTTGAGAACTATTAGATGTCAGGTGATTCTAGCTCTAGGTCTGGTGGTTCCCGTTAAACAGCAGTGTGCAACTGTGGTTACACAGTGGAATCATTTGGGGAGCTTTAAAAATACTCATGTCTGGGCCGGGTGCGGTGGCTCACGCCTGTAATCT
This sequence comes from Homo sapiens, assembly GCF_000001405.40. Taxonomy (NCBI): domain Eukaryota; kingdom Metazoa; phylum Chordata; class Mammalia; order Primates; family Hominidae; genus Homo; species Homo sapiens. The sequence continues at coordinate 19,478,164 of NC_000008.11, forward strand.
CAGCACTTTGGGAGGCCAAGGCGGGTGGATCACGAGGTCAGGAGATCGAGACCATCCTGGCTAACATGGTGAAACCCCGTCTCTACTAAAAATACAAAAAATTGGCCGGGTGTGGTGGCGGGCACCTGTAGTCCCAGCTACTCGGGAGGCTGAGGCAGGAGAATGGCCTCAACCCAGGAGGCGGAGCTTGCAGTGAGCCGAGATCGCACCACTGCACTCCAGCCTGGGCGACAGAGCGAGACTCCGTCTCAAAAAAAAAAAAAAAAAAAAAAAAAGGTACTGATGTCTGGGTCCCACTCCCAGAGATTCCGATTTAATTATTCTGTGGTGTAGCCTCGACTCCCCAAGAGACTAACTAACGTACAGCCCAGGTTGCAAAGTATCACTTGAGGGAGTATGATTTCAATGATTCCATAATCCAGTGATTCCTGCAAGGAGGTAACATCATTCACAGGCAGTCATGGGACACTGGTACTTCGCTAATAACATATTGCTCCTCTTCAAAGCAATTCTAGGAGTTAAGTGATGATAAAAATAATGACCCCCCCTTTCTCCACTGCTGAATTGCTCCACTGCTATAAATTGCTTCAGTAAAAAAGCATTAATGTTGCCAAAGCCTAATGTGACGAAGCTACTTATCCCTTGAAGGGCAATATTCAAATGAAACAAAGTAAACAACATTGATATCAAGAACTTTCCAGACCTCTGCATTCACTACCCTCCTTAAAGGGATCTTGTCATGTCATTTTAGGTTGCTAATGTTTGGATGGTAGGAAAAACACCATCCAACATGCAGAAGAAATACTGAGAAGCAGGATGAGTTCTTGAATGACTGGAGAGTGACTTATTTGATGATCCTATAGACACAGAATGCAAAGTTAAAACACCAAAGGTTACATGGTCTTATTAATGACTGCTATTATGATACATGCATTGTTATGATGCGATGAAGCAGACTTGAAAGAAATAGGAGAAAATACAATTCAGAGCAGGGAGCCATCTGCGTAACTTGTGGAAAAGTTGTCTTCTGGGCCCAGGACACCGTCTCTTCCCTTATATGAAGCTGGAATCATTACAGCTGTCACCAACGCAGACTAAAACATCTCAACGGCCACAGCTATAAAGAAACACACTCCATTGTCTTTGGATGAGAGTCTGTGCTCTGGATAGACTATGGGAAAAAGTCCATTAAGGACTCTATCCATGGTGAGAACCAGGATTCTCAAAGAGCCATTGGCGGCCAGTAGTCCAGGCTGGCCTTTGGTTTTATCAGTGTTAATAATTTGACACAGCTGTGGTTATTCTTTTTCTTTCATTATTATTATCAAACCTGGATACTATTTAATGGTCCTCATTAGTTCTGTCTTATTCTCCTTCATATGCTTATTATGTTTTAACTACAGTATTGAAGGCTTGGGGGAATTGTGATGCCACATGAAAGGTATAAGAAGTGCTGTTCTAACCAGGCAAATACCCAGAATTAAGGATGTTCATGCAGATACACAGAAAGCCCCGACTGTTAGGATTCCTCATTAAGTTCCTTCAGAAGCTGTGTGATTTAACAAGAGCCTGAAGGAAAAGCCGTATTTCTTGACTTAGAAAAAAAAAAAAAAAAAGATTCCTCTCCGTAGATCACACTAATGCCTGTCTTCAGGAAAGAACTTAGAAAAAAAAAAAAAAAAAAAGATTCCTCTCCGTAGATCACACTAATGCCTGTCTTCAGGAAAGAACTTTTCCCTGTATACTGGGATTCCATTAAAAACCCAAGTGTGATATAAATATTGGGATGACAGATACCTCTTTGTAGAGTACAGAACCCTAAAATAACTGTTCTCAACATGGTAAGCTTATTTTCTTTTGTTTGAATTACAAATAACTACAACAATGCATATTTCAGTTGCCTTCCTTCTTAAATTCTGAATAGGAAACAAGTCATGTATTTTATTTTTATTTTTTGCTTTTATTTGAAGTTCAGGGATACATGTGCAGGTTTGTTATATAGGTAAACTTCTGCCCCAGGAATTTATTGTACAGATTATTTCATCACCCCAGTATTAAGCCTAGTACCTATTATTTTTCCTGGTCCTCTCCTTCCTCCCATCCTCCACCCTCAGAGGTAGGCACCAGTGTGTGTTGTTGCCCTCTATGTGTCCATGTGTTTTCATCATTTAGCTACCACTTATTGGTGAGAACACGCAGTATTTGGTCTTCTGTTTTTGCATTAGTTTGCTTAGAGCTGGAGTGGTCTCCAGCTCCATCCAGGTTCCTGCAAAGGACATGATCTTGTGCTTTTTTATGGCTGCATAGTACGCCATGGTATGTACATACCACATTTTCTTTATCCAGTCTACTGTTGATGGGCATTTAGGTTGATTCCATGTCTTCGCTGTTGTGAGTAGTGCTGCAATGAACATATGGGTGCCTGCGTCTTTACAATAGAACAATTTCTTTTCCTTTGAGTATTTTAAACAAACCTAGCAAAGAGCATAGTTGCTGACCCATCATTGGGAATTTCTAGTTCCCTGAGGTTCAGTGATCTGGAGTGTCCAGCAATGAAGAAGTAAAACGTGTATTTACAGACAAGGGCTCATTTCTCTTCTCATTTCCTATCCCTACCAGGCTCACTCCAGCAGTGAGTTGCCTTTAAGATTAGAAGCCACACCAACAACACTGGGAGGAAAAACGAGGAATATTTCTTCTTTCTAAACAGTTACTCTAAAGTTTCCACCCGGCATCAACACCAGGCAATATCGACTCATTCCCCTCTTGTGCCCTGCTGTTTTGGCTCTCCTACGAGAGTGAGGGATCCTAGGTCTGTGTACTTCTCAAGTTCCAATTGCATGAGGTCATCTGCCCGTCCAAGTGCCTAAAATGTTGTCTACTGCTGGAAATATCACAGTGTAAGTCTTTTTCCAAGTTTTAAAGGCTGTAATTAATCAGGCATTAGCTTTACAATGACCAGTTCTTATGTGCGGCTAATAAAACCATCCTTCATCTTTCCAGTCACATCTTACTCCTTTCTAACTTTATTTTGCCACCGTGCCAGTCTTCTCATTTCCTGAATGCCTTGTGCCCATCGACCTCTGTGCCCTGGGTGTCTGTCCTTATAGTCTGCCCCATACTCCTGGTTGGCACCTTGCTAGTCACGGTCCTGTTTTAATCTTCATGTGTCTACGACGTCTCATTTTCCCAACTCAGAGTAGAAATTACATCTTATTCAAAAATCTTGACTACATCCTAGGGCCTAACAAATGGGAAGGTGCTTAGCAGGTGCTCGATAAACACCTGTGGACAGGAGTGACTTTATATAAAGATCACAGGTCTTTAGCTAAGTACCCTGCCCAAGATCTTCATCAAAGTCTACCCAAACCTCCTCTTGAGCTCAAAATCACAGTGGGGACACACTTAAGAACACCCTAGAACCACCCTGTGAAAACAAAGTCCCAAACTGGAGATAAGCACACATCCTTATGGTCAAAATTTTATAATCAAAATGACATCATAGTCGTTTCTGTATCCTCAATGCCTCCCTCTCTGGCTTTTCTACCCGGGCCATAGAAAAAAGTGCTGAGCTCATGTTGCTGTGATTATACCACAGGTGACAGGACTAGAACACATCCCAGAGTAACCCAGACTTAAGCCAACAAACATGTATCAAACCCATCTTATGTGCAAAGCTAAAACTTATGGAGATACAGAGATAAAACAGTATTTTCTCAACTGAAGCAACTTTTGAATACTTAGAAGTACTCAAAATAATTTAAGGGTTTCAAAATGCTGGCAGGAGTGCAGGGGGCTTTTTTTTCCATATACTGCAGCTACTCAATAGGACATAGGCAAACACACCGATGCTTTCACGTTATCAGCTCTTTCCATCAAATCGCTCATGACTCCGATTAAATACACACACAGCCCTACTCCTGAGTATACACACTAGAGCTCAGCACAGCTACCGCTCCTACCATTTCCTTCCTCTCTTTCAGCGCTGAGCACCTAGATCAGCGCTGGGAAACAGAATGTTCGGTGATAATGGACATGTTCTTAATCCATTTTGTCAAACGGCTACTGTACACTTGAAATGTGGCTAGTGAAATTGAGGACATACATTTTTAATTGTATATGATTTTAATTAATTTTTGTTTAAAATAAGCACATGCAGGGAGCAGCACTGTGCTGGACAGTGCCGTTTTAGGCTCTGTAACCAACATCAGAGGACTTTTTCCTTTTCTTGTCCCACGGCAACCTTATTTCTGCCCCTACCACTCCACTGATGATGTTCTCTCCCCAATCCAGGCCAGCAATGACTTCTTCTGCTACATCCAATAGATCCTGTAAATTCTTATCTCGTACTGCCTTTCTCAATATTCGATGCTAATGCCCACACTCTCCATCTAAAGCCGCTTTCTCTCCTTGTGTTTTGAGTTACCAAATCCTTCTGACTTTCTGCCTCCCTCTTTGGCTGTTCCTTTATAATTTCCATCACGGGTGCCCTTCCTCTGCCTATAACATAATTGTGGGTGGTCCTCAAAGTTCCGATCACAGATCGCTTTTCACTCTCAATGTTTCTACGGAAAATCTCATCCATCTCCACAGTTTAAATTTGCATCAATAAGTCCTAACCCCTTAGCTCCAAATTTGATTTTTATTTTGAGCTCCAAACCCATATTCCAACTGTCTTGGCCCTCTCCCTTTATGTGTCCCAGAGACAGCTCAAAGTCACCCCTACAACTAAGCTGATCATCTCTCCTGGTCTAGTTCTTCCTCTTCTGAGGAGCAGTGAGTGGCATTAGCATTAAATGAGCTGAGCTTCATCCTTCACACCTCCCTCTCCATCCCACATCCAGTATACAGTGACATTCACATAGATGTTTACTATTATTTATTATCTGATCAATTACCAAGCCCCATGGGTTCTGATCCCTCAGGGTCTCTGGAATCACCCACTTCTCTTATCCCTAATTCTGCTACCACAAATGAAGCTGGTAACGTCTCAGCCTGGAATTACAACAACAGCTCTTTGTCCCTCTAGGCTGAGTCCCTCCAATACATTCTCAACAGAGCAGACAAAGCAATATTTCTAAATATAATTCTAATAATGTCACCCTTCTGTTTAAGCCCTTCAATGGCTCCCTGGTTTCATTAAGACAAAGCCCAAAGGCATGTGAAGTTAAAGCACTTCATTATGTCTGGTTCTCAGTGATATCCCCAAGTTTCATCTCAACATGCCCTGACCCCAAACTCAATGCTCCAGCCAAAATGGATTTTAGCCTTATGAATTCACCAAGCTCTGCCCTGCCCTAGGGCTCTGCATACCACCACTATTGGTCCCCACAGCCTATACTGGCCATCCCCAGTCTACTTTTGCTCCTCTCTGTCCTGTTCCCTTCTATCTCTCTAGACTTAGCTCAGAATATCTTCCTCCAGGGATCAATCCTTTCCACACCCTACAAGAGTGGATCTGATGGCCTTCCTTCCTACATGCCCCATACAACAATTATGTAATCTCTGTAATCTAAAACCATACCTTATCACCATCACTGATCATCTGTTTACTCATCTGTGCAGCCCAGGGCCAGCTGGGAAACTCTCATTTCTTCATCTTTGTTTCAACCATGTCTGACGGCAAATAATAAATTACTATTGACTAAATTAAGTGAATATGTAGCAACAGCCTTTCTTCCAATGTATTGTCCTTTAATAGACATATACCTCAATCTGACAGATAGCTGTCCCCACTTACCGACTATTTTGCTTTTCATGGTTTCAGTTACCAGCAGTCAATTGAGGTCCAAAAATATTAAATGGAAAATTCCAGAAATAAACAGTCCATCCTGTCCAGGATGTGAATCATCACTTTGTCCTGCATACCTAGGCAGTGGACACTATCCCCCAAACAGCCCTCCCTCCACCCCATTAGTCTCTTAGGAGCTGTCACAGTGATCAGATCAAATATTGTGGTATTACTGCGCTTATGTTCATGTCACTTTTATTTTACTTAATAATGGCCCCTAAGCACAAGGGGAGTGATATAGCAATTCAGATACACCAAAGAGAAGCCATAAAGAGCTTCCTCTAAGTAAAAAGATGAACATTCTCCACCGAATAAGAAAAAAATCACATGCTGCAGTTGCTAAGATCTATGAGAAGAATGAGGAAAGCTTAGTATAAAGAGGGGTTGGTACTATTCAGTTTCAGGTGTCCACTGGGGGTCTTGGAACATACAACTCGAGGATAAGGGTAGACTACAGTAAGAAATGATATTTATTTATTTTAATTTATAAAGGAAAGAGGTTTAATGCACTCACAGTTCCACATGGCTGGGGAGGCCTCACAATCACGGCAGAAGGCAAAGGAGAAGCAAAGGCATGTCTTACATGACAGCAGGTAAGAGAAAGGAAACGTTACTGGCATTCTCATTTCAGGAGTCAAGTTGCCTGGTTGCAGGACAGTGTAATCACGCAATTCCTCCAGATTCCCAGATACCAAAGTTGGCCAATTTGTGGGCTGAAGTGTGTCTCCCCAAAATTCACATGTTGAAACTCTAATCCCTAGTACCTCAGAATGTTATTGTGTTTGGAGAATACCAAGAAGTACTTTTGTGGGCTTTTAAGTAAGTTATTAAGTTACAATGGGGCTGCTCTGGTGGGTCCTAATCCAATCTGACCGGTGTCCTAATAAAAGGAGGACATTTGGACACACAGGAGAGACACCAGAGACGTGCACTCACAAAGGAAGAGTCATTTTTGACCTGTCCTCACTGAGGACACAGTGAGAGGGGGTGGTCCTATGCAAGCCAAGGAGAGAGCCCTCCGAAAAAACCAGACCTGCTGGCACTTTCACCTTGAACTTCCAGCCTGCCAGTGGGTGAGAAAATAAACTTCTCTTGTCTCAGGCTTTCAGATTGTGATGCCCTGTTATGGCAGCCCAAGTCATATAATACAACCAATGATGGCCACCATCAGTTACACAGCATCTACTTGCCCAGAATGTGTCTTCTGTAAGTGTATTTATTTTTAAATTACACACACATATACCCCATCCAGCGTCTTCCCATCTCGGTCAATCACAACACACTCTTGTGTGTTCGGCACAGGCTGAAATCTACTAAGTCATCCCCGACTCTTCTCTTTCTCTTGTTAATCCATTAGTAAACCATGCTGCTCCTACCTTCAAAATATGTCCAGATTCCGACTAGGCACTTCTAACCCCCTCCACTGTGAGAGATAAAAATAAAATCCTAAGCCCCCAAGTCACTCAACAGACCCCGTCTTGGCCAAGGGATCCCCAGAGAAACCCTGGAAGCTGAATTCAGGGGCATAATGGGATAGGAGATAGGACACCCCTGTTGATGTTAACAGCTCCTAACAGCTATTAGGCTTTCTTCCCTAAGGGCTAAACAGCAGCCAGCCCTTTTAGAAAGCCTACTAGCTTATTTACTAGGTACAGAACAAAGACAAGATGAGATTAATCATTCCTTCACCCCTCCCAGAGACATCTGCTTCCTCCATTCCCTTTTACTTCAAATATTCACCTTATCTTATGTAAAACATAGATTTACTGGGCACTAACTAAAGTCTCACTGCCACCTCAGCTTGCTTTTTTTTTTTTTTTTTTTTTTTTTTGACAGAGTTTCACTCTTGCTGCCCAGGCTGAAGTACAATGGCATGATCTCGGCTCAGCACAACCTCTGCCTACCAGGTTCAAGCAAATCTTCTGCCTCAACTTCCCAAGTAGCTGGGATCACAGGCACACGCCACCACATCTGGCTAATTTTGTATTTTTAGTAAAGACAGGGTTTCTCCATGTTGATCATGCTGGTCTCAAACTCCTGACCTTGGGTGATCCACCCACCTTGGCCTCCCGAAGTGCTGGGATTACAGGCGTGAGCCACCGTACTCAGCTGCCACTTAAGGGTTTTAAGAAAAATATGTAAATACTAAACCTCCTGAGAGTCTCTTTGGGAGAAAAAAAAAACAAAAAAAACAGCCACAGATGCTTCTATGACTTGTGTTTTTCCCAGGTGTGCCTTTAGGCTGGCTTAATGAGCCTTGATGATTGGTGACAAGCCTCAATCACTCATTTTGGTTGTCACTTGTTACCACCTTGGTCCAGCCACTCTCACCTGCTGCCTGGTAACTGTCATGGCTGCCTAATGGTGGTCTCTGAGCTTCTGCCCTACCTCCCCAAGTCTATTCTCAACACAACCTCCAGAAAAACCCTTCTAAAACTGGGTCTTCCCATCTCACTGAGGGTAAAAGCCAAATCCTCACCCGGGTCTATGAGGCTCACATGACATGCCCCTCCCCTACTTCTCAGACCTCATCTCCTCCTTTTCTCTCCCTCACTGGCTCTGCCCCTGCACACTGCCCCTCGAAGCATTCCTGCCCAGAGCTTGCACACTAGCTGTTCCTTCCATCTGGAAACTCTCTTCCTTCAGGTATAGGCATGGGTGGCCACCTCTTTCTCTTCAAGTTTCTGCTCCAATATCACCTACTCAATGAGACCTACATTGACTGTCTTATTTCAGATTGTATTATCGTCCACTGAAGCCCCCAGCCCCCTTAAACGCATTGATTGTTCCTCTAAAGGGAATCCCCTTTACTCAGCTATGGAATTTGCTTACTTAGGTTCATGTTTATCATCTCCTCAACTAGAACACAAGCCCTGCAACGTAGATTTTGTCTCAGTTTTCACTCCTGGCTCCCCATTGCCTGGGACAGTACCTGGCGCACAGTAGCTGCCCAACAACACTTGAAGAAAAGGTAACCAAAAAGGCTGCCTACTCTTTCATGCTTGTGTCAATGGATAGCAGGATTTACTACCTGTCCTCTTAGGAAGCCAAGGCAAACAGAAATCCTTTAGCTGTTATTTTTGGGGAAGAAAGTTAACCTACATTCAGATGCCAACTCATGCTTTTATATAATGCTTCCCTTCTGAAGAATTGCCTCAATTTTTTCTCAAGCTGACAACTCTAAAGAGCTTAAATTTTATCCCCAAAAGCTTTTGCTTTAACATTTACTCACATTCTGCTCCAGAGACTCATATGTCATGTTAATATCCTAGAACACAGCATTGCTTTAAAAAGACAAACAATTTCACTCCCACCAACACCCAAATGAGAACATTTCACCTCCCAACAGCAGCGATGGTGTCTGGAAATAAAATGTCGTCTTTCTCTTACTGCTGTTCATGCTTAGTCAAACCAACCCCAGATTCAAAGAGCACAGGATGCCCAGTGTCCATGACAGGGAGGTTCCAGGACACGGCCCACATGTCAACACGATGGTGGAGCCCACACCTACTGCAAAGGGCGAGACACATGAGCTCTGAGCCTGACAAACTAGAATCTAATCGCTATTAACATAATGGACAGAAAGTCAATAAGAAAAATGGATAAGATTCTGGAGAAGAAAAATGTCAGACTTTGAAAGACTCAACTGTTGATAAACTCCAACAGCCGAAAAGCCACCTCTCTTACAAACTCGCCTGCACCTTCAGCTAAGGTGCTTGGTACAAGTCAACTATTCATGGTAGTTTTCCACAAAAAAGGGTGTTTCCATATGCAGACTGAGATATCCTTCCCATGCCATCCATCTTCTAATAGGATTTCTAATTAGAAAAGGGCTGTAGGTATCATGAAATCATTGAGCTCTCTAGTCAAAGGCAGCTTGGGGGTTTAGAATGGAAACACAGCAGCCCAAAGAATGAACTGAGAATGAAAATTCTCACTTCAAGATATGCTAAAAAAACTGTGAAGTGATATTGATATTAACCCTAGATCCAAAATTCTTCATATAATACACCTCCCAAGAGACACCCTCTCACCTCACATACTGTAAGCACACAGTGATACACTATGGGGGTTTGCAATATGACTGCTGATAATCATAGTATTAGTACAGGGGGCTGGGCTCAGTGGCTCATGCCTGTAATCCCAGCACTTTGGGAGGACGAGGTGGGTGGATCACCTAAGGTCAGGAGCTCGAGACCAGCCTGGCCAAAATAGTGAAACTCCATCTCTATTGAAAATACAAAAATTAGGCAGGTGTGGTGGTGTGCACCTATAATCCCAGTTACTCCGGAGGCTGAGGCAGGAGAATCGCTTGAATCTGGCAGGCAGAGATTGCAGTGAGCTGAGCTCATGCCACTGCACTCCAGTCTGAGCAACAGAGCGAGACTCCATCTCATTATATATATTTATATATACATATATATATATATATATATATATATATATATATATATATATATAGTTAGATCAGAATTCTAACTTTGTAAAGAGCCCTTCTTCACTGAACAATGTTTACTTTTATAATTTTGTTTATATTAAGCAGTGTTTTGGAAATGATTCCATAAAGGGAAATGAACCCATGACTACTTAACGGTATCTCAGAGAAAATCAACTGCTATTCAGAAGGGTATGAAGAGCCAGGGAAGGAGTGTAAACAATTTCTAGGGGTATAAAAATGCTCTCCGCAAATTTCCACCAACAAATAACAAAAGCAGTAATAATTACTAACATTTTATTGGGCCAGGCACTGCTATAATGACATGTGTAAAGACCCATATATAGTTTATAACAACCCGACAGGGTAGATTATTAATAATGTCAGTTTCACAGAGAAATAAACTCAGGAAAAGAGAAGCTAAGAACCCTGTATACCTGACACAATCAGTTAAACAGTGAAGAGAAGACAACAGCATCGGGATGGGATTGTCTCATCAATTTTCCCTGCTCATGAGTCACAGCAGAATACAGGGTTTTCATTTTATATAAACTCAGGATCCTTGAAAATGAATAATATGCAGTTATTATTATGCGCAAATAAGTCCAAGAAGAAACAACGGCCCCCATTTGAAGGGCAAAAGATGTATCTCCTACAGGTAGAAAATGGAGATGAGAGATGGGGAGACCAGGGCACCTAAGAAGGGTTAATTGCAAAGAGCATAGTGTGAGTCCCTAGTCAGACACAGGGTGTCCCTAGAAGAGAGAGAAGATGAAAAGTGAATCCAGTGAGAAAATCAGTATGATTATTACAACAGAAATACCAAACCTACAAATAAATTGCCCTTCTATTTTACAGAGTAAAATCAAAATACAGATAGGGAAGAATGAAATAGTCATAGGAAATCATCACTATCCAATGTTTATCAACCACCAATTATGGTGATTATTGTCATATTGTTAGACTTTAAATGCTTAGTCTCTCTCTCAAAGGAAAAAAATCAAACAAAAATTTACTCATCACTCGCCAGAGCCATCCTTTCCTCTGGTCTCAAAGGAAGCATTTTCCTTCTTCCTTCTGAGGCCAATCCCTCAACCTGTGGTCTTCTTCCTATCCCCTCTGTGATTTCATTTATTCATTCAACAAACATTTAATCAACGTTTATGTACCAGGCAACGTGCTTAATATTAGGGCTACAAAGTGGTATGAGAAAGGGTCCCTCATTTAAGTCTAGGGGGAGACCCTGATGAATTAATCGACAATCACAGGACACAAATGGTATGAAAATGGAGCATAAGGAATCTTTGCACCATCGAGGGTCCCATATTGTCTTTTCACTGGCTGTCTTCACGATGACATCTTTCCTTAGCCCTGTTAAACATAGCTGTGTGTCTCCAATTTTAAATTAAAACCAAAAATCTCTCCTTCAACTTTCTTGTTAGGAACCTTTTGTTAGGAAGCCAAGCTGAGCTGACATCTATCAGCTGGAATGGTATGTTTACACACATTTTCTAGCCCTGTGTGTTCTAACCAAAGTCTCCTTCTACACCTTGAATGGTACCAAGAAAAGCAAAATTCTGCTCCAAGCTCAGAAAATGACCAATTGCCTTCATAGACTAATTACCACATGGGCCAGCTGCCTTCCTGGACCATCTGTTCTTTTGATGGCCCCCAAATATTTCTAACTCTGGGATTCGAGTATAACAGCCAGCAACATTCAGAAGCCAATCCTGATCAATAGCCCTGCTCTTCCCCCGACTTCCCAGCTCCTCTTTAAATAGCGCATGGAACATCACTAATTTAGGCATTCTAAAAATACAGCACATAATACAGACCAAGCTACAGATGGAAGGCTGCACACGAGAAGCTGCTTCTGCGACTCACACTGGTTTTCACAGACTGACTGCAAAACAGTATTTTGGGAAAGAGAGGAAAAGAGAGAGACAGGTTTAAAAAAACAAAAGGCACTTTTGACAGTAGGGTCTTTCATCAAGGGAAGGAAGAAGAGGTGTTTTGTTCTTTTTCCTCTTGTCCTTGAAAACTCCTATTCATCTCCTGGGAGTACTGGGAAGGGGAAAAAAGAAAGCATCATAAGATGCCACCAGGAAAGGGACTCTGACGGAGAACACCAGAACCTCTGGTTCCACCAAACTCTTGCTTAGAGGCCAGGAGCATGCGAAACCACCTTTTCTGCAGAGCCAACTGATAAATCCACACCAGCTTAGTGCTATATGCTGATTGGTTCTCTCCAGCTTGGACACCTGTAGTCTCCATCACAATGCAGGAGAAGTGGAGCCCAGGACACAATGAGGCTTTGCTGTAACTTCTTCCACAGGGCCCATCATCTCCTTCCCCAAAAAACCCTCACCTTTACAGGCTGCCTGCTCCAGCCTTGGTATTTAGGGTAAAGACTGATTGAGACCTAGAAGTTACCTGTAATTTTATTTTTCTCTTTCTGGATTCTCCAGGTGATTCCCAGGCAGCAGGAAGGAAGTCCCCTGAAACTACCACCTCGAAACCTGGGACTGTTTCAATTACCCTATTCTGTCACGTTTAGAATCAAATGCTAATTTATTTTCTAGTCATGTCAACATGATTCAAGCACTGCCATATCTTATTGCAAAGTATAACAGCAACAGAATTTCCAAAGAAAGTATCTGGAAAACACAGCATCACTCATAATTCTACCACTCAGGAAAAAAAAAAAAACCAATGCTTTGCTACAGTGTTTTCATCCCCTCGATCTTTTTTCTTTACATAGCTAGATAAAAACTTTATAATTATTTTCACAATTAAAATGATAGCCTTTGTCCTATGTTAATATTTACTGAATAAATGATTTTTGTTTACCGTACAATATTCTACTATAACGATACCGCAAAATTTTACCAGTCTCCTATTGTTAGACAACTAATTGCTTCTCATTTTTCATTATTATAAATACTTCTATGATATAAATATTCATGGACATTTCTGAGAATCAGCTTTCAGAAAGGAAAATACTGGAAAAAGCTATGAATATTTTGAACGTTCTTGATACAAATTACTTTACAGAATGATAGAAACAGTTTATGCTCTTAATACTAAATATAAATTTTCATTTCACCTGCTCCTAACAATATGTGTCATCATTTATAAAATTGTGAAAATTCGTATTTTACATTTGTTTTAAACTTTATTAGGTAAGAAAAAGTAAACAGTTTTTTATTTGTATATCAGATATCTGTATCTCTTTTGTGATCCGTTCATCTTTTGCTCATGTATCTTTCATGATGTTTGCTTGGGTTTAAGTTTCAGCAAGAATTTATGTCATGCTCATATGCATCTTGAACCAAACAAAGCAAGGTCTTTTCACATTTCACTCTTAGCATTTCATGTGTGTTTCGATGTTGTGCAGTAATTTGCAAACGACACAACTGATTTCTAATAAATTCGGTACATAATTCAAGGGTACTAAGACATACATTTACATTCCACACACTTTACATGAGTCCACAGAATTAGCAATTTTTCAAGCATTGCAGTGCAAATTAGTATGTGGGTAGAGGTTACAGAGATTAATGATTTCTTTAGACATGGATGGAAGGCCAAAGTACACTCTGTGCTATTAATAAGCTCTATTTATTGACCATAAACATATTCATAACTTAAGTAGGTTCAGCCATGAACTTGAAAATGAAAAATGTGTTTACAATGCCACTCATGGGAACATTGGTAACTAGTGAGAATCCTTTGGAAAATGTCTATAAATTTACAGGATTTAAGTAACAAAATGCTAACTATATGCGAGAAGGCTCTTCTTTTCAGAGAAGCACGTATCTAAGGTCAACAGCACACAGCCCTCACAATGAGATCAACCAGCATACTGCTAGGCTATGCCTGGGACATAGTAGACATTTGGTTGAAGCCCTCACGATGAAATCAACCAGCATACTGCTGGGCTATGCCTGGGATGTAGTAGACATTTGGTGAATGTTTGTTGAGTAATTATCCCAGGATGGTAAATTTCATCTACCTCTTCAGTTTCCTGCACGCTACTCCTGATCTCCTGATTCAGAAGGCATTTTTCTGCATTTTTACTAATGTCTAGTATGAACTTCAAACATCAATTCACGTCCTCTTAAACTCTGTGCCATCTACCCTGCTGGAGCTAGCCTGCCAACCTGGGCCAAGCCTCACCTGTGTCATGTCCGATGCCCCAGTCTGACTTAGATTTTGCCCTAAAGGCTTTCAGGATAAGGGCATGTTCCATTCAACACCAGCTGGAAGCCCAGCCATGCTCTGGTCTTGCTGGTCCACGCCACTGGCCCGTAGCCACCAGCCTAGCAATGGCATAATGCTGCCAGTTATTAGGCTTGAATGTTTAGCCTCAAACTACTGATATCGTATTTAAAACATTATTCCCAAACTGGAAATTCATCTTTATAGTAATCTGTTGACTATGATCAGGAATAATATGAACAGATTTTTCATAGTTTTGTCTGTTAAACTAATCTTATGGTAAAAATAAGATTTAAGTCTTCTTTCTTTTAGTTTGTGCCCTGCCTCGCCTGTCCAGTGTATGGCATATTTGTGTCTTCCATGACAAGGTTACGATCAAGCACTGACATAAGTGAGAAAGAGAATCGACATCAATAAATTCGATAGCTGCCTAAAATTCTTTTTTTGAAAAAAAAAAAAAACATCTGTAAATATGTTTGCAACAGATTCTTTATTAAACACTTTTGTGAAATGTCTATGGAAGAGCCCAAAATACTAAATTAAAGCTAAAGAATTACTCTCTCCTGAACACATTCAGCCTCCCCCAACCTTCTATTTCACAGCAACAGCTTCCACTCAGGAGCTCTTCGGTCACCTCAACTATTTTTAAAGCCTTTTCATTAGTCTCCCAGTTTCCACTCTTTTTTGGGGGAGGGGGACAGAGATTGTGTTATTTATTTATTGAGTTAAAATTCACGTCACACAATTCACCCCTTTAAAGCAGACAAGCTAATTTTTGTATGTGTTACCAGGTTTGTGCAACCATCACCACAATCTATTTTTAGAGACTATTGCGTCTTCTCCAAAAGAAACTAAGTATTCACAGTCACTCCCCATCTCCACCAACTCCTCCAACCCCCAGAACCCTAGGCAAACACTCGTCTATTCTCTGTCTCTGCTGATTTGCCTATGCTGGACATTTCACAGACATGGAATTATAGGACATGTAGTCTTTGACATCTGGTTTTTAACTTGATGTAATTTTCTCAAGGACCATTTATGCTGCAGCATGTTATCAGTAATTCATTTCTTTCTATGGCCAAATAATCTTCTATTGCATGCAATTCCACATTCTGTTTATTGATCCATCCACTGATGGACATTTGGGTTGTTTCCACTTTTTGGCTATTATGAACAAAGCTACCATGAATATTCACATAGGAGTTTTTAAGTTAATGTGTGTTTTCATTTCTCATCAGTATATATACGTATGTGTGTTTATACACACACACACACACACACACACACACACACACATCTAGGAGTGGAACTGCAGGTCACATGGCTACTCTGTGTTTAACATTTTGAGAAACTGCCAAACTATTTTCCAAACCTGCCTCCAATGTAATCCTCTATCCTGCTATCCGAGTGACCCAGCTAGAAAACAAATCTAGCCACGACATTTAAAATGGTCAACAAACCATTGAATAACCTACACTTAGGTAGCACACAAAATGCATAGTAATCTTGGCCCTGCTTAATTCTTCAGGTTTATCACCTTGCCATGCCCTCTTCTTCTATCTAAACCTATTATGTTCCTCCTTGATGCGCCAGCACTAACTGGTTACCTATGGATCTCCAGATCAACCAGCTTGTGCATACCTCCATGTTTTGCCCATGTTAGTTACTCCTGCTCCCAAAACACTCCCCTCCTCCACAACACACACACATCTTTGGCCTACACCAATTCTACACATCTTGCAAAACATGCTCAAGAGTAGCCTTCCCTGTGATGCCCTTCCTGATCATTCCACTCCATGACCAATTCTCTCTGTTCTGTACACTTGTTTAATACATGACCCTGTGCTGTCCTTACCTGTGTACATGGGTGCCCCTTCATTTGGGCTCTGGGGCTTGTGAGAGGCAGGGACTATATTGTCTAACTCTGTCCATCTCCAGCACTGAGAATGCCTAAGTCACATCCAATGAACAAAGAACACTGAATATCCAAGTCTTTAACAATCTCGAAGCACAAATCTCATTCTGTCCCATTACACATCTATTCCTACACTTAACAAAGTTTTGAGTTGCACTTAACCTGAGTACCTCCTCCTGCAATTTAATTTCCTCTGGTTCTGTTCTTTACAATCAGCACCCTGCCTATGGAAACCTTCAGATGAAGTCACCTCTGACAGCTGCATTTTCCATAGCATTGAGAAACCAGATGGAACACTCCAACGTTAGAAAGTCCATTTCTTCCCTCCACCCTATGTTCACAGTAAAAACAGAAAATGGGCGGGGGGCGGGGGGCAGGAGGGTCGGGTAGGATTTAGGCAGCTATTTGCATGATGGAGCCCCTCTTCTTGTGTTTAACCCTCTCCCACCTCAGCTCCTATATGAGATGTAATGGGAATAAAGTCATCTAGGCAAAGGCTCAGCAGATACTCACTCCGAAGAACAACAAGCCCAAATGTCTCCACGGATGTTGACTTCTGATAAGCAATCTCAATGGAAACAGGTGGAGAGGGAGGAAGAATGCGTCCTAGACCCTATCTCTTGCTTGCAATCAAAATAACCTCATCAGGGCCATCCACATGTTCCCCTTCTTTAGGTAAATCAGATTGATTCTGACTTACGGTGTAGAGAAACATTGGAAGCTTCTGACAGTGAAATTTACAATGCCAGGAAATACAGGGAGGCAGTCCTCTATTTACAAATGGGTCCTGTTCCAATATTCATTTGTAAGTTACTCAGAAAGCACAGAAACAATATTGTCTGTTGTGGTGAAGTCCTCAGACCAGCCCATAAAAACCTCTTTAACCCATCGTATGCCTGCAGTATGGCATTTATAGGGCTGTATGCATTGATCCAGGGATGTAACTGTGAAATCCATCCACAGTTCTAACTTTGAAAGTCAGAATGACACCTCGCAGGGATCAGTGAGAGAGGGACTATCCCTCCCCACAAGACAGGGAGGAGGCTGGAGAGGAGGGAGCTCTAAGTCACTACTGATGGGTCCTTAGGGCACAAGCTCCAGATGGCAAGGATAGGTGCAGAGAAACAAAGGAAGCAGAAGCTACTGACTGGCAAAGGAAGTCTGCCAGAAAAAGAAGCACAAGATTCGGAAGAGAATGTGTAGCCTCCTCAGGGTTTAAAGTCTTGGCTTTATTTCTGAACCAAGGGTTTGTGTGAGGTGATGATAAAGAGAGAAGCGGGGGACACTTCAGCCAGTGCTGTGTCTCCAGGCCTGCAGGAGGAAGGGAAATATAGGGAAAAGGTAGACAGTTCTGGAAGGAACAAGATATTACCTTTGCCTCTCCAACCAATACCCATTTTAACTCCCTTCCTCCAGCTAACATAGGACTTGTGTCAAAACTGGAATGGGATAAAAGGGGTTCTAGGCTGACTAAGGTGAAAGGAAGAAAGTTCGGAAAATAATGACCCCGTATTCCGGCAATGAGGAAGAGGGGGCTGATTCAACACCACCAATTTGGAGCAGTATGCTTGTTAACTACAAATTTCCACAATAAGAACAGCCTTACTTTTTAAGATAATATGGCATTTGGGAGAAGAAATCCAAGGGCCCAACACTACTCATAACATTAAAACTCAAAGAATATGTATCTGGTAAAAGATAGGGTTTTTAAAAAGAACGCCGTTTCTTTAAATCACCACCATAGAACACAGATCAGATCACGGGATCCGAGGCTTTCATATTCAAAAGTAAATCTTCTAATAAGGGACTTCCAGATTTGGGGTGTTACCACAACATTCCCACTCATGAGTAAAAACAACACACCTCAGTTCTTTTAAGCTATGGGACTCTGCTTGATGGTTGGAACTAGGTTGTGAGGTTGTGGGAAGACGTTATTCATTTGTAGAGCAGTGTAAGTAGACAAACTAATCAATAGGTTTTAAAGTATGATTTTATAAAGGAGTTTCAGACTTCTGTTTCTGCTCCAAGATATAATGAGCTGAAAGAAGCATCCCTTACCACGAAAAAGAACCACATAACCTTAGAATCCAAGACTTTTTTGGAACTTAGTAGAGAGGTGAAGTCACGGAGCAAACAGCTGGCTCAGAATCTGAGGAGTCACAGGTGCTGGCAGGGAGAAAAGAGATATGAGCCCTTGCTTGGTGGGGCAGATACACTCAGCTAATGGTAAAAAGAAATCAACGACCTAAGCAAGGCTCAGTGCAGATGAGTAGGGCAGTGAAGCCCTTTGTGGTTCCAAGAAGTGGAGCTTCCTTTCGCAAGCTCTTTCTCCAGGAACCCCAATGGGTGCTAATAAAAATGATCAGAAAGAACCTTAGGACACCGACCATGCTGTGCAGCCGGCGGGAGGGGACAGGAGCTCCCTGGGAGGGGCAAAACACTCTTCCCGGACCCTCCCCCTCCCGCCTCCCCTCTATGGAGCAAAAACCTTATTGGTGGGGAAAGATCAACAAATATTCTCACCTTAGGGAACTGGTGAAAACTAAGTGCAGCTGAGGAAGGCGGAGTGGGGACAGGAAAATACCCTAAGACCCAGTGACGTGGTACCTGCCTAGGACTGAGATTTTATCAGAAAAATCAGAGACAACCCCACTTCCCTCCTGCCCTGCACAGACAGTTAAGCTGGTAAGCTGTGAATAACAAGAAACAGCAGAATATTGCTGGGAGTGAGAGAGGAGAGAAGTACAGAGACCTTCTCTGAAATACAGAGCAGTGAGTAGACCTCAATTGCAGGGCTGAACAGACAATACTCAGGGAAAACAACCTCTACCCCAAACACAAGGTATCTCAAAAGGGATTTGAAGTCTGTGGTAACTACAGCAACAACAAACCTCAAACCCAGCCCCCTCCTGACTACTCATCTCCTACCTCCCCCGACCACATCAAGACACAAAGCAATCATGAGAACCAGACTCAGGTATGATACAGATGCTGGAGCTATCTGACGGAGAATTTAAAACAACCATGAATAATATGTTAAAGGCTCTAATGGAAAAGTGGACAACAATTATATGGGTCACTTCTGCATAGAGATGGAAGTAAGAATCACATGGAAATGCTAGAAATAAAAAATACAGTAAGAGCAACCTAAAAATCCTGGATCATTCTGTGAAAGGAAAATAAATCCTCGGGCCTCCAAATTACTAAGCTAAAGAGAAAAGTCAAACTGTGAACTGCTCAGGACCAACCTGCCTCCCTAATGTATTCAAAGTCACCCCTCTGCTCCCTGAGATAAATGCATATCTGATTGCCTACTTTGGAGAGGCTAATCAGAAACTCAAAAGAATACAGCCATTTGTCCCTTACATACCTAAGACCGGGAAGCCCCCTCCCCGCTTTGAGTCTTACCACCTTTGCTTTGAGTTGTCCTGTCTTTCCAGACCGAACCAATGTTCATCCTACATATGTTGATTGATGTCTCATGTCTCCCTAAAATGTATAAAGCCAAACTGTGCCCTGACCACCTTGGGCATATGTCATCAGAACCTCCTCAGGCTGTGTCAACGGGCACGTATCCACGACCGTGACAAAATAAACTTTCTAAATTAACTGAGACCTGTCTCAGAATTGTGGGTTCACAATTCAGAGTTCTGTCTCCTCCCTGAGGCAGGTTACCAGGTCTTTCAAGCCTGAGACCTGGCTTTCTCCTCCTTTTCTAGCCCCAAAACAGCTGGGGACATTCTGCACACATGACCAGTATCCATACACACATGTTGATTAAGCCTCGGTGCAGGACCACATCCACAACCGTAACTGATGAAAAACTGGGAGGCTGATTAAAAAACTTCCATCCTTTCCCAACAATGCCTCCTACCCAACACGGGTGAGATGGGAGAGGCTGAGCAGCACTGCCTGCCATACTAATGGGGAGGCACCATTCATGTGCAGGGCGCTCTTTGCCTGCCCATCTCCCCTCCTAAGCCTGCAGCAGCTTCAACTCACGGAGAACACATGTCCTTCCAATTTGTGTACAACCCAGCCAGAACCCCTCTTTCCCCTGAGTCTTTCCATCTCCCCTCCTAAGCCTGCAGCAGCTTCAACTCACACAGAACACATGTCCTTCCAATTTGTGTACAACGCAGCCAGAACCCCTCTTTCCCCTGAGCCTTTCCTGCCCACTCCAGATAAACTCAAGTTCCTTCATCTTTGACCTCCCATAACATCACAAATTTTCTCTCATAACATATTCTTAATAGGAAACATAAGCCAGGAAGAACAGTGATATCTCTATTAAGGAAACAAAAAGGGCCAGATGCAGTGGCTTATGCCTGTAATCTCAATGCTTTGGGATGCCAAGGTGGGAGGATCACTTGAGGCCAGGAGCTCAAGACCAGCCTGCGAAATACAGTGAGACCCCATCTCTATCAAAAGGTTTAAAAAATTGGCTGGACATGGTGGTACACACCTGTAGCCCAGCTGCTCCAAAAGCCGAGGTGGAGGAATCACTTGAGCCCAGGAAGTTGAGGCTACAATGAGCCATGATCGTGCCACTGCACTCCAGCCTGAGCAACAGAGTGAGACCCTGTCTCAAAAACAAACAAACAAACAAACAGAACAAAATTAAAATTAAAAATCCCCAAATCCTCTGACCGACCCATATCTTCTAGGAAGCCTGTCCTATACTCTGGGCTTGCGTAGATGCCCCTTTATTACAGTCACAAAATCTCCAAGGCTTATCTCTATCATGGCATTTACCATATGCTGTCATAACTGTCTTTTAAAGTGTCTGCATCTACCACCAGACCGCAAAATTCTTGAAATAAGGACTGAGCCTCACTCAGCTTTGTGTGTCTGGGGCCTAACACAGTTCTTGGAACATAGTGAGCACTCACATAATGTATGGTGAATGAGTGCAACCTTCCACCCAAAAACAAATAAATAATAAAAACAAACAAATAACGTTTTTTTCCCTGGGAACTAAACTGTTTTGAATAAGGATAATACAATTGACAGCAAAATCACCACAACACAAGGCCTGATTTGCCAGCTTCTGCAATTGCAACAAAATGCTCTGTGCAGAGGCTCCATCTGCCCCAGTCCATGGTCAAAAGAGCTGGTCCTCATCAAAGTTATCAGGAATGTACTGTGAGACTCATAATTCCATGTTCCTTTTCCTTGACCTCTCCCTTCTGTCCCCTCCACCTCGGAGGTAGGACCAGCTACACAGTTTGCAGGGCCCAGTGTAAAATGAAAATGTGGGGCCCCTTAAACATGATTAAGAATGTCAATTCTGAGACACATGAACATTAATTCTAGCATGGGGCTCTTCAGGTTGCAGGATCCTGATGGAGTGCCTGGGTACTGGATTCCCGGCAGTTGCTAGAAATCCAAGACTGGGCCACTCTTTTCTCACCATCACCACAAGGAGGGATTCATTCTACAAAGTACAGCCTCAAGCCATGTATTTGCTTTTAAGTCTCTTATCTCAAATTTTGGAATGAAAAGCATTTATCCTTCCTTATAGGGACTTAAAGCATCAGCAAACGCATGGAGATATTTGAAAGCAGTAAAAGGATAGAGGGGCCTGGTGAGAGAGGAACCTTCTATCACACAGGCCTACTCCACACTGAAGAATAAACCACTGGGTTGTTCCAGAACACAGTGGGGTGACAGTAGTCAGAAGGACCCCGGTTCTGCCACCCTTGCTTCCCTGGGGATTCTGGCTCAGAGTTCCCAAGCCCAACTCACACCCTGATGGCCTTTTGCTGTCCTGCCTGTGAGTCTCCTCCCACTACACCCCAAGTACAAGTGTGACCCACCACTAAGGAGAATCCCCACTCTTCCTTATTTCTGCACCAAGATGTCCACATACCTCTCAAATGCCCAGAATGCACCTGAAAGGCTGTCTTATGATTTCCACCACAAGTCACAAAGTTGCTATCACTGAAATGGCACACTGACATAAGGACCCATTTCCTGTCCGCTAACATCCCCAGCATATTGCTCACCAAACATGCAGGACCTCAAATTCTATTTGACTCATCCAGAGAAGCTTTAGCAAAGTGGTCACAGAGCATTCCTTACAGGCTACTTAGTGATACACCGACAAGTGAAGTAAAAAACTCACTATCCCCGTGAGGTGTTTGTTGAAGAGTACAGGAGGTTGGCATTGACTGTACAACCTGCTAATGTGTGTTTATAGCTATCTCCCTGTGTCTTTGCTTTAAAACGTATCTCAAGGTGCCCTCTTAGTCCATTGTGTGCTGCTATAAACTACCTGGGGCTGGGTTATTTACAAAGAACAGAAATTTATTTTCTCACAATTACGGAGGCCGGGAAGTCCAAGATCAAGGCCCAGGCAGGTTCAGTTGTCTGGTAAGGGCTGTATCCTCCAGAGGAGAGGAATGCAGTGTCCTCCCAGGATAAAAGGCATAAGGGCAGAGGCCGGGCACGGTGGCTCACGCCTGTAATCCCAGCACTTTGGGAGGCTGAGATGGGCCGATCACTTGAGGTCAGGAGTTCGAGACCAGCCTGGCCAACATGGGGAAAGCCCATCTCTACTAAAAATACAAAAATTAACCAAGCATAGTGGCACGTGCCTGTAGTCCCACCTGCTAAGGAGGCTGAGGCAGGAGAATCCCCCGAAACTGGGAGACAGAGGTTGAAGTGAGCTGAGATAGAATCAGCCTGCAGCCTGTGTGACAAAGCGAGACTCCGTCTCAAAAAAAAAAAAAAAAAAAAAAAGAATAAGGGCAAGCTAGCAAATGCTACACAGAACCTCTCTTACATGGGCCTTAATCCCTTATATATATGACAGAGGAGCCCTCATGGCCTAATAATCATCTTTTAAAGGCCCCAACACTTAATGCTATCACGTTGGCAACATCTGAACTTTGGAGGGGACACATTCAAACCACAGCACCCTCAAAGCCTTCACTTTTCTGTGGAACATAGCTTAGGTTCCATCTCATCTCAAAATCAAGCCTTTTGCATCTGACCCACTCTCACCACACTACTAACCCTGCAGAGGCTGGAGGAGGATGAGCCACACAGGCTGGTGACAGAAGAGCAAACCCATGGAAATGGTAGACACAAATGCCTCACATAGGGGTCACATTATCAGATGTTTGGATTGTGAAAGAGAGTTCGGAAAGCTAATTTGTTTGATGGGATGATGTCAAACTTATGTCCAAGGGATCTATTTAAAAACAGGAAATCAGAGCCAAAATATGTGCCACTTAGATCTCAGGATTAGTTTGTATATCCCATCCTGAAGGAATAACTAAACAACATAAAGAGGGATTTTCTGTGTACTTGAGACAAACAGTGAAGCACAGGATTTGATTCCATCTCTACTCTCACTTCTCTTCCCAGATGGTTGTAAAAAATTACTGCGATTACGTAAGAATCCAACACAAAAATCAGTGCCAATGGAACATCTGGGGAAAGGGAAAAGAGAGACAAAAAATCACTTCCTCTGTGTTTTGAGGATAGATAATAATGAAATCAATATAGATAAATTAGACATCTGTCTGATATTTTCCCTCTGCAAGCTTCGCAGAACTGTAGAAAGTGGCCACAGACAGACCAGACCTTATAAGTAACATATCTGATTGCTTCCTTTTATAGAAGAGGATCCCAAAGGGGAGGTGGCTTGTCCTGCCTGGGTCACCCGGCAGGCTGGATGGCAGAGCATCTCTGAGAGATGGTTGCTTGGCAAAGCTATGGAGAAAAGCTTTGTATTTTGCAGACAAGAGAGACCAGAAGGCTGGGCTGGGAAGGGCGACAGAGAACATATATGTTCAGTCTCTTGTTGGTGGATTAGGAAACTGAGTCTCAAGGAGCCTAAGGGTCTTAGTCAAAATCATACCTTCTCAAGCTTGCGTGATCATGCCACTTCTCTCACAATTAGCCTGAAGTGTTACATAACTAGGATCATCTGCAAGCATGCCTTGAACTTTTCTTGTTATTTTTTAAATACAAAGAATCCCCATCTTTGTTATACTACTACATGGTTCACCAAATTTCTTCTCCGTTTGGAACTCTCAAAGTGTGGAGAACTCCTGTTTCTAACCAACTTTTCCCATGGATTTTGAGAAATTGCCTCAACCATGGATTACTGAAACCCAAAACCTCAAATCACTCTAAGGTTAGGAACCCAAAGAAGTTATTTTTAAGATAAATTTCACCCTTATAAAATCCTGTCACTTGCTGTAGCTCATTACAGAACACAAATCTCAAACCAGACCTTTCCATTCCCTTCTTTCTCCTTAACTAGGTGTGGATCAAAGAATTGTGAACCAGGATTGAAAAGGTCCCCAAATGTAATTCAGTCCAATCACCTCTCTGAAGCTAGGATCATCATTTATAACCACCTGGTCAAATGGTCACCCAGTTGATGATAGAATTCTTGTAGTGCCAGGAATCCCACTTTGTTCTGAAACATCACTATTCTCAAAGCTGGCCCCTTATACTGCACTTAATTCTATCACACCTGCAGCTTCCTCTGACTAGTAGAATCTTTCCTAAGGCTCTGCTTCCTGTGACTATCAAAGATTGCCTCCACAATCTTGTGGTATTGATAATATTTTTCAAAATGAAATAAACTGCTCATCATAGTTCAATCTCTATAAATATATTTAAAGTATTTGCCTTTATTTACTCATCAACGAAAACAGTTGACTAGACTTTCACCAAATATGGAAGACACATGTGGGTCTGTCTGCCTTTAAAAAGCTGTGTGCTGCCCACGAAATCAATACTGAGTAGCTATAATGTGTCTCTAAAAGAAGGTCAGCCAAGCCTCAGAGCAAATATACTGAGGGGCAAGAGGCTGGTGTCACTGCTGATTGAGAAAGATAGGCCTTACGTGTTAAACTACTGTGCATAGAATAGCAGATAGATTTCAAATATGAATGCAGATTGAACATCACAAGGTCACACATTCCAAATTGCAGACACTGATTTGCAATCAAGTTCTTTTGAAACTGCTCTGTATGTGGGCAGCTCTATGTAGCACACCCCAGGGAGAGTGACAACCAGGATTTTTTTTTTTAATGATGTTTAATGATTTTCCCTGAGGGTCGGCTAGTAAACTAATACATGTGGAAATGCTTTATAAACTGTAAAGTACTATAAAATGTGATGTTGCATTATCATGATTCTAATTTTGAACTCTTACTGTGTGCTTACCATGTGCTTATACAGGTTAGCTCCTGAACATTCTAGACATTTTTACTGTTTCATATGAATGAGTTTTTTTTTTTTTTTAATCTCACACCAAAGATGATCTTGTAAAAGATTTCTTTACCTGGCTCTAGGCACATAAAACTGATGATACACTAAAATTGCATCAACTTATGGTTCACTTATCAAGTCTAAAAAAGCATAAAAGAAGAAAGTGTCCAAAGAACACAGGCATGAACAGCAGCAGGAGGCTTTTTGATTTGATGGAAGAGAGTCAGTTTTGCCTGTAGGCCCATGAGACAGTGGTTGTATAACCAAAGCAGTGAGTGGTGTTAGGTGGACACAGCTATATTTCTGGGCAAGATGAATTATTATTATTTTTTGAGACGGAGTCTCTCTCTGTCACCCAGGCTGGAGTGCAGTGGTGTGATCTCGGCTCACTGCAAGCTCTGCCTCCTGGGTTCACGCCATTCTCCTGCCTCAGCCTCCCAAGTAGCTGGGTCTACAGGCGCCCGCCACCAGGCCCGGCTAATTTTTTGTATTTTTAGTAGAGATGGGGTTTCACCGTGTTAGCCAGGATGGTCTCGATCTCCCGACCTCATGATCCGCCTGCCTGGGCCTCCCAAAGTGCTGGGATTACAGGCGCGAGCCACTGCACCCGGCCAGATGAATTATATTCTTTTCAGAAATGGGGAAAGAACTAGATGTCCTTGAAGGTACTTCTTTTCCCAAATTATTAGTTGATTTTTGAACCAGTAACAATAGATAAGTTAAAAAGACATTAACTTCCAAGAAACTGGACAAGGCTGCTGTCTTCTAAAATTAGACACAAACACAAATTAATACTAGGCTGTCCTACGCCCGTGAAAAAAAAGATGAGCCGTCATCTCACTAGTTTCCATGTGCTCTGACAATCTGTATGATATAATGTAGAGGTTAAGGACATGGACTCTGGAGTTAAGACTTCCAGGGTTCAAATCCTGGTTCTGTCACTTGTTAGCTGAGCAACTTTAGCTATTTAATTAATTAAATTACACCTCCATTTCCTCATTCCCTAATGGGGTCATTTCATGGGAAAAGAATAAGTGTGGCTGGCACATGTAAGTGCAATAATATGTGCGTGTTATTATTCTGTTCATGAGCTTGCTAACCAAGCTCAGTTACTAGAAGTGCCCTGTCATATTTTATTTGGGTTTCAAAGTTTTATGTTTATCTATTTTTAAAATGAAAGGAAGAAGTTCTACCTTCTTCTGCCAAGGAACAATGAAACTGTCCACTCAATGACCGTGGTTTCCATGAGAAAGTAAGTGGAAACAGATGTTTCTGAAAAATAAAAAGCCATGCCGTACCTTTTGGTGTCACACACATAAAACTTTCCGCCAGCCATCCCAGAGCCAGCTGCCAGCCTCCTGGAGCTGGAACCTGCCTGGGTGCCAGGAACCCCCAATTCCTTTTCTTCTCCTTTCCCCCCAATTCACAAAATGCTAACCTTCTATGAAATCAGAGGCCGTGTAAGGACGGTGATTGGGGCTGTTCTCTGCAGGACTGTTCAGGGTCTCCAAGGCTGATTCAATGGCTTCCACCAACTCATCCCGCTTGTCCTTCCTCACAGGCTTCTCCTCGGGGTGGCGGGTAAGGCCAGTCTCCAGCTGGTACACCTTCTGTAGAGTAAAGCTATCGAAAGGCACTGCTGCATACTCTGTGGCCAGCTTGACGCCAGCATTCACCTCTGCCTTGTCCACCTGCGAGTGCAGGAAGGCCAGGAGGTCGGCCTGGGTTTTCTCTGGGGGGCTCCTGTCCAGACCCAGGCCAGCAGCATCGCTGGCTTGGTACTGCCCATTCCTGAGCTGCTCACTCCTCTCCTGCAGCTCCTCCTTGAGCTGTGCGATCTGCCGCTTCAGGCTGCTCACGTAGTTGCGGTGCTGCTCCTCCCACTCCTGAAGGACGGCCTGGTACCCCTCCTTCCCCGTGGGGCTGTTGGCCCTGGGCAGTGCCAGCTGCTCCTCGTCACCTTTTGGGGTGCAGGCCAACATGTACAGGACAGAGATAGCACAGCAGAGGAGCACCAGCAAAACCACCACCCGGGAAATCCACGCAAGCAGCCCCCGGCGAACCATCATCATTCAGGAATCAGCCATGCGTCCAGAACCGGTGGCATCCCTCAAAGCCGGGGCCCCCACGGAAGGGCTTCCCTGGGCTAGACCACAGGAAGCATGCGTTTGGGGCCCCCGGAGCTGCTTGCATCCATTTCCTTCTAGAACGAGTTCTGCCTCTTGGAGTTAACCACCACACAGAGCAGCTTCTCTACTTTTAAAGGATGATCTTGCAGGCAGAAGCAATGACTGAAGTGAAATCTCCAAGTTTTCACCTTCATTCCCATCACAGCCTTCCTGATGTGCAGCCAACAGCAAGAGGGGACCTGGGAAGAAACACAAATGACATCAACACTTAATCAAGACAACGACTCCCTCATGTTCCCTACGGCAATCAATATCCAATAGATCTCCTGTGAGAGTTATGGCAAATGCCTATGATAGATGATTAAATATTGTTAAATGTGTATAAATCAGAACACAAACGCACATCTGCAGTGTAACGCAAATAAGCAACAAAGGACAGAGAAAAAAGATTGGAAGGAAAATGGCAAAATCTGAACAATAATTCTCTCCAGATGGAAAGATTAAGAGTCATCTTTCTACTTCTATTTTTCTGTATCTGGTAATTTCTGCATAGTGGCGCAAGTCCTGATGGTTAAAGGGAGAAAAGCAAAAATGTTAATGACACTGGAGTTGCTGGCAGCGGACTACTTGGCCGGAGACTGTGCTGTGTTTGTTTGTCCCCTCCAAGTCTTATGCTGAAATATGATCCCCAGTGTTGGGAGGTGGGGCCTGGTGGGAAGTGTTTAGATCATGGGAGTGGATCCCTCAGGCATAGCTTAGTGCCATTCTTGCTGGAGTGAGTTGGCACTCTTAGCTCCCATGAGAACTCCTTGTTGAAAAGAGCCTGGCTCTTTGTCTCTCTCTATCCCCACTCCCTCCTGCTCCCACCATATAATGCCTGCTGACCGTCACCTTCCACCATGAGTGGAAGCAGCCTGAGGCTTTCATCAGAAGCAGATGCTGGTGCCATGCTTCCTGTACAGCCTGCAGAACTGTGAGCCAGATAAACCTCTTTTCTTTTTAAGTTACGCAGCTTCAGGTATTCCTTTAGAGCAGCAAGAATGAACTAAGCCTGCCAGCAGGCGTGGATGCAGCCAGGTGAGCCCACATGTGTTCACCTGTGTGCACTCACTTAGAGCAGGCCTGAAAGAGGATCGACATGGTTCTGAGCTTTCTGATCAGGAACTGGGGAAGCACCCAGAGGTTCAAATATACAAATAATAAATGTGGATGGTAACACATCCAGAAGGGATCAGGGGACAATGGTTCCAGCTAACTCTTTGATGCTGCTTACAGACAGGAGATGAATTTATCATAGAAGGGATGAGGATGGGAGAAGAAGAGAGATCAGATTCAGAAATACTGTCCTGTTGGGACCCAAATCCCAGTTATATCTCTGCTCCAGTGTCTATGAGGAATTCTGTGTCCTGATAGTTCATAAGAAATACTCAGACGGGTCCCAGGACTTTTCACATGCTCTGCACCTCAACTCTCAATCTCAACAAATGAGAAGCCAGTCTGCCTGCCTTCTCCATTTCCCCCTGGGGTCACCCTTCCTGTTCCTCCACTCATCATGGACATTTCCACAGCACACTCCTCTTCAGATGTTCTCCTTCCTTAATCCCTTTTCCTTGTCTTCCCCTACCCATCTTAGCCAGAAAAAAAAAAAAAAAAAAAAAAAAGAATGATTAATGGAAAATAGACCAAATAGAATTTCTTGTCTAGGGACATTTTAATGAAACCTTCCTAAATGCATCTTTCTTTTTTTCTCTTTGTCGAGACAGAGTCTCGCTCATCGCCAGGCTGGAATGCAGTGGCGCGATCTCTGCTCACTGCCATCTCTGCCTCCTGGGTTCAAGCGATTCCCCTGCCTCAGCCTCCTGAGTAGCTGGGACTACAGGCACGCATCACCACCCCTGGCTAATGTTTTTGTATTTTAGTAGAGACGGGGTTTCACCATGTTGGCCAGGATGGTCTCTATCTCCTGACCTTGTGATCCGCCCGCCTCGGCCTCCCAAAGTGCTGGGATTACAGGCGTGAGCCGCCGTGCCCGGCCCTCCTAGATGCATCTTTCTATATCACTTCACTCACAAACAAGATCCCTGAGGGTATCATGCCTTTGCCATTTTATAAAAACTTGTCATTTTAAGTGATCCTCATGATAACTAAATTATTCTTTATATAGTCTTCACCCGACTCAGAAAGCCAGATTCTGGGCCAATAATCATCTCATTTACTGGTAGTCTATCCTATTTACCGATGAGAAGAAGAGCTCAGCCCAGTCAATTCACACGTTCAGGACCCTTGGGAGAAAAGAGAGAGATGTTCCTCTCAAAGACAGAATGTTAACAACCTCCTTTACTTGAATATTCACTTGCTATGCACTATGTCTACACAACAGTTCCTCTTCTATTACCCAGGAGATGTGCCTTTTAGTGATATCACTATGCCATCAAAATAGTTTATTTCTCAACTTTTCTGAGAAATTCAACACTTAACATTCTAATATTTCCTTCAGCCCAAGGATTCTCTCTACTGTAATTTAGAACAACACACAGTTATTAGTGCTAAGTTTAAAGTGCATGTTTAGCCCTGGAAGCCTTTTCCATCTGATGAAAATCTTGGGATTTATATAATTACTGTAATTCTGTGATTGAAAACAGCTCAGCTTTGGTGTTCAGGCACCTTGCTGTTTCTAATGAAGTCTCTTAGATAAACTCATTATATCCAAGAATTAAATTACCAGTGAAGACATGTTATCGTGCTATTCTGCCACTTTCAACACTCCTACTTTAAAAAGATTGTCGTTAAAGACAAAACAAGCAAATCAAGAAACAAAAATGGAGTAGTCAACACATTTTGTTGTGTTGTGGAAACTTAAATTATGCTGTTTTTCTCTCAGGGTTTTCTAATAAAATGGTTGTATTTGCATAAAAGATGAAAAGCATGTTGGCTAACTGAACACTATTTAAAAACTAAATCGGTGATTTGAAAATTTAAAACTGGAATATCTTTTTGTTCTGTTCTATAATTTTCTTCAAGATCTAGTTTGGCTTTTGAAATTCACTAGTATAAATTTCAAAGTTATTTGGTATTCCACTCTTTGGAGAAAAGAAGAAAAAGTGGAAAAGACAGATTTTTAGGAAGGATGGGCATTTTTAATAGAAATAACAAAAAGTCATAAGAACTGCTGCCAAGGAGGCAGCAATGAATTTTTCCTTTGAAACGTCAGAAGCAGATAACGTGTGTCGGAAACAAAATTCCATTCTTTAACAGACAAAATATCTCTGAACCGTTCCAGCAATCTCATCTGTAATCAAACGCTTAAAAACTGGTTATACTGAAGAGGCTGGGAGTATCTGCTTCCTGAAGTCAGAAGAGGCTTTTACCCTTCGGATTCTTGCTTCTGTGAAGACTTCATGTTTTTCCTTCGGTAGCACAAAACATCATTCTTAAAAGTGGGTGTTGGCCGGGCACGGTGGCTCACACCTGTAATCCCAGCACTTTGGGAGGCCAAGACTGGCAGATCATTTAAGGTCAGGAGTTCAAGACCAGCCGGCCAACATGGTAAAACCCCGCCTCTACTAAAAATACAAAAATTAGTCAGGTATCGTGGTGCGTGCAGCCTGTAATCCTAGCTAATGTGGAGGCTGAGGCACGAGAATCGCTTGAACCCGGGAGGCAGAGGTTGCAATGAGCTGAGATTGCACCACTGCACTCCAGCCTGGGCAACAGTGCAAGACTCTGTCTCAAAAAAAAAAAAAAAAAAAAAAAAAAATGGGTGTCACCACCTCTGCCACCTTCAGGAAAAAAACACCTTGATGAGACATAACTGGACCAATACATACCTAAGCCACAAAATCTCTGTGCAATCTCCTTCTCTGAGCAACAGTGGGAGAATTAAAGAGTTAAAATTTATATGTTCACAGACTTGCAGATGGAAAGCAACGTGTAATTACCAAGCACTACTAGAAGTTAGAGATGACAGTGAAAATACAGCTTTATGTGATCACAGCAGCATTGAGCTACTATTTTAAGAACTTAGAAAGGCACCCACATTTTTAGACCAGGTCAATCTCTTGGGGGTGGCTGTGGGACAGAGAGAGTAGGGAGCAAGGAGTCCCTGTCAACAACAAATTTTAGGACCCCTGGAAGAAGGGAGATACATAATTCCCGTTTTTTGTTTTTTTAATTGTAGAAAATCCTTATGCTCATCAGGTTTCTTGACACTGCCATTTTTAAATGTTCATCCTTACTAATTGTTTTGCCTAATACTTTCCTATCCCTGGCCAAATCCCCAGGGATGGAACTGTGATGCATCACATCTGAAACTGTGGATTTCTTGATTAGAATGAAGGAGATATCCAAGCGCAATGCCTTTCCTGCCATTCTTACAATCTCTGGGCAACAAAACAATGGGAGAAGGCTTCTTCATGGTCTTCTGTGAAAGCAAAACACTCCTGCAGAGCAATGCTTGTAGGACTCACTCCGATCTGAGACCCAGAAACAACCTCCAAATAACACAGCAATGAATAAACAATAGACGACAGTCTCAGTCCACTCTATCTAGGATTCTGTCTTTATTCATCCATACAACAAATAGGCACTAAGCACTTAGTATGTTCAATGCACTGTATAAAAAGTTCCAGGAGATGAAAAGGTGAACCAAGAACAAATCCCAGCCTCAACAAATTTACTAGCTTGTAGAGGAACTAACGTCCTTTCAAATAACTATAATCTGAGCCCCAAACAGACAAATACCATTAAAATAGATATAAAGTGTTAATGTCATGTTCCCACCGACCAAACGTATGGGTGAGGAGTGGGAGATGGGAGGATCTGAAAAGTACAAATATAATACATTTTAAAACGACAGAAGTTTAAGATAAATGTTATGTGTCATCAATATTTGTCAAGATAAGATATCCAAGTAGTTACAGATACTGTTTACCATTTCATCTCAGAAGGTAAAACAAAGGCAGGTCAGGTTTGTTTCACAGCCTAAGACTTAAACGAAATG
The DNA here is from genome assembly GCF_000001405.40 of Homo sapiens. Classification (NCBI taxonomy): domain Eukaryota; kingdom Metazoa; phylum Chordata; class Mammalia; order Primates; family Hominidae; genus Homo; species Homo sapiens. Next base: position 19,510,891 of record NC_000008.11, read on the forward strand.
TGGCCAGTGCATACCGGGATTTCTATGACTAGGACAGAAGTTGCTCTCAGTTTGAGTGTAAGCATTTCACTCTGCAGATTTCAGTGAACGTTTTGGTCACGAGAGCTGTGTACTCTGCCAAGATATGCCTACTAATGTCCACAAGAAGCTCATAAATCAAGAAAGACTCAAGGACAAGCCCTGCTGATGACACGCTGTCAGGGTCAGCAGCAGGCAGAAAGGACAGTGGCTTCATGGCAAGGCCAGGGCAGGCAGCACTACATGCTACAATGACAGGCCTTGTAAGTGATAAAGGCAACTATTCAAGGAGTGGCAATAAATTCTGCAAGACATCTCCACCCCGTGTGCAGACACAGCCAAAAGGCTTGATGGAGAAAAAAACAAGCAGTGTCTATGGGGTCAGGAAGTGGTAGACCAAAGCCCTAATGCCGCAGTGCGAGTCTATTCCACTTGGGCACATACAATCAGCTCTTTGACAGCAAGGGCACAAACTAACCTTCAATCAAAGGATTAGCTGTACCAACAGAACATAAACTCAAGTCATATCTCTCGGATAAACATACCATCCTGGAGGTGTGTGGAAAGGATTCTTATTCAGAGTTTTCAAATGCTCTCAAAAATGGATATAAAGTCAGCACTGTAAACTTTATTTGAACATATGGCTTCATTTAGAATTCCCTCTACCCCAGTTGAATTCCTGTAGGCAGGGTGTGATAGCCAGGTTCCAAGATGGCCCTCAATGGTCCCTGCCTCCTGGTATTCATACCACTGTGTGTCTGCTCCCACACTGTACTGGGGTCTTGATGTGAGTGACTGTATTAGTCTGTTCTCACACTGCTATGAAGAACTACCTGAGACTGGGTAATTTATAAAGAAAAGAGGTTTAATTGACTCACAGTTCCACAGCTGTACAGGAGGCATGGCTGGGGAGGCCTCAGGAAACTTACAATCATGGTGGAAGGGAAACCAAGCATATCTTCACATGGCAGCAGAAGAGACAGAAGGGGGAAGTGTTACACACTTTTTAAACAACCAGATCTTGCGAAAACTCACTCACTATGATGAGAACAGCAAGTGGGAAATCTGCCCTCCATGATCCAATCATCTCCCACCAGGTCCCTCCCTCAATACTGGGGATTACAATTCAAAATGAGATTTGGGTGGGGACACAGAACCAAACCCTATCAGTGACCAACCAATATGGCAGAAGAAGTGGTATGGCATTTGTGAGATTAAGTTGTAAAAGGGGGCAGCTTCTGTCTTGGGTGCCCTCTCTCCCAAGCAAGCTGCTGTGTTGTGAGCAGCCTTGTGGAGGGGCCCATGGATGAGGAACTGAAGCCTCCAGCTGACCGACAGCTAGCAAGGAACAGAGGCAGGCCTGCCGGCAACCCCCTGAAAGAGCTTGAAAATGCGTTCTGCAGCTACAGGTAAGGCCTGAGATGACTGCAACCAGAGAGCTTGATTGCAACCCTGAACGAAAACTATCCAGCTAAGCTGCTCCCAGACTCCTGACCCTAAGACCTTGTGAGATAATAAATGTTTGTTACTTTAAGCTAAAGTTTTGGAATAATTTATTACATTCCAACAGATAGATAACTAATTCACAGGGTCACAGACTTCAGATTTACATAAAAATGCTATCTCTCAACCATACACTATTTTTCATTTTATAAAATGTTTTAATATGTCTTACCTCCTATGATGCAATAATCTTGTGCCATCAGAAATACATTACTATAATCAGTTCTCCGTTTGAGAAAATAAGGCTCAGAGAAGTTATGCGACTTGTCTAAAACCACACAACCTGCAAGATATAGAAATCGGACTCAAACCCATCTTTGACTTGAAGCCCAATATGCTTTCTACCAAAGCCCTCCGAGATTTTATTCTTGAACAATGGTCATTAATCCAAAAATGTTTTCTTTAAGTGTCAGGGACTTTAGGAAATCTGTAAAGTTAAAACAGAGGAACACTGTTTCCAGAAACCAGAGTCAACAATGGTGTGTTGTGTAGAAGTAGCTGACTATTACAGCACACGGGCCAAGTTAACTGAGAAGTGATGAAGCACAGCAGCTCTGCTTCCCTTCCAGTCATTGTCTTTGCAGCCAACGGCAGCACAACCCACCAAGCTGCTTAAGCCAGAGGCAGGAAAACCATCCCTAGCCCTTCCTTCTCCATCATCTTCTGCCATTGACTCATCACCATGTCAACATGCTTCCTGTTCCAAAAGTATCTCAAATCAGTTCTTGCATCTCTACCTCCACCACCACCCTACTCAAGGCTCCATCATCTCCTACCAAGACCATGCACTAGACACTGAATATTAGAGGTGGGTGGTAGCACCCAGGACATAGGAGGATAGCGACAATGTGGGAGAAAAGAGGACAGCAAAGGTCTTAAGATCAAAGGAAAATACCGCAAAATGTAACGGAAGACACACGAAAGCCACTATAATGATTGAAAGACCCTAACGCTCCCAATTCCTACACCCAGTACATTCTGTTCATAGAATTTTCTCTCTCTCACTCTCTCTCTCTCTCTCTCTCTATATATATATATATATATATATATATTTTGTGCCATCTGCCTGCTGTTAAAGAAAATGAGTATATACAACCAACACCTACAACTGCTAGAATCCACAATAATCTATCTCTTATACACACTTAATTAGTTTAGGGCTGAGGCACAGTTATGCCATTGCTTAATGAAAGAAAAATGTTCTGAGAGATGCATCATCAGGCAATTTTGTTGTTGTGTGAAGATCATGGAGTGTATTTTCACAAAGCTAGATGGTAGACCTACCGCACACCTGGGCCATATGGTATAGCCTATTGCTTCTAGGCTAACAAACCTGTACCACATGTGGCTATAATAAATACTGCAGTCAACTGTAACACTATGGTATTTGTGTATCTAAACACATCTAGACAAAGAAAGGGTACAGTAAAAATATAGTATTATAATTATAGAACCACCCACATGTATTCGGTCCACTGACAAAATGTTACACATCACATAACTATACTTTCAAAGAAGCCAAAATGACCTGAAAATGAGCATAATAGCTCATCATCTCCCCAAACCACATCCACCCAGAAGTTTCAGAGCAGGGTTTTCAGGTGTCAGAGATCTTTCTGGAATGCAGGTTTCTTTTTTCCATTGAGACTTTCATTAGCATCTATCTATGGGCCAAGTGCTTTATCTTCTGCTACGTTCCTGACAGCAACTAAAGCAGATCAGTATTACTGTGTATGCACTAAGAGGTGCTTGAGCCAAATCCCAGCGAGAGGACAGGGGTCCCACTGGGGAGTCAACAATTAAATGCCAAGAGTTTGGAGTTGGCTGTGGAAGGATCTGAAGCCTTCTTCCCTGACCCCCTCCAGCCCTGACACCGAGCTACTTAGCACAGGTACTGGCTCGGGTTTCACACAGACAGCAATCTGTGTGGACAGCTGCCTTGGTGGCCCTAGCAGTTTTGCTGCTTTTCCTCCTCTTTCCTCAATACTCAAGACCAGCTGTCTCCAAACATTAATTAAACAAAAATAGCACATTTCAGGCATCATATGACTTTTGAACAGAGACTATATATATATATATATATATATATATATATATATACATGTATCTATTTAAAAATTATATACAGGCCAGGCACAGTGGCTCTCGCCTGTAATCCTAGTGCTTAGGGAGGCTGAGGTGGGCAGATCCCTTGAGGTTAGGAGTTTGAGACCAGACTGGCCAACATGGTGAAACCCCGTCTCTACCAAAAAAAAAAAAATACAGAAGAGAATTAGCCTGGCATGGTGGCTCATGCCTGTAGTCCCAGCTGCTTGGGAGGCTGAGGAAGGAAAATCACTTGAACCTGGGAGGTGGAGGTTGCAGTGAGCTGAGATCACTCCACTGTACTCCAGCCTGGGGGACAGAGTGAAACTCCGTCTCCAAAAGAAAATAAAAATAAAATATTAAATACAAGCTTTATAATGTAGTATTATGTATTTACAATATATCTAAAATAATAAAGCGTAAAATATTTTTAAATAATATTGTCTCACCCTGATGGACCATCCTGGAGCCCACAGATACCTAGCTCCAGGTTTCCAGTAGTTGATCTTCTGACTGCATTACAAGTGTCCTTGGGGCAGGGCTCTTGCCACAACTGATTCCAGGTCCCCAGTGCCAGGATCATGCCTTGATCCCCCATTCCTTCGGGAACCCAGCCTCAGAGTGCCTTTCCTGCCTCTGGACCCCACTGTCTCTATCTCAGGTCCCTAGCACCTGCTGTCAGGCCATGTCCTTTCCTGCCTCTGGACCCCACTATCTCTATCTCAGGTCCTCAGCACCTGCTGTCAGGCCATGTGACCAAACTGCCGGGACTCCACCCACAACCCACTTCCCTTCCTTCCTCACCCAAAAGACTTAGGCTCAGCCTTCAAGATGCTCCTTGAGTCTTCCCTGTGAGGTCCCCCTATCTGCAGACTCAGAGGGCGTGTTCTCCAGGGACCAGCACTGACCCAGCCCAGGGGAATGGGCTTGCAAATGACTTCACAGTCAGGAATTCCCTAGTTGGGAGGGATCCTCCATCCCCTCAACTCCTCGTTGGTCTTTTAAAAGAATTCTCAATAGAAAAGCAACTGAGAATAAACACATAAGTGTAAATCAAAAAAATAAATAACTAAGTAAAAGAATTCTGATTCAATTTCCCTGCCTTGAAGCAGAAAAAGGGAAATGTGGCAAAAAGAAGCTGGCACCTGCTAATCAGAAAATGAAAGCACACTGATCACAACCACAAGCACCAAAAGGTCAAGAAACAGACTCAAGTCCTATTTTTTTTTTATTTTGATTTTTAATTTGCTGGCAAACTTTTAGAGAGGAGGCTTGATGGAGAGGGGCTTCCTGTCTATGCCAGACCGTCTAGTCCCATTCCTTACAACTGCCACCCTTGCTTCAGGAAGACCTAAGGCAGGTAGTTGGCATGGGTGGTGGTCATGGACCCCAGAAGGTGCAATGAGGGCAGGACACTGGCATAAGAAGATGCTACTCAAGCCAGGTGTACAGAATAAAGACGCTTCTTCCAGCTGTAAGACATCTCAAGCACACATGTGGGGCTGAGTCAGCTGCCAAACCCCGCAAGGAGACCTGACTCCCGGAGTCTTTTGGGGCTCTTGGTGCCGGTTCTCACCCCAAACTGAGAACCGCATGAAACCAGCCTTCCAACACCCTCCCCTCGTTCATAATTACAAGCACTTAGTGAGCATTTACGTTGGGGCCAGACATCATACAAAGCACTTCACAAATATTATCTCATTTAATCCTCAAAACGATCCTATGAGCTACATCTTATTAACCCCATTAAAGAAACAGAAACTGAAGCTTAAAGCAATGAAGTAACTTGACCCAGATGTTCAGCTGGCAAGTAGCAGAGCCCAGCTTCAAACCCAGCTCCGTCTGATTCTTACCCACTACGCTATACTGTTCAACCCGCTTCATAATCTCAAACTGCTTGCTGAGACCTGCTCCTCATTCTACACCCAGCGTGTCCAATTTTTCTTGTTTCTGAACTCATAAATATTATTTATGAGCTTGCCTGGCCCCTCAAACGTGGCATGAATCACTGCTTCTCTAGTTAAAATGTTTTGTACCCCCATGTAGCCGTGATCTGCATTTACACATCTCTCAACAGCTAGGCAAACTCACACTATCCTGACAAATAATCCCCATCCCGGTGTGAGCCTTGCTCTGTCCCTGCAACTAGGGCCAGGCAGAATATCTTCGCAACATTCAAGTGTTTCTAAGTGATTCCACCAGACCCTCCAGCCGTGTGGCCTCCACAGACCAGGCTCTGGGTGGGCTGGGGGAATGTCACCCATTACTCCTTGGGCCTGGCCCTTAGGCTTCCATGATGGGAGCCCCCAGGAGGGGGTGAGATGCTGGAAGTGGCTGCTTTCTGGGGATCGAGGTGAACACAGCGGCCACGGCAGTCTCAGTGGTTCAAGTGCTGCCTTTGCTCCTGGAGTTTCCATTTCCAGCTGGAATCTGCAGCCACATTTATTTCCTGTTCTCCATTCCCTACTTTGGCCATGACCCACTGCCCACCTGGAGAGGTGGTTGGTTTTTAGTTGAGATGCCTCAAACCTGATATGTGGGTGTAAGACGCCAGGAGTTTATACTCACATATCAAGTTCGAAGCATCTCAACTAAAAAGCATCACGGCAAGTAGAATTTTTAAGCAACTAAGAAATGTTCTTTGAAAGAAGAAAAAGAGGGCCAGGCATGGTGACTCACATCTGTAATCCCAGCACTTTGGGAGGCCGAGGTGGGAAGATCACCTGAGTTTGGGAGTTCGAGATCAGCAGCCTGACCAACATGGAGAAAAACCATCTCTACTAAAAATACAAAATTAGCTGGGTGTGGTGGCACATGCCTGTAATCCCAGTTGCTCGGGAGGCTGAGGCAGGAGAATCGCTTGAATCTGGGAGGCAGAGGTTGCCGTGAGCCGAGATTGCACCACTGTACTCCAGCATAGTCAACAAGAGTGAAACTCCATCTCAAAAAAAAGAAAAGAAGAAAAAGAGAATATCTCTAGAAGGGTTAAAGTGATCACTGTGGAAGGCTCTCCTGCAAAACACTGTGTATTAGTCTGTTTTCATACTGCTGATAAAGACGTGCCCGAGAGTGGGTCATTTATAAAGAAAAAGAGGCTTAATGGACTCACAGTTCCACATGGCTGGGGAGGCCTCACAATCATGGCAGAAGGGGAACAGTTCGTCTTACAAGGCAGCACTCAAGAGAGAATGAGAGCCAAGCCAAAGGGGTTTCCCCTGACAAAAACATCAGATCTCCTGAGACTTATTCACTATCAGGAGAACATTATAGGGGAAACCACACCCATGATTCAATTATCTCCCACCAGGTCCCTCCCACAACATGTGGGAATTATAGGAGCTACAATTCAAGATGAGATTTGGGTGGAGACACAGCCAAACCATATCACACTCAGTTCTCTCTTCTTTCCTCTAGAGCACTGCAAAAGTAGATGCCCATGTAATGGCCATGTGTCAAACTAACATTCTTCTGTGCAGGCAGAAACCAGCCCTGGCACTGGGGAGACTCCAAGACTCAGGAAAGTAAGCACCTGGAGAGATCAGGGTCTGAGGTAGCATCACACAGCTTCTAGAGAAATGCATGCTGTTAATTAACAAAGAGGGGACTAATTTAAAAATGAGCAACACTCCCCAGCCAAGTACTTTCTGATACAGGAGTTAAGAAGCAATCACTTAGGCAAATAGTAAGGGTATGGGAGTCCTCAGTAAGGCTTTCTTTTAAATGAAAAGCAGCCCCAAATCATTTTCTAACTAAGAGCAGCCTGAAAAGTGGAGCCCCAGACATACATAAGCAAGCTGGGAGTTTGCATGGATGATTAACAGCAGGAACTAAGGACTAGAAGTATTCAAGATGGCAGCTCCATCTTCCCTTCTCTTTATCAGCAACCTGTACTGTAAGGACCAGACAAAATGGCACCAATCAACTGGAAAGCTATTTGCATAATAATATTAGGGTGGGGTGACCAACCTTCCCCACACACTATGTAAACATCATACCTGATCAAACCAATCTGTGAGCCCTATGTAAATCAGAGACTGCCTCCTCAAACCAGACTATAAAATCCTGTGCAGTCTCTGCCACTCAGTCCTTTTTCTGCTCTGAGACTCCTTTCTCTGTAGAGAGAGCAGTTTCTCTTTTCCTCTTCTGCCTATTAAACCTCTGCTCCTAAACTCCTCATGTGTGTCCGTGTCCTCAGTTTTCCTGGTACACCACGAGGAACCCCAGGGTATATACCCCAGACAATGTAGCTGCTTCACTTCCAGCTAGGCCGTCAGCACAGGCCCTAAGCAGATTGCAGGCAGAGATGCTGAGTGTAGACATCAGCCACAAGGCACGATCAGAGGTGTGAATCACCACACTCTGTGTTGGGAAGGCTAAGGTGGCTCCATTAGCGAAACAGGCTCAACTTTATTTATTTACAGTGAAAAGAAGCACAGAAAGAAGAAAAACGAAGCTCTCTCCTTCCTGATAAAATGATCCTTGTACATTATGAGCAGGTAGAAGGGGGGAACTGACGATGAGAAACAATATTTACCCAATGCCTTGACCAGGTACCAGCTGATGGTTTTAAAACATTCTTTAGACACAGCTCTCCAAGAACAAACATTATGGAAAGCCCAATTCATTAAAAGATACAGGTAAAAGTGTTCACTTTGAGTCTAAGGTAGTGACCTAGTCCTCTCGGGCAGCCCTGGGGGTGGGGGTCTACCAAGTACTGCTGGAGAATCCTTGGACCTTCTCCATCACCTGTTGTCTCACTTAAACCTCATAATAACTTTAGTTACAAGTTGTTGATCCCCATTCTCCTAGATTAGGAAACCAGGATTCAGCAGGACTGGGTGACTTGCCCACACAGCTAGTAGGCCCCCATATCCTGAAGCACCATCACAATGATCTGCTTCAATCAGCCTTACGTTGCAAAAAGTAGACAGAGCTTTTCAATATACAGAGAATTAAACAACACCAGCACAGGGGAAGGCGATGTCCACAGCAGGGCAAAAGAGAAAGAGCAGCCAAGTTAAGAAAACACGCAGCAGAGAACCCTGGAAATAGGACAAAACATCACCTCTAAACAGAATCACTGGTGCCGATAGCTGTCTCGTGAAGTGCCAAATCATGCTTTGATCCGAAGGCGAGAGTTGGAGGATACATGTGACACTCTCCCTCCTCTCCATCTCAGGCTCCCCTGGGTGAGACACTCTGCTTTGGTGCCAAAAGTGACAAACTAGTAATTAAAGCTTGTCTTCTTGGGCACTTGCAGTCACCTAATGGCTGCTGTATGCTCCCTTCTCCCAGGGGTGGCATTCTGGTCTCTCCACCCACAATCCTTGGCACCAGCCAGCATGATGGAGAAGCCTGGTCTGCCACAGGCATTATGGAAGAATGGATCTGCACAGTGGCCTCCTCATTCCCCACCAGCACAGTCCCCAAGGAAGGATATCTGGGAACATTCCTACACTGAAAGGTGCCAGCACCCACTGTGGCAATGCCGGCACCCACTCTGATGAGTTCATGGAGGTGTTTTGCTGGCGTGTTCTAGGTGAGAGGGGTTAAGAATGAAACTGTTACTTTTAGTTAAGACAAAATAAACAGCCTAACTCCTCTCAGCTCTCCTCTTCCTTCCCCACCTACAAAAAGATATGAGCACACAAATGAGGGGCTTTCTTTTAGAAAGTGGTTATTATAGAACGGGACTACAGAATGCACGTATTGTGCAGAATTATTTTAGAAACTCCATGAAGCTACATCAACCAAGGCTTCTCTCTTTGTGCCATCTAACTGAACAGAAAAATGGAATAAAAAATGTAGGGAAAAATAACAAGAGGAAGCCCAATAACACATAAATGCAAGCTGCATTGTTATTTTTGGTAAAAGTAAGACCTACAGATAATATTGCAGACAATATTTTTAAGGCTGTGGCTCCAGCCTCCCCAGGCCTATGAGTCCCTCTCCTGGAGTCCCTCACTCCTGGCGCCTGCCGCCAATCCTATCTTGTAGTCAGCAATCTCTACTAGGGAGTTAACTGATTATTATGGCATTAGCTAAAAAACATTTCAAGATTTCATGCCTGTAAAGAAATGTACGCACAGTAGAAATTGTCCTGTTTCTATGCACAGATAGATGCCACATGACAATTATTTAATCCAAGTTTTACAGTTTAACACTGTTGAACATTCCACTAATATGTTCCCTCTGCATCAGTCTTAAAACTTTCCATTCTCTTTCAGTAGACTTTCCTCTCATAATTATAACCCCATGCTATCTCCATCTTCCTTTTAACTTTCTGATACCTCCTATGAGGTAGGTTCTGTTAATATTATAACCATTTTGCAGACAGACAAGGACGTTGAGACAGAGGTTATTAACATGTCCAAATGCCACAGCAAATCGGGGTCTCTAGTCCGGTGTTGTCTGTGCTCTTAAGCACCATGCCACATGGCTTCTCTACAATCTACAGAGGTGCTTTCGCAGATGTGTGTTCACCATGAGGAAAAGCACTGATAGGTTAATCTGGAAATGCAGAATGCCCTTTCAACACACCGTCCTGGAGCGTAAGGGCAAAAGGGAGGTGTGCGGGGAGACATCATAGCAAAGGGCCCCTCATTTCAAGGCAGAAAATTGAAACTGATAGGATGAAATTTCATCCTATAGGTAACGGCTAGCCAGCTGTCTAAGATTTTAAACAACAGACTCACACGATCAGAATTGAATTTTAGCAAATAAGCAGTGTTGACATGAACTGGAGAGGAAAGACTGGCACTGGGGACACTAGATATGAGGCTATTACAATGTTCTAAATAAAGGCCAGGGAAGACTTAAACCCAGGCTACAGCACTAAAGACAGAGGAAGTACACCAATTACATGAGGAGAAAAAAAAGCTATCCATCAAGAGTAGGGCCCAGGGGGCCGGCACGGTGACTTACGTCTGTAATCCTAGCACTCTGGGAGGCTGAAGTGGGTACATCACTTGAGGTCAGGAGTTTGAGAACAGCCTGGCCAACATGGTAGAAACCCATCTCTACTAAAAACACAAAAATTATCCAAGCTTGGTGGTGTGCGCTTGTAATCCCAGCTATTCAGGAGGCTGAGGCAGGAGAATTGCTTGTACATGGGAGGCGGAGGCTGCAGTGAGCCGAGATCACACTACTAGACTCCGTCTCCAAAAAAAATAAAAACAAGAAGAAGAAGAATAGCGCCAGGGTTTAACATGTACATTTCTGAGGATGGAGCTGCCACTGAAAAATAACACACACAAGAGAAGTTCTAGGAGAAAGACAAGTTTGGTTTCATGGACCTGCAAACTTTGCTCTGCCTGCAGGAATGGAAGATAAGAGAGGGGGACTTTGAAAACAGAGCTCTGCTGGCATTCTTCAAATTACTGCACAGGCAAGCATCTGCTCTACCAATCCCTGCGTCGTGGTAAGACTTCATGTGTCCATTTGTTCTGACGTTGTAAGTTGCTTCCACATCTTGTATTTCCCTTTCTCCTAGCAGTCAATGCAGTGGTTGACATTACAGGCTCTGAGGTTGAGACCATTTGAGCCCTGCAGTTGTTTGGTTTCTTGAAGCCTTTGTCTCCCAGACCTGAGGAGCACAGAAAGGCTTGTCTTATAGAGTCCTCATGACGTACTCAGCATAGTGCCTGTAACAGAGTTAATATGAAATCAGTGTGAGCTAAATTAAGGTCAAAACCGTATTAGTGAGAGAAATGTGGCATGGACATCACTTTGCTGATGAGAAAACTACCACCAAGAAATAAATGGTTGGTGTGTATACACAGGTACAGAGCTGGTAGAAAGCACAGTAAGAACCAGAACTCAGAACTCGAGACTCTTCATCTCTTGCCTCTAAATTTGCACTTTCCAAATTTTAAATCAAAATAACTCACGTTCTTACCTCTCCAGATCCATTTATTTTAAGAAAAGAAAACCATAGTAAATTTGAAAAACTCTCTCTAAAATGCCATTTAAACTAAGTGGTACAGATTCCATTAGGGATCCTGGGAGATTTTAAAAGGCGATGTATGTAAAATGCTTAGCCCAGTGTCCTGGCACAGTGGAGGAGGACATTAGGTCTGGGGACAATAGATTCCATAGTTGTACACATGGGGCTGCAAGCAGCAGAAGCATTTTTCTGCACCAGCAACTTACCAGAAGGACTCTGGGTACACCTTGGTGAAGTTCTGACCTGCAAAGTCACTCTTCAAGTGGCAGCAAGCACATTTGGGAGAAATCTCAAAACCTCCTAAGTTATTTTTAAATTGCAATTTTCCAGTAGCTCAAAATATGATTCAATACACTAACGTTCTAATTTCAGCTACTGGTACTAGACACATTCCCAAGGCTCAAAAAAAAATTTAAACAATAAAAGATTCTTCCCAAAGTAAGGCTGCAAGATGTCTGTGGTGAGCGGAGTTTCCTGATTCCCTCTTCAAACTGCATGCTACTATCCTGACATATAACAAGGCTCAGTTCAAGGCTGCCTAGGAGAGGCATAAAATGCCTCCATGTGAAAGATAAGTTGGAATATGATCCTTTTGAATACACTCGTGTGAAGCTGCAACAATTGCGGACATTACCACCACTGCATTGCAAAAATCTACAAGGAACAAGACCATCAGAGTTCCATCTCACGTAACAGTGACCTACACTGAAGCAAGCACCTGTGAAAGAGGGGCGGGGCACCACCTTCTCATGCCACACCCACCTCGCTCTATAGGAAAGGTGGCATGTAAGATGTTCCTCAACAGCATTATCACACAGTACTATTTTTACTTACTTATTTGGAGACAGGTTCTCACTCTGTCACCTAGGCTGAAGTGCAAGGGCGCGATCATGGGTCACTGCAGTCTTGAACTCCAGGACTCAAGCCATCCTCCCACCTCGGCCTCTGGAGGAGCAGGGACTACAGATGCATGACATGATGCCCAGCTAATTTTTTTTTTTTACTTTTTGTGGAGACGTAGTCTTGCAATGTTGTCCAGGTTGGTCTTGGACTCCTGGGCTCCAGCGATCCACCCACCTTGGCCTCCCAAAGTGGTGAGATTACAGGCAGGAGCCACCACGCCCAGGCTACATGGTACTATTCACACCCAGGCTACATTGTACTATTAAAACAGAAAACAACTTTTCTAGCATTCAGTAAATAATGTTATAAACAATGTGAATTGTATTCACGTAATCATCAAATATCTATTAAATGCTTACTGCATGGAAGGGACCATACCAATTATCACAGGAGACAAACCGAAGGGTCAGCTGAGATCCCTGTCCTCACCAGGGTAATGGGGAGTGGCAAGGACAGTTCTAAAAACAATGTTTATGTCAAGGGAATGTGATCAGTCATTCGCGATATAAACAAAACAATGCCGTAGTTCAGAGGAGAGAAAGATCATCTGTTTGGAAGAATCACAGAAGCTTCTGCAGAGCCTTTCAAGTTGAGTATTATTTGTTAGGTAGAGATGGAAAAACTTGGGAGAATACCCAAATCATCATGGATATAAAATATGCAGCAGGGCCAGGCACAGTAGCTCACACCTGTAATCCCAGTGCTGTGGGAAGCTGAGGTGGGGGGATCACTTAAGGCCAGGAGTTTGAGACAAGCCTGGGCAACACAGCAAGACCCCATCTCTAAAACATAAAAATTAGCTGGGCATTGTGGTACATTCCTGTAGTCCTAGCTCCTTGGAAGGATGAGGCAGGAGGATCGCTTGAGCCCAGGAGTTCAATGCTACAGCAAGGATCACACCATCTCACCCCAGCCTGGGCAACAGAGTGAGATCCTGTCTCTGAAAAAACACTGCCACAGATCTAATTAAGATTTTCCATTCCCACCATCCCCACTCCAATTCCGCTATTAACGATGCATGTTATTTTAATAAAAAGACGAAAAAATAGAGAACTCAAAACTCACCATTTAATCAACCATGCCTAATTTTTTTTTCTAGATTTTGTTTTTCTAGTCTGTTTCTTTTAGCTTTCAAACCCTTTACATATTTCCCAGGGCAAGGTGAAAATACAATGAGCCTTGTCATAGTCCTAATTTTTTTAATATTAGTTCCTTCCATATAGTAGGAAGAGTTGGGATTTTTTTTTCTTGACTCTAAGTTAATGAGTCTCAAGATTGATATAAATGCAATTATCCTGTGGAGTGGTGAGTCTAAGGAGGCTTCAGCTTTTAATAAACATTGCTTATCCCTATTAAAAGCCTCTAATGTGATAAGGTTTGTAAGCCCTTAGCTACAGAGGACTGGGACCATTGATTGCCTAAGCCCCCAAGATGTTTATTTCCAGCTTCCCCGCTCAATGACAGAACAGACATAAACAAGAACATAACAAAACAAGGTGTACCTTTATGGAACATCCCACAGCCTCAGCCTAAGAATCAGGCAAAAGATGCTGGAAATAAAGAGAGAAAGAGAGACACAGAGAGAGAGAGACAGAGACCATCCCCACTACAGACACTTGTAAACCAGAACAGTATCTCTGAGGACCAGCCAAGGAAATTGAGAAATAGTGCCTAGCACAAACTGACCACAGCATTGCTTATGATTTACTACTCTGTTACATCTTTATTTCCAGCAATTCAGAAAAGCAAGCATGCCCCTTCAGTATGGAAACTTTGTGTTCTTTGTCCAATATATATCTGCCAGGCCTGGCTCTCCTTCCAGGGCAATCCCTGTTGCCAAATTGATGAAAAACTAATGTCAATTTTCTTTAAACAAACGTGAAAATGGCTTGCAGAGTTAAAACTAAAACACTCATTGTGGGAGGCATCATTACTGCCTTTATTTTTGTTTCTACTGGCACTAAAAACCTGCAGAATGGCTGGGCATGGTGGCCCATTCCTGTAATCTCAGCACTTTGGGAGGCTGAGGCCGGCGGATCATTTGAGATCAGGAGTTCAAGACCAGCCTGGCTAACATGGTGAAGCCCCACCTCTACTAAAAAATACAAAAAAGAAAAAAAAAATTAGCTGGGCCTGGTGGTGCATGTCTATAGTCCCTGCTACTCAGGAGGCTGAGGTAGGAGAATCGCTTGAACCCAGCAGGCAGAGGCTGCAGTGAGCTGAGATCATGCCACTGCATGCCAGTCTGGCTGACAGAGGGAAACTTGTCCCAAAAAAAAAAAAAAAAAAAAAAAAAAAAAAAAAAGTAGAGCCCACCATAAGCCTTGTGCACAAAGCTGGAATAAATGACCTAGAGAAAAGTTGCCAAGTGACAACAGAGAGAAAGCAGCCTGCCCTCGGAGCACATTTGAGGTACATGAATGTCCTAGTCTACAGAGGCACAACCTCTGAACTGAGGCCCTAGAACCAGCACCTTGGCAGTGCCAGCTACGTGAGGCCAGGGGTGGCTCTATTTTGCTGCTCCCTGAGGGATTACTGCCAGCGTCAGTGCTGCTCCACTGCTCTGTCCTATATAACCGTAGTGCAATATCCAAACCAGAAACTAGGTCTAGTGCGCATTTACCATTCCATTTTATCATATGTGCAAGAATGGGGAAACTAGCTGAGGAATACTTCAGACCTTTACAACTTCCTATAAATCCGTAATTATTTTCAAATAAAAAGTTAAAAAAGGAAAAGGCTGCCCAGCTCCACAAGGCCCAATGCTGTCATATCCTACCTCCCGCTACGCTTTGTTCAAACCCACCTCTCTCATGAAATCCAACTGAGTCTAGGGAAAGGGACATGGGATTGGGAGGCAGGAGCCCTGGTTTCCATTCAGGGGCTTGCATTTCCTTAACTAGAGGGGCAGAACAGCTATTACTCAAGGGCCCTTAACTTTTAAGATTTATAGATAAAGGCCAGGCACAGTGGCTTACGCCTATAATCCCAGCACTTTGGGAAGCTGAGGCAGGCAGATCACAAGGTGAAGAGAATGAGACCATCCTAGCCAACATGGTGAAACTTCATCACTACTAAAAATACAAAAATTAGCTGGGCATGGTGGTACGCGCCTGTAGTGCCAGCTACTCGGGAGACCGAGGCAGGATAATCACTTGAACCTGGGAGGCGGAGGTTGCAGTGAGCCAAGATTGTGCCACTGCACTCCAGCTTGGTGACAGAGCGAGACTCTGTTTCAAAATAATAATAATAATTTATATATAAAAATTGTAGGTAAAAGAGAAATGCTTATTTGACTGATAAAGATATTACTTAAAGGAGCCACAATCCAATGGCGATCAATCAGAAACAAAAATAAACCATTTCTAAAAACATCACGTAATTTAATAGAAAAAGCTCCATCCTTTACCAAACTTCAAACAAACGACTACTTCTCCAACAGGTATTTCATGAGTATAGCAAAATACAACAGAAAAAGTACTTGGCTCACTTTTTTGCAACTAAAATTATCAAAGCTCTGGCCATTCCAGGAGTACAAAAAATGCTAACAAAATCTTTAGACAACCTTCGGTTTAACAAACATTTACTCAGTACCTACGTTAAATGCTATGTTAAAGTCTCATTCAGGATCTTAGATATCCGTATCTATATGACTCACTACATATCTACCCACCTATCTATATCTATCTATACCTATATACTATGTAGCTAAAGACAGGTAAAGCTCACGATATCAAGATAAGTAAGACAGCATTCTTGACCTTAAGGAGTTTGAAGTACACTGGCAGTAACAGATCCATGAAAGGATAAATCAATCAACTAACTGCTAGGACAGAGGAACAAAAGGAACAAAGGGGACATAGATGAGGAATATTCAACCTAACCTCACGCATTCAGAAACAGCTTTCTGCAGGAGATGACACCTCAGCTAGGTCTTGGAGGAGAAGGTTAGCCAGGAAGAGAGGATAAAAGAGGGCCAGGAACAGTGGCTCACACCTGTAATCTCAGCACTTTGGGAGGCTGAGGAGGGTGGATCACTTGAGCCCAGGAGTTCAAGACCAGCCAGGCCAATATGGTGAACCAACCCCGCCCCTCCAACTCCTAAAAATAGAAAAATTAGCCAGGCATGGTGGTGGGTGGCTACAGTCCCAGCTACTCCAGAGGCTGAGGACGGAAAATCGCTTGAACCTGCGAGGCAGAGGTTAAAGTGAGCTGAGATCGTGCCACTGCACTCTAGCCTGGGTGACAAAGTGAGACTCCATGTCAAAAAAATAAAGGATAAAAGAGGCTTTCTGGTAGAAGTAACTGAGTGGCATAGGCTTGGAAGCGACATTACGCATGAGAACCACGCAGGCAGGTCAGCATAGCTGGAGTGTGGGGTGCTGAGCTGAAGTAGCAGGGTCAGGCTGTAGAAAACCAAAAATATCAAATTTGGGGAGGAGATTATGAGTGTGGGCTTAGACAAGTTAAGCTCAAGTGCCTCTGAAGCATCCAGGCGGAGATGGTGACTAAGCAAGTCAGAGAAAAGAAGAGCTGTACGCCAGAGAGGTAGATTCAGGGCCACTGGCATATTGATAGGAATCAAACCGTAAGACTGAAGGAGATAAACTCAGGGAGAAAATCGAGTGGGAAGAAAAGGTGGTGCTGAGTCTATAGGAACTCCAACATCAAACAGCCAGGAAGAGGAAATAAGCCTGCAAAGCAGCTGGAGAAGGAACTTCTGGAGATGACCCACATTGTTATGAACTTGGGGGCTGAGGCTCTGCCTGAGTAGGTTTGACACAGGGCTATCCAGAACTGACTGAGGTAGCCTGGCTAATTCTGTAGCCCATTTTTGCCACGTATCCCGGTCATGTTCTCCAAATTAGCCAATATTTGTGTCTCCATCTGCCCGAACACCATTTTCCGACTCGTTCAGGACTGAGAAAGAAAAAGAAAAAAAAAAAGCAAGCAGCCCTTGATATTCAGAAGCTTGCCTGACAGTCACGGCAAGGTCATGTTATTCCGCTATTAGACATAAACCATCTCAAAGAAAACCAGCCTCACACAAGTGATAAAGAGAGACAAAACAAGGCCACTCCATAATTTTGTCTAAACACAGACAAAAACAAGGTCAACATGTCACCCGCAAAATACCAAACACCCCCTTTTCTTGGCCAAAGTGACTGCCTCTTTACTAATTACAACTTTATCCTCATTCTAGACCCCCATAGTAAGATTTACTGAGATACCTTATGTGAGAATTACTCTTTCTGAGGAGATCCAATCTAGAGCAAATCTCTCCTTCCTTAAACCCACCCCCAAATCATCCAACCAAGACCCAAATCTGTATGATGGGTTCTCCCTCAACACCCTCTTACTAGGATACCTCACGACTTCCCATGGTATGCATTCTCCTTTGCAGCAACAAATAATAAACCCAGCGTGTCCAACTACAGAGTGTGCCTAACAGTCTTTGGCTGGAGGGAACTGACAGAACTCAGATGTAGAAAATAAAGATATCAAACCCCTAGATACCCCAAACGCTAAGGCTAGGATGGTAGTTCTCTCTTGAGATGGAAGAAGTGGGATGTGACTGGGGAAGGGCACACAGCCTTCAGAAGGTCTATGAGTAATGGTTGTTAATGTTAAGATTTTATTTATTAAACCAAATGGCGAGTAGATGGGGCTGTCATTCACAAAATTTTGAAGTCTCAAAATTTGAATATACCTTTAAAAAGAAGGATTCAGTGGACAGCAACGTCAGATGCTGCCGAGAAATCAAGTAAGCTGAGAACTGCAACAAAGCTCGGTGAGTTGAGCAACGTGGGGGTCAACGGTAACTTAAAAGCTTTTTTGGTGAGTTGTTGAGTGCGAAAGAAGAGTGAATTAAAGACAGAGTGGGAAGGAAATGGAGACAATGAATATGCAGAAATTTTTCCAGAAGTTTAACTGCATAGCAGAAGAGTGAGAGTGAGTGAGCAGTAGTTGGAAGGGTGTGTATCAGGGAGAAGACCAGGGCATTTGTGCAACTGACCAGACCTGTGGGCCTTGACCACTACTGGGCATCAGCTCTTCCTCCTGGCTCCTGGAATCCTACTCAAGGCTGGTGGCAAACAAGTAGGAGCTAAATCAAGAAGAAGCTCTTATCTCCTGTTTCACTTGACTTTGACGTTTGGGCTCTTAATAACATTTCATTCATCATTACTGCAACCCTTTCCCCATTACTAATAAATATCAGGAATAGTTATCAAATACGTATCAATATCAAAATAGCAGTGAATGAAAAAGTGGTAAGGGAAAATGTGTCTATTCATTAAAACTTCAAATACACACACACATACACCCACACACACAGAGTTGTCGCTTGGTATCCATGAGGGACAGATTCCAGGACTCCTCCATGGATACTAAAATCCATGTATGCACAGCTCCCTTATGCAAAATGGTGCAGTACTTGTGTATAACCTAAGCACATCCTCCTGTATACTTTAAATCATCTCTACATTATTTATAATAACCTAACACAATGTGATGCTATGTAAATAGCTATTGTACTATTATTTGTATAATTTTTACAATTATTTCTCATATTTTATTTTTTAAAATAGTCTCAGCCCAACACAGTGGCTCACGCCTGTAATCCTAGCACTTAGGAAGGCTGAGGTGAGCTCTTGCCTGAGCTCAGGAGTTGGAGTCCAGCCTGGTCAACATGATGAAACTCTGTCTCTACTAAAAATACAAAATAATTAGCCAGGCATAGTGGTGCGTGCCTGTAATCCCAGCTACTCGGGGGCTGAGGCATGAAAATTGCATGAACCCAGGAGGCAGAGGTTGCAGTGAGCCAAGATCACGCCACTGCACTCCAGCCTGGGCAACAGAGCGAGACTCTGGCTGAAAAAACAAAACAAAACAAAACAAAACAAAACAAAAAAAATTCAATCCATGGTTGGTTGAATCCATTCAATATCCATGAATGTGTACACATACACACACACACACACACACACACACACGCACACAAGTACTGACTGTACATGAGTGTGTATGTGTATATATGTAAGTGTATATATAATTTTATAATATCTATAACTCTTTGCTTCATTAACATAGATGAGTAACAGATTTTGCATTTATGACTTAGTCTCTACATTTATGCATTATAATCATGACATGTAAACTTTACTAGAATTCAGTCGCTAAACTCTTACTTCTAAAAAAATGTAAAACCGATAGCACAGCAGAAAAAAGTAAATTGTTCACCGGGCACAGTGGCTCGCAGCTCGAGTCCCAGTTATTCAAGTGGCTGAGGCTGGAGGATCGCTTGAACCCAAGAGATCGGGGCTATAGCGAGCTATGATTGTGCCACTGCCCTTCAGCCTGGACAACAGAGCAAGACCTTATCTCATAAAGGAATAGAAAAGGAAAAAGTTGATTGTCCATGAAGTTAGTAAGACTATTTACCTGAAGTCACAGACTTTCTAATGAGAAAGGGACTGGTGAGGAAAAAAGAGTCACACGAAATGAGCAACAGAAGTTTTGTTCAACACAAATATTTCCCTGCAATCTGGAGTGTGTGGAGTTACTGCCTCTAGCCCCACTGCCTTGAACCTACAGGGGGTTCTCTGCCACTCCCCACAGAAACTGTCATCAGTCAATCAGTATCAGCTGATCTTCAAGCCTGACACTTCAAGTGTGAATACCTAAGAATCTGAACCCGTGGTTTCTTGCTAAGGCTTCCATTTCCTATTACATGAAAACATCTTGATGATTAAAAGAAAAATTAAAACCTTAGACTAATTCCAGGGAGCTTGAAACTCTTCAGAGATAGAGCTATTTTCTAAATCCTCATGACATTCCACCAAGGGAGGCAGATATCTATCATCTTTATTTTAGAGTTGGAAACATTGAAACCCCAAAAGCACAAGCTTCTTAAAAAGAATGTAACATAATCAGTCTGCCAGAATTTTCACTCATAGCTCCACATAATTTAAAAAGTCAATGTAAGTCAAATGGGATGGACGTTAATATTGCCATTCCCATGAGACATATTCTGGACTGCTAAAGAAATTGCAGGGCAGGAGGCAGAACACCCAGCTCAGTCCTAGCTGGAGCCACAGCTTTGAGTGGATCACTTCATTTATTTAAGTTCCCTTATTTACAAAATACTATCAAAATTTACAATGCAATGGCATCTCCAAGTCCTGTTTCTAACACCACCGCTTACCAACTAAGTAACCTTGGCAAATCACTAAAGTTCTCTGGGTCTCAGCTTCTCAGGTGCAAGGAAAATTGACATAGAATCTCATGACTTCAAGGCAGGAGCCCTCAACACCTCACCTCTTCAGAGTATAGCCAAGGTGAAATTTTTTTATCAACTGTGACTTCGGTGGAACAAAAGAACTTTGTTGTTTGCAAGCAAATTCAACTTGGCTTTCACGTCCCCAGTCTGCAGGGAGCACACCACCCATCATAGCCTGTTCTGCTCTACTCACTGTGATCCAGTGGTTCCTTTTGGCCAGATGCAGGTACTGCCCAGTCCAAAGCTCAATGTCTTTCCAGCAGATGGGGCCTCTGGGTTTCTCCTGCCTGCCCCTTCCCTTTTCCCTGGATGCTTGGGCTTCTGGAAGGGAAAAGAGGAGCCTGGCCCTTCTGAATCTCTCTACTTCCTGCCTGCTGGTTGAGTTTTTCTTTCCTATTCTAAGGAAAATAGTCCTGACATCATATCCTGCATGAATGCCATGGTGTACTGTAAATTCTAGGCTCTGTTGGTCTTGGCTGGTAGGAGAGCACAGAGCCTTCGTCGCTGTTTCTTTCTGTCTCTCAACAAGTTTAGCTTTTGGAAATTAAAAAAAAAAAACATGTTTGTTTGCACATTATTGTCTCGCTCTGGACCTTAAAACAATCTCATTTTGATCCTGGAAGCCCAGCAGCCATGGCTTCTTTATCCAAGCTATACCCACCCTCCTCCCAAAACAACAATTATCCCAGTTTCAATGGATGCAAAGCTGCAGGGCAGTGAGGAACAATTAGGGGTGACTGGGGATGAGGACATATGAGCCCGGTATTTTCAAAAACATGAGCCGTGTTACAAAAGCCTTTTATGTCTGTCTTCTCTTTTCTATTCCCTTAAACATCTCTCTGCTTTAGGTTCCTATCATGACAAAAGAGCTCCCTAACCAGTCTTCCCACTCCAAATCCTCACCACAGCTGCCATTATAGTTTTACTAAACCATGGCTTCAATCATGATTTTCAAAAATAATGACCTGGAAAGTCCTCACACTGACCCTCAAAGTCTTTCTAATGTGGCCCTCTCCCTGCCTTCTAGCCTTGGCTCCTACCATATTCCAGTCATACGAGTACTCAGATGGCAGAAGGTGCCTGAAGAGGTAGTGAGCTCTTCCTCATCACAGATACACATGTTCAGGCTGGTTAACCCTTGGCGAGAAGGTACAGAGAGCGAGGAGTCACCTAAAATGCTAGATTCAGATCCATCTACACCAAAGGAAATGTTTACACATACCCCACTTCTCTGTACTACAGGTGAACTACAAAACAAGCTGCTTATCCACCGGACTCAGTATTTTCCAACTGCCATACATCCCATCCGATCAACACTGTCATCTTTGTCTAAAATAGTCCTCTCTTCTTCTACCCCAACTTTTATTTTCCTTTCCTAATTCTGCTCCTTAAGACTTATCTTAAATATTAAATGTCAAACTTTTCATGAAGCTTTTCTTTTCTACTGTATATTCTATCCTGTTTAGTCTTAAAGCAGTTTGACGTTTTTGTTTTTGTTTTTGTTTTTGAGAGACAAGGTCTCCCTCTGTCACCCAGGCTGGAGTGTGGTGACGATGTCATAGCTCACCACAGCCTCAAACTTTTGGGATCAAGCGATCCTCTCACTTCAGCCTCTTGAGTAGCTAGACCTACAGGTACATACCACCACACCTAGCTAATTTTTTTATTTTTATTTTTATAGAGATGGGGTCTTGCTATGTTGCCCAGGCTGGTCTCAAACTCCTGGCCTCAAGTGATCCTCCTGCCCTGGCCTCCCAAAGCATTAGGATTACAGTCATAAGCCATGAGTCCCTATTTTTAATTTATCCTAATTTAATTTAATTTCCCTATTTTTAATTTATGCTTTTCCAAATCCTACTCTTCCAAGACTTATCAATATCAAATGGTTCATGAAGATTTTCTTCGCTAGTGTACCTTCTATCCTGCTTGGTCTTCAAGCACTAGAGTTTAACCTTTCTATGGCTCATATAGAATATTTTTGATCATATCTTTTCATGTACTTCACATCCTCCTAATAGGCTGTAAGCTCTTTGAGAGCAAGGAATGGCTCTTCCTCTTTCTGTGTATTAACAGCATCGACAATGCAGAATAACGCTTAGTTTCAGTATGTTGAGCTCCCATAATATACTGATCATAATGCTCATTGCTGTAGGCATATAGAAGAGCTTTTTACAGTTCTTTTTCTCCAAAACATATGCAGTCTAATTGGGAATACATGGAAAACAAAGCTTAGATTTTTTAAAAGGGTCAAAATAATAAGATGTTTAAAACCATGAGGGGAAGAAAAAGAGAATCTTTACTATTACACCAAAATAATCTCCCCAGATTTTTTGGCATGTCTCTCCCTACCTTCCCCCCATGCCAAATCAATTGTTCTGAGGTACTCAGATGCAGAATTTGGTCTTATTTCCTTTCAAAATCTAAATTTAAAATAAGTATAATATTAAAAATATATTCAGTGATGTGTGACAAATAGTATAAAGTTTGAAAGAATACTTGATGTTAGCAAGTTCATAGTTCAATGTAATATTAAGTTGCATATGAGGCCGGGTGTGGTGGTTCACATCTGTAATTCCAGCACTTTGGGAGGCCAAGGCATGTGGATCACTTCAGGTCAGGAGTTCGAGACTAGCCTGGCCAACACTGTGACACCTCATCTCTACCAAAAAAATACAGAAATTAGCCAGGTGTGGCAGGTGCCTTTAGTACCAGCTACTCAGGAGGCTGAGGCAGCAGAATAGCTTGAACCCAGGAGGCAGAGGCTGCAGTGAGCTGAGATCCCACTACTGCACTCTAGCCTGAGTGACAGAGTGAGACTCCATCTCAAGAAAAAAAAAATCTGTGTAAGAGTACTTATTTAATCAAGAAGCAGATTCCTGGGGAATCGGACACCCATCGGCTGCATTGCTGTAGATGGTGGTGCACAAGTGGGGAAAACACACCAATCATGACCCTGCAGGTACCATTCAGCCAGGGGCCAGGGAAAATTAAATGAAATCCACCAAGAACTATTTCTTGGCATGACTAAAAGCAGACGGGAATCGAAAACCGAATCAGAAACGAGAAAGCCCCAAGTGACCTAAACTCTCTCACACACGTCTAAAATGCTCAGTGAATGACAGTTTAAAGAGGCGTAAAAATGCCTAGAAGAAATAAAATAATCGTCATAAGCAGTTTGTTAGAACTAATCTTGCATTTGGCAATCTTTTTTCTTCAAGTCAAGTGGGGAGTTTGTAATCCAAACAGCCTTGGTGATTATAACCATATATTTTGTGTCTATCCATTGCACTTCGCCATATTTCCTCCCAGAAGAAGCTTCAAATCCCTGACCACTGCCGAAATATATGTGGTGGCTGACACCACCAAAAGATGTTGCCAGGTTGAAGTAAATAAAAAGACAGAGTTAGCAGTGAGTATCAGGGAGTATTTGGAAAGAAAAGCAAAGGCTTAAAACCATCTGTGCTGAGAGAAAGAATGTGAAGAAATAGGTTCCTAACACATTTAAACATTTTAAACCTATTTCCAAATTATCATCCCTGTGCCTGCTACTGACATATAAATGACAACATTTGAAAAAAAAATAGAAAAGAAATATTATTTCCTATGTTTAATTTTATGAAATCTGGCTCTCTAGAAGCCTGAAAATTTCAGCGTGTTCTTCTAGCACCTCAAAGAAGGATTCATCATCCAAGATGTCCCTTAAGCTATTTCTAAAACTAACGGCTCAAGATAACTTAGCCATTAACAACTTCTACTCCAAAAGAGCAGTGAAAAATTAGTTAAAAGTTGATGACTATTTTAAAAGGATCTCTCTATAAGGGGTGATTTACCAGTTGAACTCTCCTGACTGGAGGGTTTAGACAAAATACACTTATATAAACTAGTTCTCAAAATCACTAGTTCAATTAAATGTCCATTAATAACAATAAAACTTTGAATATTTAAAATCATTTAAACAATGATCAACCAATTCAGGTAGTGCTCCAAGTCAATTTTCAGAAATTTAAAAACTAAATATGATTCTGATTGTAAGATGATGAATTGAACCCATCCATTTAATCTGATGTAATACACCATATTAGCAAGCCATAGAAGGAAAAAAATCACATGATCTTATCAACTGATGTCAAAAAACATTTGAAAAACTTCAACATCCATTCACAATTTAAAACTCTCAGAAAAGCAAGAATAGAGGGAATTTCCTCCACTGGATAAGGAATATCTACAATAAACCTACAACTAACATTATACTTAATGGTGAAATACTAAATACATTCCTTTCAGACTGGGAACAAAGCAAGGATGTTAATTTTCACAACTTTTGATAGATCTAGTACTGGAAGTTCTAGCCAATGCAAGTGAAGAAAAAGAAAAGGCATACAGATTAGAAAGGAAGAAGTAAAACTGTCCATTTTTGCAGAAGACATGATCTATATAGGCAATGCCAAGTAATCTACAAAAAACTCCTTGAGTAAGTGAGTGAGTCCAGCAGGAACAAAGGATATAAGATCAATATATGACACTTAATTGCATAATGTAAACTATAAACTTTGGGTGATGATGATGTAAAATGTAGATTCATCAATTTAACAAATATATCACTCTGGTTGGGAATGTTGTTAACAGGGGAGGCTACACATGCGTAAAGGCAAGGGGTATATGGAAAATCTTTGTACCTTCTTCATTTTGCTCTGAACTTCAAAATTTTGTAAAAAATGTTAAAAAAAACAAATGCATCTCCACACATAGCAATCAACATATGGACACTGAAATTAAAAATACAAGAGCATTTATAATCACTAAAAAAAATTTAAATACTTAGGTATAAATCTAACAAGATATGTACATGCCTTATGTGCTGAAAACTACAAGACACAGATGAAAATTTAAAAATCTAAATGAATAGATGCATGGATTGGAAAATGTAATCAGGAGTTACATGACTCAACAGGAAATAAATTCTCTTCAAATTGATATATAAATTTAATATAACTCCTATAAAAAATCTCAGCAAGATTGCTTTGTACATATGAAGATTATAGAATCTACGTAAGAAAGCAAAAGAGCTAGAACAGCAAATAATTTCAAAAAGAAAAATGAAGTGGGAGAAATCAGTCTACTAGTTTCAAGAATTATTATACAGCTACAGCAGTTGAGACTGGCAGAAGTAGTGGCAGAGAGATAGATATACAGAACAACAAAGTAGAATAGAGAACCCAGAAATAGGTACAACTGCTACGTCCAACTGCTTTTTCACAAAGGTACAGAAGTAATTCAACGGGGGTAAACAGCCTTTTCAACAAATGGTGCTGGTTCTGGAGCAAGTGAATATCCAATCTGAGAATCAAAAATAAAATCCTAAATCCCCCTCCAACCGACAAACTGATCTCCTCTTGGCCAATGGGATCCCAGAGAAACCTTAAAAATCTGAGTTCCTAGCCATGACAGCAAGGGAGGTCAGACACACCTCAGTATGTCCCTTCCTTATTAACCTTTAAGCAGAATTCTTTCCTCATGAGTAAGCAGAAACTAGCTCTGGAAAACAAGAAATGGTTAATTTGTTTCTTTATTACCTTGAGCCAATCATTTGAGGCTGTAACTACACTCCCCCTCCTTCTTTGCAGTTTTGATGGGACAGCTCACCAGTTCCACAATTCATCCCCCTCCTAAAATGTCAGTCTCTAAGCCAGTTTGTCTGACTCACAGAGGGTGTGCAGTAAACGGTCTTCGTGGCTTCAGAGGGCTGAAAACTCCACCCTTCGATTATGGTAAGGCTGCCATTTTTTAAAGCATGTGAACCTTGAAGAGGCATAAATCTCAATTGCTTCTTTCTCCTTTCATAAATATTCATGACTTATTATTCAATATGTACATTTGACCACCCCACTCAGCATAAATTCCTGTTCCCTTTACCCCTCACTCAAAGTGTCTGCTTTTGGCTTCTGCCAGAGACTACCCTTCCAAGCCTACAGGATGGGAAGCCTGCAGGCTGCAACCCTTTATGCGAAATAAAGCTCCCCTTTCCAAATTTATAAACCCAGTGATCCTTCAGTTGACAAATCCATAAGCAAACAAAAGAAAAAGGAACATCAACCTAAGTCTCACACCTCATACAAAAATTAAAATGCATCCCAGAGTTAAATGTAAGAGATTAAACTTTTAAAACTTTTAGGAAAAAACATAGGACAAAATCTTTGAGATCTAAGAGTAGACAAAGTACTATTTGACTTGACACCAAAAGCATAAGAACTATCAAAGAAACATACATTGGACTTCATTAAAAACTTTTGCTCTGCAAAATTCTTTGTTAAGATAATGAAAAGATAAGCTATGGACTGGGGAAAATATTTGCCAACTATGTATCTAACAAAGGACTAGCACCAACCTTTAGTCAGATATAAAGAACACTTGGTGGAGTGCAGTGGCTCATACCTCTAATCCCAGTGTTTTGGGAGGCTGAGGCAGGAGGATGCTTGAGGCCAGGAGTTCAAGATCAGCCTGGGCAACAAAGCAAGATGATACTGCTACAAAAAATGAAAAAGAGAAAATAAAAGTGAGCCAGGCATGGTGGCATGTGCCTGTAGTCCCCTAGCTACTTGAAAGGCTGAGGCAGGAAGATTGCTTGAGCCTAGGAGTTGGAGGCTGTAGTGAGCTATGATTGTACTCCATCCTGTGTGACAGAGCAAGATCCTGTCTGAAAAGGGAAAAATAAAAACCCTCAAGATTCAACAACATAAAAAAAAAGTCATATAATTAGAAAATGGGCAGAAGACATGAACAGACATTTCACTGTGGTAGAAAATCAGCTAGGAGGCCAAAGCAATGATGCAGGCAAAAGATACTTGTAATTGGAATGAGAATGGGGGCAACAAAAGTAGAGAGCAATGTATGAACCTGACCTCATGTCGAACGCAGGATTAAAGGACTGGGTAATTTGCATGGGGAAGTGAGAAGGAGGAGGCCTTCAGGATAACATCAGCCAACATTCGGTGCATAAAGGTTTAGTTTCTTGAACTGAGGGAGACCGGGGGAGGTACAGGCTGGGAAGAAACAGCCATGACTTATACTTTGGGCAAGACAAGCTGGAGATGGCTGGAAGATCAATTGAAACAGCAGGATTTGTGGACTTCACTCTGCACATCTGGGTCAAGGTTATAAAGTAGGCCTCCTATCCTGGTTCCGTTGCTTCCTAGATACCCCTGCCCCCAGACTCTGTGTCTCCTCACTGAGCCTACCAAGGTCAACCTTGCCGCTGAGCTAGTGTGTGTCCATTTGCTCTGCCTGGACCGCTCATCCTGAGATGTTGTCCCTCCTGGCTCCTTCTCTTCTGTTAGGTGTCAGCTGAGATGGTTTCTCCCAAAAGACCTTGTGCTGGGCATACAGGAGAAACTACAACTTCACCACCAGACACTCTGTATCACATTTTGTTATATTTTCTTTTTATATTTTTAGTGTATATATTTAACATGTACAGCTTGATGTTTTGATATACATATACCAAGTGAAATGATTACTATAGTCAAGCAAATTTACACACCTCACAGAGTCAGTGGGTTGTGTGTGTGTGTGGTTAGGAATCCCTAACATCTACACCCTTAGCAAACTTGCAGTACACAATATCATCAACTGTAGTCCTCATATGTATTAGATATCCAAATTTGCTCATTCTACATAACTACAAGTGTGTACCTTTTGACCTTCATAGAAAGAAACTATCTGAAATTAATCTTATTAATGTTCTTATTTATTATCTGCCTTCCCTTCAAGAAAGCTAAGTCCATTAGAACAGGGATCTTCCAAGTCCTATATTCTACCGTAACCTCTGTCCTCAGCACAGGGCCTGGCATATAGAAAGCACTGAATAAGTACGTTTTTGACTGGAAGGGAATTTAAAGCAAGGCTTCTCTGAAAGTCATGAATATCAGGAGAATTGTTAAGTAGAAAAAGAGCCAAGCAATATAATGCAACCAAGACTGTCCTGATAAATGTATACTTTCCAGATTAAAGGAGGTGGCAGTCCTACTAAATACTGCACTGTCAGGCCACAACAGGAGTATGCACAGTGATATGTGACACAGCAATATTTATCCTTGAGAAAAAAATGGAAACAAGTGACACTAAAAATGTTGGCCACATTGACTGTGATTCTCCACCCCCTTCCAGAGGCGATGCCCCTCCTACACCCCTGCTGAGGGGAGTTCTAGGCTATTAAACACAGATGGGCAGTGACATGGCCTTGGAGGGAGGGGGACAGGAGGGGAGATACCTATGAGGTAGCCTGGAAAGAAAGTTCTGCCTGAGAGGAGTTGGGGTGAGTAGCTGGCTCCATCAGACTCCTCCCTCTTGAAAGAAGAAATACTGAGAGAACTAGTCAACTAGTTAGTGGAGGTTACCCAAAGACACAGAGAGAGTAGCAGAGCCACAAAAGACTAAAGATCATGAATTCCTAACGCTAAACAACATCATTCCAGTTGTCCCTAATCCTGAAAAAAATGGCTATTCCCATGGCATGTGTTTTACAATACCCCAGTGCTTCATATTATTTTGGAATTGTTTCCTTGCTTCCAAAATAGTCTAATGACCTAAATACGTGACCAGAACATCATGTCCTATCCAG
This sequence comes from Homo sapiens, assembly GCF_000001405.40. NCBI lineage: Eukaryota > Metazoa > Chordata > Mammalia > Primates > Hominidae > Homo > Homo sapiens. Next base: position 19,540,243 of record NC_000008.11, read on the forward strand.
TTAATTATGCCCCTTCTGTCTGCTGAATTATCATGCAGACGTTAAAAAGGCTATTAAAGGGACTGCATGGTAACATGGAAAACAGTATTTATTCTTTAGTGTTACCTGGGTCGGGATTATAAAGTAGGTCTTCTACACCCCTCCTCTTGCTCCCTGGATTCGTACCCCATCGGCTCACTGTGTGGATACAAAAGTGACTAAAATTTGAGTTCACAGTTTCTGACACACAGTATCTGCTTATAAACACTTGTTTTGAATAAATGCTTGCACTGGGATTATAACTTAGCAGAGACCCTTATGTATCAGTAAGAGACTGGAAGGAAAAGCAACATAAGGAAAAATTTCAAATGTCTTAATGTGGTGGGCCAGGTTCTTTGTGATCTGATCTCTACTTCCTTCTCCTGCCTCAACTCTCAGCCCTTACGTCCTAGATTCTACGCTTCAGCCACAGTGCTATATGCTGTGGATTTCTCAATGGGTCACGCTGTCTTCTTGCCTGGAGAGCTTTGTTCACCCTGCTCCCTTTGCCCAGGAAGCCTTTCCTCTCCCTCCACCGGATCATCTTTCTCCCTTTGCTGGAATAATCCCCATACATCCTTCAGTATCAGCATGGATGTCACCTGCCAGGATGACTCATGTGAGTCTAGGTTAAATGCCCTGAGGTAGCACTCCTCCACTGAGCTATAGCTGCCAGTTCTCTCAACACTCTCCAAGCCCCTACCCTGTCCCCAGACTGTAGGTCATTTAAAGAAAGAATGACATCTTAACTCTTTATCACCTTCACTATAAATTATGCTCATGATGCATGTGGCAAAATTATACTAATGTATTTTCTCTGGGTGATAATTTTTTTTTTTAATGGAGTCTTGCTGTGTCCCCCAGGCTAGAATGCAGTGGCATGATCGCAGCTCACTGCAACCTTTGCCTCCCAGGTAAGGGAGAAACTCTAGCCTCAGCCTCCCAAGTAGCTGGAACCACAGGCACATGCCACCAAACTTGGCTAATTTTTTTTTTTTTTTTTTTTTTGAGACGGAGTCTTGCTTAGTCACCTAGGCTGGAGTGCACTGGCGTGATCTCGGCTCACTGCAAGCTCTGCCTCCTGGGTTCATGCCATTCTCCTGCCTCAGCCTCCCGAGCAGGTGGGACTACAGGCACTTGCCACCACACCCGGCTAATTTTTTTTGTATTTTTAGTAGAGATGGGGTTTCACTATGTTAGCCAGGATGGTCTCGATCTCCTGACCTCATGATCCGCCTGCCTCAGCCTCCCAAAGTGCTGGGATTACAGGTGTGAGCCACCGTGCTCAGCCAATTTTTTTTTTTTTTTTTTTTTTTTTTAGTAGAGACAGGAATTCACCACATTGGCCAGGCAGGTCTCCAGCTCCTGACCTCAGGTGATGCACCCTGTGTTGGCCTCCAAAAGTCCTGGGATTACAGGCCTGAGCCACTGCACCTGGCCTGGCTGATACATTCTTTATTAAGTAATTTTTACTATTGTTAGTTTGGCTTTTGTAAGCTTTCAGTGTTTATCTTAATAAATGTATTTTGTAATAAAACATGTAATTCTTCAATGTTTCTATTTTCCTATTCTTAAAATAACTGTGTGCAATAGAAGAATGAAGGGCCACTGTTAAATAAAAATCCCTGTAGGATCATGTCAAATATTGCTCCTGGCAGTTCTTATTTGAATCTCATAACATTTCACAGAAAAGGTCTTCAGTTATCACCAAATACTGGAATGGAGGCAAGATGTGTTTACACAAAAGAAGAGAAAACTTTGGCATGGATAGATCTTATGATAAAAAATATTCTCTAACCAAGGAGATTGTCTAGTTCTTGATGGAAGCAAAAAGAATAAATGACAAGGAATTGTTTTCCAAATGCTTTCTTCTGTGAGCTCCTTGATTTAGACAAAATTTCATTCCAAGTACTAAAGAAAGAAGAGAGACAGCACAAGAAACACACACACACACACACACACACACACACACACACAGGGTTATTATTCACTGAAGCCTGTTAGTTAAGCTCAAAGGAAAGCCATTGAAATTCCCTATAAAGAAAACACTGTCCGTCAAACCAGGACTGTGTCACTTAAGCCATAATAAGAAGGGAAGAATGTTTATTTCACAGAAGACTGGAACAGTATTAGCGGCAAAGGAATCATTAAATATTTTAAACAAGAGGCTCCATAGTGGGGTTCCATGTGACAGTCTCCCAGTCCCAGAGCCCTCGGTCTATTTTTCTCCTTTCCTGCACAAGCGCCTGCTGCCCCGACTCTTTTCAACCTCCCAGGTTCTGAGTGACACCCTGAGAAATCCTAATGGAGTTACCAAAACAAGAGATGATGATTAATTTCTATGGGGGAGTTTTAAGAATCTGTGTAGAGATGCAAAACACATTTGACTCCTAGTAGGAAGGTAAATAGGCGGCCACTTCTGCCAGCCATCTCTTCATTATCTAATCATTTTTATTAATTCATCTATCCAAAACCCCATCATTTTTTTTTAGGATAGCTGTCACGCAAAACAAAACAAGAAGAAAACATAATTCATAAGTTGTTTTAACGGCATAAATGGCTCTAAAGCAGTGGGGTTAATTTTATGAAAGTAACATTGTAAGCATTTTAAGAAGCCCTTCTGTAGATTCCAATTGTTTCCTGATAAATTCATTTGGGTTTTCCTACTTCAATAATGAAATATCAGAGAGGTATGAGCTATCAACAAGCAGAGAGCATGGTCTAGACTAAGCTACCAACAGTAAGACTCAATTTAAATTGTATGAAACCTAAGTCATAACTTTGGAAGCAGTCAGTTACATATGCAAAATATAACCCAGATTATGACTGAGTTATAACTAACAAATACTAGGCTCACGGAGTTTTCAAAACTAGATGTATATTATATACAGAATCCCCAGATACTATCATTTTCAGCTCCAGATGCCCTTATCAAATGTGAAGCCTAATCTTGATAGCTCAGAGAAATGATCACATTGCCCTCCCCCATCCTATACTTCAGGTTCAGTGTATTTTTGCAAACTGTTTACCAAGATGAATTGCAGTTCTGTGCAGGAAAGTGTTAACATAGCACGCCTGAGGCTTTCCTTAGAAAGTCCTGCAAGATCCGCCCTTGACAATGTCTGGGAACGGGGCTTGTAAAAAGTTCTCTATACGTATGTGAAGAGTTCTCTAACTGATAAGGTTGTTTTGCTGTGCCTAGACTGTTTGTAGAAACTGTGATTTACAGTGAGCCCCTACTTTCTTTCTGAGAGCCTGGTATTTGGCAGGGGTTGCTACACAGAGAATGCCTAAGTGACTATCTTCCTAATATGAACCCTAAACTCACAGTCTCCAGTGGGGTTCCACAGGCAGAAACTGCATACATGTGGCTGCATGTTTCCCAGCTGGGGAAGGTGCACTCTTTATGTAGCCTTTCATGTACAGTGCACAGGAAGCTATACATGGATTCCTCCAGACTACACTCATCTCTTTTTCCCTTGGTGACACTGTATGCATTCTTGCTATTTCACTGCAATTAATAATAACTGTAAGTGCAACTAAATGCTGATCCTGAGTCCTCCTAGTAGGACTCAAAATGTAGATGGCCTTGGGGACCCCTGAAACAAGTCCAAAAACAAAATACGACCTTTTACCAGTCGATCATTAACATTTGTTAATTTTTCTAAAGAGGAAAAGACGGTGCCAGTATTAAATTCTTCCTGATCAGCTTAGAGTTTTAGGAGAGAGACATAAAGACACTTGTTCTTCCCTCACGAAATACATCATAGCCTGATGCTGCTAATGTAATGGGTTTTCTATTGTGGGGACATAACTTTTTTTTTTTTTTAAACAAGTTGTTTTGCTGCTGTTTAGTTTATGGGAAAAGAATAGTTTGGTGACCACAAGGACATGGCTGTCAAACTATAGATTTAGACAGAGCCTGAATAACAAATCTGTTCCTTGCCAGAGGCAACAAAATAAAACTGAGCAGACAGCTGGAATATGTGCCACCACCACTGAGACCACAGTTTTCTTTCTCTAATCCAATCTTAAGGAAATATAATTTAATAGAACTAATCTCTACTATTTAAAAATATCTATGTAGTTTAAAAGACATTGGGAACAAATCAATGAATAACTTTTATTATTGAAATACTGAACATACTAAACATGAAACTTAGATGTTTAAGAGTATGACATTTTTATTTTTTTCTCCAATGCTGAAGGAAAAAGCTAACAATTTCGTGTGTTTTCTTTAACTACTTGAAAAGTCCATTAAATGAAACCAAAGATAACTCCGAACAGATATCCACCTGATTGAATGACCCTTTTGCTTTTTAACCTCTCTGGTGTTCAGAATTCTGGAGAGGATTTGAAACTGCCTTATCCAAATATTTTGTTATAATTCTTAAAGTAATGTGGAACAGGGCCCCATACCTATGCTGAGCTTAGCTATGCTAAATTCCAGGGGTGAATTAATAAACCTCTAGTAGCTGTAAGTTTAAATGATTCTTTTGTACAGTTTTAACTGCATAATTGGTCCAATTTTCATTTATCTTGCTGGAAAAATACAGACATCATCATTCTCCAAGTAAAAGCTGTGTATCTGAGATATAAAAAAAGTTCCCCAAGAAGACAACAAAGGAAGAGGCTATCGTTTACACACAGGACACCAGAAGTTCCTTTCCTTTCAAAAAGGAGAAGTTTTCAAAGAAAAAATGGGAACCAGGGGAGAAGCCAGTCAGTCCATCCTTTCAGACATTTTTTTTTTTTCCAATAACTTAGCTCCAAAGACCAGGATAAATCACGACGACACAGCGACTCCTGGGAGTTGTTCTGAAGCACAGTGAAGTCACTCCATGTCACCCTGGAAGCTAGAAAATATATTTTCCTCCAATAAAACTGTTAAAATCCTATCTCTGGACTTGACCCAGTCTTGCCTGTCACCAGGGAGGCCTGTTCATAGCAGTTAGGTGGCTGCCATACTTGGTATCTCCTACTGTAGTGAAATGAGGATGTCCTTGTGGTTGAGCAGAAATGAGATGAATGAAATCCCAGAAAAATCATTATTTTTCTATAAAACAATTAACGTTTAATTGAACATTTAAATTCATAGATAACCCTTTCACGAAAAATGAGATGGGGAAAATTTTCCTGCAGACTTATCTTGGCAAAGCCACCTCATGCCTATAACTTTTGTCTTTGATAATAACTGATGTAGAAAAAGCATAAAACATGATCATTGATTTCTGTCAGATGAAAAAGCAGATGGCAAGTGTCCTGATAGCAAAGACTCTGTCTTACATTTTTATTCCTCCTCAATGCCTAGTATGGTGTTTCAAACATAATATGCATTCAATAAATGTCTCTGGGTCAATGAATGAGTATGCTAAAAAGATAAAGTAGTAAAACAATAAGGGAGAAAAAACGTAAGGAAATGGTTAATGCGAAACTATAACTTTTCCTCCCAAGTCTCCAGGCAACTAAAGTTAGATGACGTTAATGAGACCTGCTGAGAAAAGGATATATATATATATTTGTAAACACACACATTATATATCTATATATATTAATATATGTATACATATATTATGTATATATAATAGTTATATACTATATATTATATATAAGTTATATGCTATATGTGTATACATATATAAGTTTATTTTTCTAAAACAGCAAAACAATGCACAAAAAATAAAATAAAGCTCACAATTTGCAAACTGCATGTATAGTTATAGTGTGTGATTCCTCCACAGATAGCCCAAGAAAATTTAGGTCATACAGTTGTCATACCATTAGATCAAATTTTAATAGTCCTTTTCACTTAAAACAAGAAGGAAGTTTTATAAGGAAACAAGACTCAATATATTTTACACAGTCAATTCAATAGCACAAATAGATATATGCAGATAAATTCAGCAGAATATATTTTTAGTATGCTTTGCCCAATTTCCATATTCACTGATATTTATCTGTCAAGTATATAAATACATAAAACATGATTAATCGTGTTTTTGTAAGTAAGTTGAACATGGCTTTCATATATGCCTAGAGGGCTGTGCTTCAATATTACGGCTTTTATTTTCCCTTCTCCAAAATGGCAACACAATACCCATCTGTCAATCTTATTCCTACTATAATCATCAAGTGGTAATTAACCTCTCTGGAATATTAAGGACTTTGTGGTCATGGACCTCAATAGAACATTGAAATAACTATGCCTCACTACTCTTCAATGAAATAGGGAAGTATCACTAAGAATTAAGGATGGAACACAAAGCTAACTACAAGTTTCTTAAACAAATGTGGCATCAAATTATTTAGAAAATAAATACTTGGAATACCATCTGATGCTGCACAGCCACATCCACTCTCCCAAGTCAGTATTCTCATGAATATTGTTTCTTCCCCCTACCCATTCTTGGGAATATCTGAAATGTACAATAAATATTCTTGTTGCTACTAGCACAGAAATGTAATAAACAAAAACCTATATGAAACCCCTCCAAACTCAGATGAAACCTAAAAAGCAAACACAGGTGACTAGGAAGGCTCCTCTTTACAGAGTTTGAATCTAGACCAAGCTCAGATCCTGCCACCACAACTGAGGTCCCCGGATCAGTGTCACATAAGGTTCAGGGTGCAGAATGATCCTATGGCTTCACAATATCTCTTCACTGTCAAGATGCTCTTCGCAGAGGGAGCTGAGAGTAGCTGAATCATCCATCAGATGCGTCTTCTCTAGAAATACCTGACAGTGATTTTCCAGAAACACCGTCTGAGAACTTACCAGTGTCTCACAGTAGACTCTCCTGGGTTTTCTATACCCAAGAATATAACAAATATAAAGTGATATCCTCAGTCTTTCCAGCAAGAAAAAAAGGCCAGGACACGAAGGGCTCCATGATGCCACAGGACAAAGCAAAAATGCCAGCAGTGTTTTGTTAAAAGTCTGCTCCTCCTTTGCTGGTATTTTTGAGGTGTAATATAACACACAGCCAAGTAAGTGACAAGTAAAAGCTCTAACTGGTCATCTATGGTCCAAGTCTGATAACTAACTGGAATCAGAATGCATTTCAGTGTTTTGTGAATGACATGGCTTGGCTGTGTCCTCACTCAATTCTCATCTTGAATTGTAGGTCCCTTAATTCCCATGTTTTGTGGGAGAGACCCAGTGGGAGATAACTGAATCATGGGGGTGGTTTCCCCATACTGTTCTCATGGTAATGAATAAGTCTCACGAGATCTAGTGGTTTTGTAAGGGGTTTCCCCCTTCGCTTGGCTCTCGTTTCTTTGCACTTGCCTGTCACCATGTAAGACGTGCCTTTAGCTTTTCACCATGATTGTGAGGCCTCCCAGCCATGTGGAACTGTGAGTCCACTAAATCTCTTTCTTTACAAATTACCCAGTCTCGGGTATATCTTTATTAGTAGTGTGAGAACAGACTAATACCGTAGAATACAATAAAGTATACTCTAGAAACTTTCACTTATATCAAGTATAATAGTTAAAAACTTGGAAAAAGGGAGATGGATCACTGATTTGTACAATAAATTCCTTACTAGCAAGTAATACTGAGAAGTGAAAGAAAGAGTAACATTTACATAAAAGGTGATGAGGACCAGATGGCCACTGCCAGACCCTGAGGGATTTGGGTGTGTTGCCAGGGGGTTGGTAGTTATTGATGGGAAAGAGGAGAGAGCAGCTGCCATTTTCCTAAGTTCCCACCATATTCCCGGCATTGTATTAAGTGATTCATACGAGTGATGTAACATCGCTCACATTAACTCTGTGAGGTTGAAAGTCTGGAAATGTCCAAAGCTGGAAGTAGACTATTATTGGATTAAGTATTAAATGTTTCAACTAAATATTGAATTTGGATTATATTTCAGCCAAACACTAATTATTAAAGAGAGGAGAGGCAACTTGCCCATTTCAGTCCAACTGGAATTTTCCTCAAGGATAGCAAATCTGAATTCTAATGATTCTGGCACTTTTTTCTAATGCTTAATATTGAAAATAAAGTTAGACACTAAAATTGCTTAATATTAAAAATTAAGTTAGACAGTAAGTGTGAATAATAAAGCTCTGACAAATTCCAATATCAAATATCAAACCAACCATGACTCTAAACTCATGATTCATATGAGACTAAAAAATAGATTATTTTTCAATATATTCCAAAAACTCACTGCTGTTTTTCTCAAGTATTATTTTTAAAAAATATTTTGTGAAATGCATTATTCACATGAAACTAAACAATAGATTACTTTTCAATATATTCCAAAAACTCACTGCTGTTAGTTTTTCTCAAATATTATTTTTAAAACATTTTGTGAAATATGTTAAAATTTTACATGTGTAAATATACTTTTATATACATGGATTTATTTTAACTTTTATCAAGCACATGATTTTAAAATCAAATGGTACTATAAGACTGACAATTAAAAATAGCAGCCTTTTGCCCTCTCCAACTTCCCTGAGTCCAAATGATCAAAAGACACTTTCAACTCTTTTAGCTGTTTTCTTTAGTATTTATCTTCATATTTTAGGTAACGTTCTTCAACTGCCATGCTTATCCCTTTATTTGAGAGAGGTCCTTGCCCTTTTGCCCTTCTACAGTAGAGTGGTGCAGTCACAGCTCACTGCAGCTCCCGCCTCCCAGGCTCAAACGATCCTCCTGCCTCAGCCTCCCAAGTAGCTGAGACTACAGGTGCATGCCACCATGCCTTATACTCTTTGAAATTTTACAGAGATAGTGTCTCACTATGTTGCCCATGTTGGTCTCCAACTCCTGACATCAAGTAGTCCTCCTGCCTCAGCCTCTCAAACTGCTGGGATTACACGCATAAGCCAGCAAGACTAGCTGCTTATCCTTTTTTTTTTTAATAGCAATTGGTATCCCAGTGTGGAAGATCAGGATTTAGTTCTCTTACTTTTTCAACACACTTTTCCTCTCCATCCTCTCCCCTCGAAAATCCAATCAATTTAACCATTACAATTTTTAGTAACAATAATACTATTTATATAACAGTATTTTGTCTTAAATATTGTTCCTAACTAAGCCCAATGATGCACTGTCATTATAGTTTTCTTAGACAACTTTTTGTTTTTTCTTGCTATTAATAACTGCTTCAATTTTTCATTTGGTTGATTTCTCTATGTATCTAACATTAATTTTCCCCACACTCTAACACAGAACTAGAAAACTGATAGATAAACAATTAGGTACTTTTTCCAATTTCTTTTGTTTTTTTCCTCAGGCCATCCTTCCTGGTCTCTTCATCCCCTGGTCCAATCAAGACAGCCTGTTCTCCAGGCCTGACACAGGTGATGTTCAAAGGTCACCCTGAAACTTCCCCTTTTCTCCCCATCAGGAAACTTTCTTCACTTTCCCCAATTTCCTACTTTTTTTTTTTTTTTTTTTTTTTTGGCGTATTCACTCACCTTCTCCAGAAACTTCCCAAGAAAGGGTGCAGAGGAGGCTAATTTTTGAGACCTTGCATTTCTGTCTGAAAATATCCCTATTCTACCGTTGCATTTGGCTGACAGTTTGACCAGGTAAAGGCTTCAGATTGGTGATCATGTTCCCTGAGATTTGGAAAGTACAGCTGTATTTCTTCTAGGTTCCACTGTTGCTAAGAAGTCAGATGCTGGAATGTTTGCTGAGCCTTTGTATGCGACCTACCTTTTCTCTGTTAAACATTTTTGGGAAATCTCTTTTTGTTTTTAATTCAGACTTCAATAGATGTGTCCTGGAGTTGGTCTTTTTTCTTCCATTCATTGTGCTGGGCACTTAATGTACTCTTTCCACATGGAAATTCATATTTTTCAATTCTGTAGCATTTTTGTGTAGTTGTCTCTTCTGCATTTTCTTCATTCTCTTTCTGAAACTTTGCTTTTTTAGGTTTTTGTTTTTAAGCGAAGGAGTCTTGTTGTGTTGCCCAGGCTGGCCTCAAACTCCTGAGCTCAAGCAATTCTCCCACCTCAGCTTCTCAAACAGCCAGGACAACAGATGTACAGCACTGCACCTGTCTGTGAAACTCATTAGAAAAACAGATTTTGGACTTCTTAAAGTGAGCCTCTTGTATCCTCCTCTGCCATGTTTTCCATCTCTGTGCTTTTATTCTACTTTCTGGGCAATTTCATTCACAGTCCAACTCCTCACTGAATTTTTAATTTCTGTCATCATGCTTCTCATTTCCAAGCCCTCTTTCATGGATGCAATATCTTCTCTAATGTCTCACAGAATACCAATTATAGGTTTTTGAAGTTTTTTTCTTCCCCGCTTTTCCCCTTATTTCCTCTGAGACGTCTTTCCTGCTTATTTATTTGGTCTCATTCCTTCATCTTGGTGACGATCCTCAAATGTATAGTGATCCTTCACTGTCTACCCTGAAATCTAAAACTGTGCATTTAAGTGATGTCACTGGGTGAGGACATAGCCATTTTATTTCGGGGGGCAGGGGCCTTCAAATGTCTTCAACTGGTCTTTCTCAGATGTGAATCCTCTAATCCTGGCATGGTGGAAGATAAGCCCCATTGTCAGAGTTCTGGGTGCTTAGAAGGAAGATAGCACCATTCCATACAGATTTTCACAGAAAACTCCTATTTTCTCTAGCATGCTTTACCCCTACTCTCATTTGTATCTACTGTTTCCAAGTCCAAGGCTTCTGGAAAACATACCTGCAAGGGTATTTGTCCAGACACGTGGTTAGAATGGGCTCCCACTACTCCTTATTCTGACTTCCCAGCAATCACCAGTTTTGGCCTCACCCTTCACATCTGTCTTCTGGCAGAGCTTGTGGTTCTGAAACCACGCCCCAGGGTTAGAAAAGCTATTAACCAGCAAAATTTCAAGAGTTTGTTTTGCAGAACAATGAAGAAAAAAACAACTGAAGAAGAAAAGAGTATGTTACAATTCCCTTATTTACAACAAAGTCGGATAACAGGCTGACACCAGCTGGAACCAACATGGCAGACAGCAGTCTGAGTAGGAAAGACTTGCTCATTGATGAGTGACCTTTGACCTCAGAGAGCCGGAAACTCCACCTTCAGATCATGCTCATTCCACCATTTTCTGAGCAAGCAGCCCATGAAGCATGTCAGGACAACAGCACATGCCCAAAGGCCCTTACCAACCCCTTCCCTTCAAGCCAATCTCTGTGCAGACCCGAAACTCCACTTGCAAAATCTCTCCCTCAATTGGGTGGCAAAGTCAGTAGGGTGAGACAGATTAGAGCATTTCCTCCTGTCTCCCTGTCGGTTCACTGGCAATAAACTTCTCTCCCTGGAAGAACCATGCTTCAGCGTTCGGCTTCCTATTGCGTGCAAGCAAATAGATCCAGTCTGGTTTGCTTACAGTTCCAAGTCTGAAGCTTTCCTAGTTCTGACCACCAATCAATCTGCTTTGGGTTGGCTTTCCTCCCAGTGGGCACTTGGCTTTCGGTACTCTCCCTTCTGCTAATCCAATTCCCACTCAACAATTTGCTTGCCATCTCCCAAAAATTTGTTGACATTCTCACCCACTAAGCCTCATGTCACATTTTCTTTGTCCCTAGGAATTTATATCTTATTTTTTACCTATCATGTTCAGTAGTCTTAGGAGGACAAAGAGATAAACAAATGTGTTCCAATTGTCCTATATAACCGTAAGTTCAAAAATCTTTCCATCATGAAAAAAATTCAGGTTAGAAGTCTTGGTTGGAATAACTCTCTAAAATAGGGTATCATTCCTTTAGGTTAACTAGCACTGGATCATACCCTGGCAAAAGAATTACATCAATTTTTTAGTCTACAAATCATAATTTATAAATGACATGGAGAGATTTCAGATGGGATAAAAAATAGTAATTAGAGGATTTGGAAACTGGCTTAAAAGAGCTAAACAAACAGATTAGATTATACCATGAAAAGAAGACTAATGAGGGATTTAATAATGGCCATTGAGTAGATGAAGAATTATTATAGACACAAGATGGTTGGCCTAATTTCTCTGTTTCCATTTCAAACACAGTAAGAAAGTGGACTTAAGATATCACATAAGGAAAATTTACTTACAGTGAAGTATATTAAATATTACCAGAAGAGGGTGTAGAGTTTTCTTTTCTGGAATAATATTAAAAGTGAAAATGGGCCACTCCTTAAAGGTAAAATGCTAATTTGACAACTCAATTCCTTCCAGCTGCATTTTTCCCTTCCAACAGACCTGCATGCAGAAAATTATCACTCCGAGACCAAGTTTCTTTTTTTTGTCTAATAGAAACATCCTTCTATGGATAAGAAAGATGACTTTTAAAGCAAGCTCAGCTCAGTTTCAAGATACATACTTGCAAGCTCCCATCACTTTTCAGGGAAATTAAAGATGGACTTTTTATACATTAAAAACATGACGACATTCAAAATGTGGATGGCACTTCAATACTGAGATGAAAATTTGTATTGCTGATGTTTTCAATTTTTCTTTGCAACAGATTGCACTGTTAAAAAGTATTAGTTTCCTTGTGTAAAAAGTGTCATGAAAAGAAAGTCTAACTGTAGCTAAACAGAATGCTTATAAGAACAGAATGTAAAGAACTTTTCCTTTCCCATTCACCCTCCCAAGTGAACTGCAAACAGGTACTCCTTCAAAAACGTACTAAGAACAGGAGAGTGGCTGATGAGAGGCCCTGGGGAAAAACAGAGGCAGGGAAGACTGTGCTCAGGATACATGGAAGACACACCCTGGAGAACATAAGGAAGGCTCAAGCACATGACGTCTGCCTCCACTGTGCATTTGATTTTTATGTTATCGTTTTTGTTAAAGAAATATAGTTTTGTGCCCATTTGTTTTTAGTACAGAAATTTGAGCCTGGCCTCACACAAGAATCAATTCCAGACAGACAGAAGACCTCTATGTGAGAAACAAAACAACATTTCTAAAAACAAGTGTAAGATAATACCTTCATGACCTCAGGTTAAAAAGAGATTCCCTAAACAAGACAGAAAAAGCACTAACCCCAAAGATTGGTCCACTGAACCACACTAAAATAAAATTGAAAAAAACCTTCTGTTTATTAAATGGTACCCTAAAGGAACTAAAAGGCAAGACAGAGGGGCAAAAATGTGGCTTCTTCCAATATGAGTGAACCAAAATTTCACTAAATGCCTGTGAGTGGGGAATCAGTACCTGATAAGAAAGCACTCTATCTTCTGGCATTTGGGAGGCCCAAAATGCAAGAGCTTCTCTCGCCTATCCCAAACTCCTATCACTCAAAACAAAGCCTGCCAGTCAAAAAGCTCAAACAATTTATATACAAAAAGCTTAAACCATTTATATACAAAAAGCTCAAACCATATATATATATAAAAATACATTTATGTATATAAATACATATATATATATATATATAAAAAAATATGTCAGCCTTTCTATTACTTCTTATGAATGAGCAGACACCCAAGGATGATTAAGGCACAAAACCAGTGAGGGATTTTAAATTTCAATGTAAAAGAGAAACAAATGGGACCCCAAAGATAATAGAAAGGTCAAAGGAAATAAGAGGTTTCTGAAATGTAATTATTGTTCTCAGAGAGCTGAGAAAACATTGCATTGACAAAATAAGTACAGAATGTCATGAGGAAAATAATCACCGAACAAGAAAGAACTCGTAGAACACACACACACACACACACACACCCAGAATCAATAAAAGCTTGGAAGATAAACCTGAAGATATCTTTCAGAATAGAGAAAAATAAGAAAAGATAACCATCTAATTTCCAGTTTGTCCATTGTTCAACATCCAGTTGGAGCCCCAGAAAAAGTGAAGAAGAAAAATGAGAGAAAATTAGTAAGAGAATAATAGAGAACGAATGAAAAAACAAAGCCCACAGCTGAACATAATACAGGGAAATTTCAGAACTCAAAAGAAAAAAACAATATCCTAAAGGGTTCCAAAGAAAAAGTACAAGTTATCTGCAAGGGAAGGAGAGTGGACTGGTAACAGATTTATCATCAGCAACACTGCACATCAAAAGTCAATGGAGCAATGTCTTCAAAGCTCTGAAGGAAAATAAGTTGGTTAACTTATCAAATCGGTGTTATCATTTTTGGTACCTGGAGAGTCAGGTACACATAACAGAGGCAGACGGTGAGAGGAGCTACAGGAAATAATGCAGGGCCAAGATCCTCACCTTCTAAGTCAGGGACCAAGTGATGCCACCTCTGGGTAATGAAGGAAGATATAAAATAGAAATATACTATTAAGTTACTTAAATAGAGGAACTAAAAATGCGATGCAACCATATTGAGCAAACTGACAGTTTCCAAAACTGATATACCAGGAAATAACTGTAAGCATAAAATTTTCAGATACAATGATAACATCAGAAAAGGCAGTTATATAGGCTGGATGCAGTGGCTCATGCCTAAAATTCCAGCACTTTGGGAGGCTGAGGCCAGTGAATCACCTGAGGTCAGGAGTTCAAGACCAGCCTGCCCTACATGGTGAAACCCCGTCTCTACTAAAAATACAAAAATTAGCTGGGTGTGGTGGCACACACCTGTAGTCCCAGCTACTCAGGAGGCTGAGACAGGATAATCACTTGAACCTGGGAGGCGGCAGTTGCAGTGAGCCAAGATCCCGCCACTGCATTGCAGCCTGGGTGACAGAGGGAGACTCTGTCTCAAAAAAAGATAAAGGAAAGAAAAGAAGAAAGAAAGAAATGAGCCGGGCGTGGTGGCTCATGCCTGTAATCCCAGCATTTAGGGACGCCGAGCGGGGGTGAATCACGTGGTCAGGAGATCGAGACCATCCTAGCCAACATGGTGAAACCTTGTCTCTACTAAAAATACAAAAATTAGCCGGGCGTGGTGCTGAGCGCCTGTAGTTCCCACTAGTCAGGAGGCTGAGGCAGGAAAATAGCTTGAACCCAGGAGGCAGAGTTTGAAATGAGCCGAGATCGCGCCATTGCACTCCAGCCTGGGTGACAGAGCAAGACTCTGTTTCAAAAAAATTAAAAAAAAGAAAAGAAAAGAAAAAGAAGGGTCAGTTATAGGAGTTAAAAGCAGCTCTCTAAGGGGGACCATCAATATCAAATGGAGGCAACTGCCTACAAAAGAGAACCAGGAATGTTTGTTGTGATGCAGGCGAAGGAGGTAGAGTTTGAAGAAAGAAAATGACAAACTATCAGATGCAGTAAGAGAGGTCCACTTTAAAGGGCTATAACTCCCAAACTTTTCGAGATTTCACGTGCTTCCCATAGTACTTTCTGACCTATTTGAAGCATATCCAATACACTGAAGCATAATTCCGATATATTTAGAAAAAAATAAACAAACAAAAAAACAAGAACTTGACACTGGCTCAACTGGAAACACCTGTGAGCATCAAAGCACATCTCTGTGGTTACAATGCTGTTTATTGCTCCCAACTATACATCTTCAGACTTCACTTAGCATGTTACGGGTGGTTAGGTTCCAGGATTATTGAGATCTATTTCTACTCACAATTGCTTATAAAATGAAATCTATCGTCACCTTAATTGCCTGTGCCTAAAAATATAGCATGCTTGTCTTGTGGGAAATATTCAGCCTGGTATGTGAGTGACTGAAATGCAACTCCGTGGAAACACCCCAACTCCACACATTCATCCCCTTGGTAACTCAGCACAGTCACAGAAACTGAAGAAGTAAAATGATCCTCTTTATTTGGCTTCTCGAGTCCCATTTTTAAAACAGCCATCAGGAACCGGCATTCTGTGGTGTGTTTTTTTACCCTCGAAGATAAGAACGATAACACTGAAAGTTGTGATGACAAGCGCAAGCAACATTTGCATTAACAAACAACATAAAAAGGATGATTTTGGCCGGGCAGGGTGGTTCATGCCTGTAATCCCAACACTGTGGGAGGCTGAGGTGGGCGGATTACCTGAGGTCAGGAAAAGACCAACATGACCAACGTGGTGAAACACTGTCTCTACTAAAAATACAAAAAGTTAGCTGGGCATGGTGGTGTATGCCTGTAATCCCAGCTACTCGGGAGGCTGAGGCAGGAGAATCGCTTGAACCTAGGAGGCAGAGGTTGCAGTGAGCCGAAATTGCACCATTTGCACTCCAGCCTAGGCAACAAGAGTGAAACTCCATCTCTCAAAAGAAAAAAAAAAAAAAGATGATTTTATTATGGAACAAAATCCTACTTTAACATCTGTTCCTTTTATTTTAAAGGGGGAAATAATGGATGACAATCAGTGATAATGAAATCCAATGGATTTGGCTTTGGCATCAATTCAGAGTCAATATTCAGTGTCACGGCACCACGGCAACCAAGACTGCTGACCAATAGTGTTGTGCTCTAGTCAATTTAATGAGTTGGCACAATCAGAACACAGCATTATTGGGACTGTTCTGTATGCAAGCTTCTATCTGCTGCAAGCAGGCACAAGCTATAATAGATTCTCCTTTTTTTTTTCTCTCCTAGGATAATTTCTCCAGTGCCAACACCCAGAGCTTCCAGAGTCATATTAATGCACCATGTATCTTGAAGCAAATTTAATCTCAGAAAGACCTAGCAATTTTCAGGTCAACAGACATTAAAGTACAACAGGATGAAGTTTCCAGATGTAAACTAAAATTGAACCCGGTGTAGACATTTAAAGTAAATCAGATACAAAGTTAGAGACACCTGTAGGCAGGTGTGCTATAAACAAACCACACCACTGCAGATGAGAAGGATCATACTCTCTGCCCAGCCAAAAAAAAAAAAAAAAGTCTTCAACCTCAACTGGAACATCCTTCAGAGAAGAAAAGCAAAATTCAATCTTGGGAACATATTCTAAAATGCT